>NC_000006.12:42787272-43090303 GCF_000001405.40 Homo sapiens
TGGAGGAGGAACAGGTGGAGAGGAGTGGGTAGCAAGAGTTCTGTGTAAATACTTGGGAGGCATCCAAGCGGAGAGTTAAGTAGGCACTGAATATTTAAGTTGAGCTGAGGGGAGTGATCTAGACTGGACATAAATTTTGGGAGTCACTAGTATACAGATGGCATGTCATGGAACTGATTGAGATTGTTTGTGGCCTTAAGATCAAGCCCTGCGAGACTGGAGTAATAAAACTCTGGTCTCCCACACAGCCAGCTCTGTGTGGGGAAAAAAAAAAGCCCTAAAACACTAACAACGGCTAAAGCTTGGGCAAAGGAGACTGAAAAGGTTCAGCCATTAAAGTGGGAGAGTATTTTATTATTTTCAAGAAAGAGGGAATGGTCACCTCTGTCAAATGCTGCTGAGAAGTTACACAATGAGAATAGAGAAATGTCTATTTGGATTTGACAACATGATGGTGACTGTTTTGACAAGTGGTCCAAGCCACATTGGGATGCTTCGAAGAGAGAATAGGAAGTGAGGTGAATATCGACAGCTCGTTAGGGAAATTTTGCTGCTGTAAAGTGGAGAGAAGCAGCTTAGTGGCTTCAGAGGGAGATGGGGTCAAAGAAGAGGGCTTTTTTTTTTTTTTAATTTTTTTTTAAGACAAGATGTCACTCAGTCATCCAGGTTGGAGTGCAATGGTGCAAATTACGGCTTACCACAGACTCAACCTACTGGGCTCAAGTGATCCTCCTACCTCAGCCTCTCCTGAGTAGCTGGGACCACAGGTGTGCACCACTGTAACCCAACTAATTAAAAAAAAATTTTTTTTATAGAGACAGGGTCTCCCTATGTAAAGAAGAAGGCTTTTCTTTTAAACAATGGGAACTAGATAGGCTAATGAGAATATTTAATAGAGAAGGTGAGACTAATCCAGAAGAGAGACCAAGACTACCAAGGGAGCAGCATTCTTTTTTTTTTTTTTTTTTTTGGAGACAGTTTTGCTCTTGTTGCCCAGGCTGGAGTGCAGTGGCGCAATCTCAGCTCACTGCAACCTCCACCTCTTGGGTTCAAGCAATTCTCCTGCCTCAGCCTCCCAAGTAGCTAGAATTACAGGTATGCACCACCACACCCAGCTAATTTTGTATTTTTAGTAGAGACGGGTCCACCATGTTAGCCAGGCTGGTCTCGAACTCCTGACCTCAGGTGATCCACGCACCTAGGCCTCCCAAAATGTTGGGATTATAGGTGTGAGCCACCATGCCTGGCCGGGAGCAGCATTCTTAAGGAATTCAAGACACAGGAAGAACACTTGCCTTTAGTGGGAGCAAGACAACGCAGTGTGGCAGAAGACAAAGAATGGGGGCACAAGTGCAAGGTGAATTGGAGGTAGAATATAGGACTTAACTTTCTGACGGCTTCTGTTTTCTCAGTGAAGTCTGAGGCAAGGCCGGTGACTTAAACAAAGAAGGGGTAGTGGATAATTTCAGGAAAGATGGACACTTCACCTTGAGCAACAGGACAAGGAACTGAGTAACTGGGAAACAAGGTAGTTTCAATGCTGGGCATTGTTGAATCCCTTGCCGTGGCTTGGGGCCATGAATTTAAGGTGAAACCAGTCAGCTGAGTTAGTTGTGTGATTTTTTTTTTTCTCCTAGCAACATTCAGCTGTTATGAGGGCAGCGAAGAGCAGGCAGGTGATCAGTTCACCCAAAATTCGTGTTTTGCCCTGCAGGTTTGACAGAGGAGAAGCAGTGCCAGAGGCTTGAGAGTAGTTGCAAGGGGGTGATTTTGATGATGAACCTTGAAATGTTAGCTGAGTAGGAAAGCAAGAGAAGAATCAGAGTGGGGGCCATGAAAATCATTACTGGCTTAAAGTGAGTTAATGGGCGCAGAGTTTCAGTTTGGGAAGATGAAAAATTTCTAAAGCTGGATAGGGCTCTTGGTTTCACAGCAATGTGAATGTATGTAATGCCACTCAACCAAACACTTTTAAATATTTAAAATTCAGTAACTCTATAGAGAAATAAAGGGTTTTCCCAATCCTGGAAAAAAATGGTTAAAATTGTAAATCTTACATATATTTTACCATAGTAAAAAATGAATTAGGCTGGGCCCATGGCTCACACCTACAATCCCAGCACTTTGGGAGGCTGAGGCAGGCAAATCGTTTGAGGCCAGGAGTTCAAAACCAGCCTGGCCAACATGGCAAAACTCATCTCTACTAAAAATACAAAGAAAATAGCCAGGCATGGTGGCACACACCTGTAATCCCAGCTACTCAGGAGGCTGAGGCATGAGAATTGCTTGAACCTGGAAGGCAGACATTGGAGTGAGCTGAGATCTTCCCACTGCACTCCAGCCTGGGTGACATAGCTAGACTGTCTCAAAAAAAAAAAAAAAAAGAATGAACACTTAAATATTTGTGGCAGATAGAGGTGTTATTTGCATATGGAAGAAAATTGCTTTAGAAATGAAATTTCAGATTACTGAAACTAAAGAGAAAGTATCTCTTCTTATCATGGTACCAAGCTTGAGGGTGCATAAGTCACCTATAGACGTAGAGATTGTAGTATAGGACCTGGGAATATTACATTATTTGCTCCCATGTTTACTGTTTTGTTCTAAGCCTTTAGCACAGCATTCAAAACAAGTTGAGCACTCAGTAAACATTTGCTGACTCAGTACTTGGAGAACCTAGGTAGAGTAGAATGATGGGAATCAAAAGGAAAACAGTATTCTGTTAGAGATCAGCAATATCTTACACTAGTAGAGGGATCTGTGAGAAAAAGAATCAAGACCATTGAATGTGTGGCGGCTTATAGCATTTGACATTCTGATCTGTGCACGTGATGAGAAAAAAAGTCTGATTACAGAACAGGGAAGGAGAGAAATAAGCATTGAGTTTCATTTTTTGTTTGTTTTTGAGACAGGTTCTCACTGTTACCCAGCCTGGAGTGCAGTGGTACAATTGTAGCTCACTGCAGCCTGGACCTCCTGGGATCAAGGGATTCCCCCAACCTCAGCCTCCCAAGTAGCTGGGACTATAGAAATGCAACACCATGCCCAGATAATTTAATTTTTTTTTTTTTTTTTTTTTTTTTGTAGAGACAGGGGTTTCTCTTTGTCACCCAGGCTGGCCTCAAACTCCTGGGCTCAAGCAGTCTTCCCACCTTTCCCTCCCAAAGTGCTGGGATTACAGGCGTGAGCCACTGCATCCTGCCGAGAAAATCATTTTTTATTTAAATAATGTCAAATGGAAGTATGTAGCACCCCCCCCCCACCTTCTTTTCCCCTTTCTTTCCTCTTTGAGTCTGCTGTCATTCCCTTTTTCATGAGTTTTCTCTGCTCCCCAAATAGGCTAAACAATAACCGTAAAGTGAGATTAGAGAAAATAAGAATGGAGTAGATGATGGAATTCAAAATAGCTGTCTACATTCTTCACTGAGAAAGATAGCTTTGAGTTAAAGGTGAGAGGAGCAAATCTGGGGAAAAACGGGTGAAACGGCATGATTTAAGTAGCATACCAGATGCGTTTCTGCATGGCATGGCTCTTGCTTGATGAATAATGTTCTGTATAGTAGAAGAGGAAAATACAGTGAGTGAAGGAGCTGGCAGAAGGTGGGCTGGGGGAGTTGGGGAAGAGTGAAATGAGTATGGAGAGGTGAGAGAGCTGACTGCAAAGGCATGTGGGGTGTGGATTTTAAAAGGAAAGCCCTGAGGTGGAAATCACTAACATGGTGCCTGGCTACAAGCAGAGGGAGCTCAGGACTTGACTGTGCTGGGGGTGGCCTGCCCTTTTGTAGTGCAGTTGAGGAGAGCTCAGGGGCTGTCAGAATGCTGTGTGGGAAGGTGGAGGATGAAAGAGGACCTGGGAGCAGCAACTTTGTTCTGGTTTGTTGTTTTCTCTTCCCTACCTCGTATGTACTCCCACTCAGGAAAAGATCCTGAGACCTCTCTGTACCAGATCCTCTTATACCCAGGTTCTCCTTAATCCCAATCAACTTTAATCTATAAAGTTACGATTTGTTTACTTATAAATTTATTTTTAATAAAGTTGTGAAACCGAACATGTTCTGTTTTTGTGGGTTATTTGGCTCTCTTATCTTGCAAACACATTAAACACTTAACATTACTTAAAATTAAAGCCCTGAGTCTGAGAATGTGAGAGAATAAGATATGAAAGATATTGCCTTTCTAGAAATGGTTTATTTCAGTTGAACCCAAATCCAGGACACTTTTTTTCATTAGGAGTTGAACTTTGTGTCCTGGCCTGAAATGGAAACATTTTCACAGGGAAGAAAATGAGGGGGAAAAGAAATAATATTTGTTAAACCTTCACCTTGTTTGAGACCCTGATGGGTTCTAATGGGTTTGGTTTTTGTTTTTGTTTTTTGAGATGAGAACTCACTATGTTGCACAGGCGTGTCTCAAACTCCTGGGCTCAAGCGGTCTTCTCACCTCGGCCTCCCAAAGTGCTAGGACTATAGGTGTGAACCACTGCACCTGGCCTCTGATGGGTTTTTAGTAAATACAGTCATGTGTCATTTAATCACAGGGATAGGTTCTGATGAATGCATCGTTAGGTGATTTCATTGTGTACAAACACCATAGAGTGCTCTTACGCAAACCAATATGGTATAACCTACCACACACCTAGGCTATATGATATAGCCTATTCCTCCTGTATTGTAAACCTGTACAGCATGTGACTGTACCTGGATACTGTAGGTAACTGTAACTGTATTTGTGTATCAACATATCTAAACATGGTACAGTAAAAATATGATACAAAAGAAAAAAATGGTGCACCTGTATAGGGCAGTTACCATGAATGAAGCTTGGAGGACTGGAAGTTGGTCTGGGTGAGTCAGTGAGTGGTGAAAGAATGTGAAGGCCTAGGACACTGTGCACTACTGTGAACTTAATAAACACCATACACTTAGGCTACATTAAGCTTATAAAATATTTTTCCTTCCTCAATAATAAGCTTAGCTTACTGTAACTTTTTTTCTTATGAACATTTTTGGTTTTTTTCTGAGACAGTATCTTGGTCACCCAGGGTTGAAGTCCAGTGGCGTGATCATAGCTGCAGCCTCCATCTCGTGGGTTCAAGCAGCCCTCTCACCTCAGCCTCTACTGAGTAGCTGGGATTACATGCATGTACCACCATGCCCAGCTAATTTTTTTTTTTTTTTAAATGTAGAGATGAGTTCTTGCTATGTTGCCCAAGCTGGTCTCAAACTCCTGGCCTCAAGCAGTCCTCCTGCCTCAGCCTCCCACAGTGTTGGGATTACAGGTGTAAGCCACTCCGCTTGGCCTAGATTTCATTTAACCCTGAGACTTTTTAGAAGTGCAAATAAGTATATTTAGAAATTGATGCTGAGTGTGGTGGCTTATGCTTGTAATCCCGCACTTTGGGAGGCCGAAGTAGGTGAATCACTTGAGGTCAGGAATTTGAGACCAGCCTGGCCAACATGAAGAAACCCCATCTCTACTAAAAATACAAAAATTAGCCAGGTGTGGTGGCAGGTACCTGTAATCCCAGCTATTCTGGAGGCTGAGGCACAAGAATTGTTTGAATCTGGGAGGCGGAGGTTGCAGTGAGCCAAAATCGTGCCACTGCACTCCAGACTGGGCGACGAGAGTGAAACTCTGTCACAAAGAAAAAGAAAAAAAGGAGAAAGAAATTGGCTGGCTGGTTTATTTTATTTATTTTTTGAGATGGAATCTCACTCTGTTGCCCAGGCTGGAGTGCAGTGGCACAATCTCAGCTCACTGCAAACTCCACCTCCCGGGTTTAAGTGATTCTTGTGCCTCAGCCTCCCCAGTAGCTAGGATTTACAAGCGCATGCCACCATGCCCAGCTAATTTTTTTTTTTTTTTTTTTTTTTTTTTTTTTTTTTTTTTGAGACAGAGTCTCGCTCTGTTACCCAGACTGGAGTGCATTGGCGTGATCTCAGCTCACTGCAAGCTCTGCCTCCCAGGTCCATGCCATTCTCCTGCCTCAGCCTCCCGAGTAGCTGGGATTACAGACCCAGCTAATTTTTTTTTTTTTTTTTTTTTTTTTTTTTGTATTTTTAGTAGAGACGGGGTTTCACTGTGTTAGCCAGGATGGTCTCAATCTCCTGACCTCATGATCCACCCGCCTCGGCCTCCCAAAGTGCTGGGATTACAGGTGTGAGCCACCATGCCTGGCTGCTAATTTTTGTATTTTTAGTAGAGATGGGGTTTCACCAGTTGGCTAGTCTGGTCTCCAACTCCTAACTTCAAGTGATCCACCAGCCTTGGCCTCCCAAAGTGCTGGGATTACAGGCGTGAGCCACCGCGCCTGACCAGGTTGGTTTATTCTTATTTTCCATTTGTATTGTGATTCTCCAAATCTGTGAGAGTTTTAGGATGGAGAAATCTGTGAAAGTCAACCCCTTTTCTCTAGGTGTAATCACACAACATGAAGGTTTACAACTGGGATGTTTTTGGCGCTACTTCTATGCGTAGGCCTCAAGATGACTTTTTTTTTTTTTTTTTTTTTTTTGAGACAGGGTCTTGCTCTGTTGCCCGGGCTGGAGTACAGTGGCCCCATCTCAGCTCACTGAAGCTTCACTAGTAGCTGGGACTACAGGTGCACACCATCATGCCTGGATAATTTTTGTATTTTTGTAGAGACAGGGTTTCCCCATGTTGTCCAGGCTTGTCTCGAACTCCTGGACAAGATGACATTTTTATTTTTATTTTTATTTTTATTTTTATTTTTATTTTTAAAATGTAAAACTATGTTACTTGTTTATAAATCAGATTAAAAGAAAAAATTTGAGACAGGGGCTCGCTGTGTTGCCCAAGCTGGTCTTGAACTCCTGAGCTACAGTCATCTTCCTGCCTCAGCCTCCCAGATAGCACGGATTACAGGCATGAGCCACCGCTCCTAGCTACTATAAATCTGACTTTATATGTCACATGATGTACCTAGAATTTATTTTTTTACAGCATGTGTGATAGAGATAAAGCAATCTGACAGTTAATTTCAAAAGAGAATAATACAAAGAAAAATGACATTTGGGTAACCATGTTGTTTAAAAAAAAGGCTCAAGTGCTTTAACTTAGAAATGCAGAACATATTCTGTTACATAAAATACTTAATGCCGGACAAAATTCACTTACTCTGTGTGTGTGTGTGTGTGTGTGTGTGTGTGTGTGTGTGTGTGTTTGGCTATGTACCCATGACCTTGAACTCCTGGAGTCAAGTAATCCTCCTGCTTCCCCTGCCAAGTAGTTGAGACTACAGGTGTACTCCACCATGCCTGGCTCTATTTTATATATTTTATAAGTACTAATATATTATTCTCTGTTCTTTTTTCATTTGAATTGTCAAGTTTTAAGGCTAAGCTAGACATATCAATTAAGAACTTACTGTAAGTGGCTGGGCACAGTGGCTCACGCCTGTACTCCTAGCAGTTTGCGAGGCTGAGGCGGGCGGATCACTTGAGGCCAGGAGTTCGAGACCAGCCTGGCCAACATGGTGAAACCCCCTCTCTACTAAAAATACAAAAAAAAAAAAAAAAAATAGCCGGGCGTGGTGGCGGGCACCTGTAATCGCAGCTATTCGGGAGGCTGAGACAGGAGGATTGCTTGAACCCGGGAGGCGGAGGTTACAGTGAGCCAAGATCACGCCATTGCAATCCAGCCTGGGCAACAAGAGCAAAACGCCATCTCAAAAAAAAAAAAGAAACTTACCATAAGTCATGCAAGAGTCTATTTACTGATCTCTCCACCAATACTCACAAAGAGAATTACGCATGAACGACAGTCAAGGTAACTGAAAAGATCTACATCTATTGTTAGAAAGTTGTCTAACTTGTTTTCCAAAACTTTCTGCTATTAGATTTAAAAACGTGACAAAAAGTCGGGTGCGGTGGCTCACACCTGTAATCCCAGCACTTTGGGAGGCCAAGACTGGTGGATCACCTGGGTTAGGAGTTCAAGACCAGCCTGGCCAACATGGCGAGACCCCGTCTCTACTAAAAATATAAAAATTAGCTGGGCATAATGGTGCACGCCTGCAATCCCAGCTACTCAGGAGGCTGAGGCACAAGAATTGCTTGAACCTGGGAGGTGGAGGTTGCAGTGTGCCGAGATCGTGCCACTGCACTCCAGCCTGGGCAACAGAGAGCAAGACTCTGTCTCAAATAAATAAATAAATATCTATAAATAAAATGTGACATAAAACCTATTTCACATTGTTTTATTTCTGTCATATATTACCTAAATTCCCAAGATATAATTATTATTTAATAGATGTTCTATGTTTCAAATTACCTTACTATCAAAAATTACCTTGAGCTTGACTCTCAAGCATATCTTTAGGACATAAGAGGCTGTGAAAGTCACAGAATAAATATTTTCAGAGCATGATGTGGATTTTGTATAATGTATATGCACCTTTAAAATATGTTCCATTCTTTTAAGATTAACTTTTAAAATTAAATGTTCTAATATTTTTCTTACATCATATTGCTTTCTAGAATGTTTCTTTTCTAAGCGGAATGTCTTGTTTTGAAAATTATTACCATAACTATCTACTCTGAAATAAAAAGGCACTGCAGTGATATTTCATCATCAAATATTTATTAAATGCTAAATTGGTGTAAAGCATTTGGAGGGCACAGGAACACATAATCTAGGCAGTTGGATCATATGTACACACATAAAACTACACAACAGTGTATGGTAAGTGCCAAATGATTAGTACAAGCAAGAGCAAAGGAGAGAGAACCTTTGACTGAGGTGGTGTGAGAGCATCTATTCATTTATCCATTCAGCAAATATTATTGAGCACATAATGTGTGCCAGGTGCCATTCTAGGCTCCCAGGATGCTGCAGTGAGCAAAAGACCAAAGCCCTGTTCTCTTGGGAAAGACAGACAATAAACCTAAGTAGACTTTGTAGTATGTTATGGGGTAAACATATAGAAAGATAGGAAGACGGGGAGTGCTGGGGTGTGGGAAGATTGTCTGGTAGGTCATGATTGTCTTTGAGCAGAGTCTTGAATAAGCCTTAAGCCTGAGGATATCTGGAGGAAGGGCATTCCAGGCAGACAGCAGCCAGTGCAAAGGGCCTAAGATATGAGCATGCATTTTGAGTTCTGGGCGTGGCAAGGTAGCAAGGGCTAGAATCAAAAGGGATCAGAGAGGCTGGGGAGCAGAGCAGTTGTGTAGAACATTACGGGTGTTCACAGTCGAGCACATAAAAGAATTTTGGTTTTTACATGGGAGGAAATGAAGGTTCATTGGAGAGTTTTGATTTCTGTTTTAAAAGGGTCACTTCTGGAATTTGGGTTGAGAATAGATTCTAGACTATAAAAGAGCAAAAGCAGAGACAGCCAGTGGGAGATGATGATGGCTTGGACCAGAGAGATGGTAGTGGAGGTGGTACATGTTGGATTCTGGATGTTTTTTTGAAGGTATAGCCAGTGGGATTTCCTGACATATGCGATGTGGGTATAGGATAATGAGCTGTCGGCCGGGTGCAGTGCTCACACCTGTAATCCCAGCACTTTGGGAGGCCAAGGCGGGTGGATCACCTGAGGTCAGGAGTTCGAGACCAGCCTGACCAACATGGAGAACCCCATCCCTACTAAAAGCACAAAATTAGCCAGGTATGGTGGCGCATGCCTGTAATCCCAGCTACTTGGAAGACTGAGGCAGGAGAATCACTTGAACCCGGGAGGCAGAGGTTGCGTGAGCTGAAATCGTGCCATTGCACTCCAGCCTGGGCAACAAGAGCGAAACTCTGTCTCAAAAAAAAAAAAAAAAAAAAAGCTGTTAAGGGTTACATGTAGGAAATGGAATTTGAACTGGAGCCTAAAGGAAAAGGAAGATTTTGTTGACCAGGAAAAGATACATAAGCAGAACTTATGTATAAGATACATAAGGAAAAGATACATAAGCAGAACTTATGTATAACTTATAAGAGGAACTTAGGTGGAAAAGAACCAATTTAGGTTGGGATTTTATAAGAGAGGCGGACAGTAAGGAGACTTCTTTGGATGAAGTGAGAAGTGGAAGGCTGGGAAGGGACCTTGCGATCAGTTTGTGAAATGCAGTAAATGTAAGGCCAAAGTATTTGAATTTTCTTTTATACGTTAAAATCCTAAAGGTTTTCAAGCAAGGAGTGATTTGACTTAAAAAGGAAAAAAAAAAGTTATAGTCAATAACAGCTTTGGAATCAGACCGATCTGAGTTCTAGCATCTTGCTGTAGGTAATGCCTTGAGTGAGTAACTTCCCTGAGGGAGTGTGCCTCAGTTTCTTCCTCTGGATAGAGGACTTACGTTTCAGAGGGAGTTTGAAAGGATTAAGTGAGATCATGCATATAAAGCATTAACATAATGCCAACCCATTTGGGTCTCAGCTATCACTGTTTTTTTAAATTATTAAATTGTTATAGGCCTGGTGCAGTGACTCATACCTGTAATCCCAGTACTTTGGGACGCCAAAGCAGGTGGATCACCTGAGGTCAGGAGTTTGAGAGACCAGCCTGGCCAACATGGTGAAACCCCATCTCTACAAAAATTGCAAAAATTAGCCGGGCATGGTGGCACATGCCTGTAATCCCAGCTGCTCCAGAGGCTGAGGCAGGAGAATCACTTGAGCCTGGGAGGCAGAGGTTTCAGTGAGCCACTATTGCATCACTGCACTCCAGCCTTGGTGACAAAGTGAGACAATGTCTCAAAAATAAATAAATAAAATGGTGGACCCAGATATGGAAAAGAATGATATCATGCCCTTCGCAGAAACATGGATGGAGGCAGAGGTCATTATCCTAAGTGAACTAACTCAGAAACAGAAAATCAAATACCACATGTTCTCACTAATAAGTAGGAGCTAAACAATGGTACGCATGGACATAAAGATGGAAATAATAGACACTAGAGACTTTAAAAGGGGGTAGGGAGGGAGGGAAGTGAGGGTTGAAAATTACCTATTGGGTACAGTGTTCACTATTTGGGTAATGGGTACACTGAAAGCCCAATCCCCACCAGTATGCAATATACCCATGTAACAAATATGCACATGTACTCTCTGAATCTAAAATTAAAATAAATCTAAAAAAGAGTCACATAAACTAGAAAAAGAAAAAAAATTTTTTTAATTAGAAAAAAAAAGGTGGGCCGGGCATGGTGGCTCATACCTGTAATCCCAGTACTTTGGTAGCCCAAGGCAGGCAGATCACTTGAGGCAAGGAGTTTGAGACCAGCCTGGCCAACGTGGTGAAACCCCGTCTCTACTAAAAGTACAAAATTAGCCAGGCGTGGTGGCAGGCACCAGTAGTCCCAGCTACTCGGGAGGCTGAGATAGGAGAATTGCTTAAACCCAGGAGGGGGAGGTTGTAGTGAGTTGAGATCAAGTCACTACATTCCAGCCTGGGTACTGTCTCTAAATAAATACATAAAATCAGAAAAAAAATTGTGTAGTGTTTGCATATAACCTACACAGATCCTCCCATATACTTTAAATCATCTCTAGATTTGTTTTAATTTTTATTTTTTATTACTGCTCCTTGCGGAGCGTGGCTACCCCATAGGCAGCATGCCCAGAGTAGCCAGTCATTTCTAGAATATTTACAATATCTAATACAATGTAAATGCTATGTAATAGTTGTTAGACTATATTGTTTTAAAATTTGTATTATTTTTTATTGTTATATTGTCATTTTTTGTTTTACTTTTCCTAAATATTTTCAATCTGTGGTCATTTAAATCTGGGGGTGCAGAACCCATGAATATGGAGGGCTGACTATATTAACAGTGCCTGGAAATTTTTTACCCAGTAGAAATATGTATTAGACACAAGGTCTCACTATATTGCCCAGGCTGGACTTGAACTCCTGAGCTCAAATGAACCTCCTGCCTTGGCCTCTCAAAGTGCTGGGATTACAGGCAGGAGCCACCATACCTGGCTGAAATATTTTTATATCACATTATACTAGCAGATATCTTGAAATATTACTGTCTTCCAAATGAGGGTAGTTATTAGATTCACCACTAAATCTTTTTTTTTTTTTTTTTTCTGAGATGGAGTCTTGCTCTGTCACCCAGGTTGGAGTGCAGTGGCGCGATCTCAGCTCACTGTAGCCTCAGCCTCCTGGGTTCAAGGGAGTCTCCTGCCTCAGTCTCCTGGCTGGGACTACAGGCACGTGCCACCACGCCCGGCTAGTTTTTTGTATTTTTAGTAGAGATGGGGTTTCACCGTGTTAGCCAGGATGGTCTTGATCTCTTGACCTTGTGATCCATGAGCCTCAGCCTCCCAAAGTGCTGGGATTACAGGCGTGAGCCACTGCACCCAGCCCATCACCACCATTCTTTTCCAGAAGTGTTCATCTTCTCCAACTGAAACTATGTATCTCATGATCTCTTGATACAAATAATTACAATACAAATTCCAGTTCACATGGCATTTCTTAGGATTTATTAAAGATTTCAGTAGATAGAAGTTTATGTCTCTTAAAGAGAGTTTAGAAAGATGACATTAAATCAATATCTTTAAACTCTTTGTAGAAACTCATTGTGAAACCTTGCTTGGAGTAATATGCTACAAATATATTTGTCCATATTCTTTCTTAAATATTTATTTATTTATTTATTTATTTATTTGAGACAGAATCTTGCTCTGTCTCCCAAGCTGGAGTGCAGTGGCCCAATCTTGGCCGACTGCAACCTCCGCCCCCAGGTTCGAGCAATTCTCCTGCCTCAGCTTCCCGAGTAGCTGGAATTACAGGCATGCACTACCACATTCGGGTAATTTTTGGGTTTTTGTTTTGTTTTGTTTTGTTTTTTTAAAATGCAGTCTCACTCTGTCACCCAGGCTGGAATGCAATGGCACAATCTCAGCTGACTGCAACCTCTGTCTTCCAGCTTCAAGTGATTCTCCTGCCTCATCCTTCCGAGTAGCTGGGATTACCGGTGCCTGCCACCATGCCCAGCTAATTTTTGTATTTTTAGTAGAGATAGGGTTTCACTATGTTGGCCAGGCTGGTCTCCAACTCCTTACCTTGTGATCCATCTGCCTCGGCCTCCCAAAGTGATTTTTTTAATTTTTAGTAGAGATGGGGTTTTGCCATGTTGGCCAGGCTGGTCTCCAACTCCTGACCTCAAGTGATCCGTCCACTTCGGCCCCCCAAAGTGCTGGGATTACAGGGCTCAGCCACCACGCCCGGCCTTAAATCATTTTTAAGCTTAAACAAAAGCACTCTTGTTTTCTCCTTGCTAAGAAACTGATTTTGTCCACACATTTTTTTTTCTTTTTTCTTTTCTTTTTTTTTTGAGACAGGGTCCCGCTTCATCGCCCAGGCTAGAGTGCAGTGCTGTGATCTCAGCTCACTGCAACCTCCGCCTCCTGGGTTCAAGAGATTCTTGTGCCTCAGCCTCCTGAGTAGCTGGGACTACAGGCACCCACCAGCACATCCGGCTATGTCCACACATTTTCTATTTGAGTCTGTCTTTATAAAAGGGAATCCTCAGTGTATCTTCCTTGGTAACATTGACTTTGTAAAATGGAATTTTGTTTGTTAACATTGTTATTTTCATAGGGTTTATTTTTCTTGGAACATGCTATAAAACCAAAATATTTTGAATGTTACTCATTGACAGAGAGCAAAGAGTCAAGAGTTTTCATAATAACTTTTAATCAGATTGCTAATACTGATGCTTAATAAAAGAAATATACGGCCAGGCACAGTGACTCATGCCTGTAATCCCAGCACTTTGGGAGGCCCAGGTGGGCAGATCACCTGAGGTCAGGAGTTTGAGACCAGCCTGGCCAACATGGTGAAACCCTGTCTCTACTAAAAATACAAAATTAGCCAGGCGTTGTGGCAGGTGCCTGTAATCCCAGCTACTCAGGAGGCTAAAACAGGGGAATTGCTAGAACCTGGAGGCAGAGTCTGTGGTGAGCCGAGATCAAGCCACTGCACTCCAGCCTGGCTGGCAGAGCGAGACTCTGTTTAAAAAAAAAAAAAAAAAAGAGAGCGAGAGAGAGAAATCTACATTTTGTTTATAATTACTGACATTTTGAATTTTTTAAAGCAGTTACATACATAGGGACCAGAATATATTTAAACGACACTAAGAAATGGTGTCCTACTATTAAGCAGTTTTGACTTTAATAGCTCAATTTTTACCATACTGTATTTTAGTGAATGTTTTGACTGTGGGCTAGGAATGCAAACGGCAGTGTCCCATCTTTTTTACTATTTATGACTGGCATTGTACAAAAATGTCCATAGTCTGTAAAAGTGGAAAAAATCATATTGGTAGTAGTATTGCTTTTATTTCATTTAAAATGTTCTCTAAAATAGGTCAGATGTGGTGGCTCATACCTTAATCCCAGCACTTTGGGAAGCAGAGGCAGGCGGATTACTTGAGGTCAGGAGTTCGATACCAGCCTGGCCAACATGGTAAAACCCTGTCTCTACTAAACATACAAAAATTATCCAGCTGTGGTGGCGCACACCTATAATCCCAGCTACTCAGGAGGCTGAGGCAGGAGAATCTGCTTGAACCCAGGAGGCCAAGATTGCAGTGAGCCGAGATCACGCCACTGTACTCCAGCCTGGGTGACAGAGTGAGACTCCATCTCAAAAAAAATAAATAAAAATAAAATGTTCCCTAAAATAAATTCCCTTTGCATTAGGAAAAACATAAATGACTTAGATAAATCTCCATTTTGTTTAATAAAATATATCATAATGCTGGGCATGGTGACTCATACCTATAATCTCAGCACTTTGGGAGGCCAAGGCAGGAGGATTCCTTGAGGCCAGGAGTTTGAGACCAGCCTGGGCAACATGGTGAGCAATCCCTTCTGTATGAATTTTTTAAAAATTAGTACAGTGGCATGCACCTTTGTTTTCAGCTACTTGGGAGGCTGAGGTAGGAGAATCACTTTGAGCCATGTTCATGCCATCGTACTCCAGCCTGGGCAACAGAGCAAGACCTTATCTCAGGAAAAAAAGAAAAAGAAAAAGAAAAAAAATACATGCATATGCATAAATATTTTCCTGAATAAAACTAGAAATCAGATAAGTATCAGAGCAGTTTCTATTTAATATTCAGATAGTTTGTCTTTATTGAGAATATATAAGTAAGACTTACTTTTGGCTCTTTCAGCTTTTCGTGTTTTTTTTTGTTGTTGTTGTTGTTGTTGTTGTTGTTGTTGTTTTGAGATGGAGTTTCGCCCTTGTTGCCCAGGCTGGAGTGCAGTGGCACGATCTCGGCTCACTGCAACCTCCGCCTCCTGGGTTCAAGCGATTCTCCTGCCTCAGCCTCCTGAGTAGCTGGGATTACAGGCACACACCAGCATGCCCAGCTAATTTTTTGTATTTTTAGTAGAGACAGGGTTTCACCATGGCCAGGCTGGTCTTGAACTTCTGACCTCAGGTGATCTGCCCACCTCAGCCTTCCAGAGTGCTGGGATTACAGGCAGGAGCCACCGTGCCTGGCCTTTTTTTTGTTTTTAATAGAGATGAGGTCTCACTATGTTGCCCAGACTGGTCTTGAACTCATGCACATAAACAGTCCTCCGTCCTCAGCCTCCCAAAGTGCTGAGATTACAGGTGTGAGCCACCACACCCGGCTCCTCATTTCTCAATCATTTCCTGTGTATGGTTTTCCATAGTTATCAAAATGCCCTCACACTCTCTTAGAAAACACAGTAAAGAAGTATAAAAACATTTTTGTCAGGGCATCTGGTTTTTAATATATTGTAGAGTTGTCTTTTCTTTAAGGTCTAGTGTTGGTATACTCACTAGACCTTAAACCCATACCTGGCTGTGCCAGAAATTCTTCAACTTAGACATTTACTTCCGAGTCTTTTAATGAACCACAACTATTATTAATATAATAAATTACTGTGCTAAATGTTTGGAGACTTCAACTAATTATTTTATATTTATGTTCAGCACATAAATCCCTTTATAAGGAGGTTTGTTAAATATTAAGTGGATTATCTTGGAAGGACACACAATCTTTTATTCTGTGGATCTTTAAAACTTGTATTTCCTTACGCCTGAGAGAAGTGAATTGTCTGATTTGGAGCAGATGTGGGGAATCAGTTGATTCCTCACTTTTTTTACACTGGCTTGATAGATGCCTGGCTGGATAATAAGGGTCCAGCATTAGTCAGTGGATCCTGGACCATGGAGGACCAGGCCTGCATCCCAAATCCTGTGCTGTACCATCGTCAAAAAGTGCTCACATGTAGCCTTGGTGCATATTCTTGGAAAGTAAATTAGTAACTGACATTAACCCTAAAAATGTCCTTTGGAAACCAGAATCTTAGGAAAGTAATTGCATTGGGTAAACAGTTATTAGGCATGTATGTATCAGGCATTGCACTAAACTCTGCTAACACAGAAATGAAAGGAAACTCATCCAGTTTTCATGGAACTTGTAAGCCAGTGGGGAAGTCAGAAAAACCAAGTATACTCATATGTTGCTTAAGAAGGAGGATACGTTCTGAGAAATGCGTCGCTAGACAATTTCATTATCTTGTGAATATCAGAGTACACTTACACAAACCTAGATGATCTAGCCTACTGCAGACCCAAGCTATATGGTATAGCCTATTGTTCCCAGGCACAAGGCTGTGCAGCATGTTACTATACTGAATACTGTAGGCAACCATAACACAATGGTAAGCATTTGTGTGTCTAAACCTATTCACACACAGAAAAGAAACACTAACAATATAGTTTTTTGTTATTGTTGTTGTGTTTGTTTGTTTGTTTGTTTTTTTGAGACGGAGTTTCGCTCTTGTTGCCCAGGCTGGAGTGCAATGGCATGATCTCTGCTCACTGCAAACTCTGCCTCCCGGGTTCAAGCGATTCTCCTGCCTCAGCCTCCTGAGTAGCTGGGATTACAGGCATGTGCCGCCATGCCCAGCTAATTTTGTATTTTTAGTAGAGACAAGGTTTCTCCATGTTGGTCAGGCTGGTCTCAAACTCCTGACCTCAGGTGAACCGCCCACCTCAGCCTCCCAAAAGTTCTGGGATTACAGGCGTGAGCCACTGTGCCCGGCCAGTATTATACTCTTAAGGGACCATAATCATATATGTGGTCCACTGTGTATGAAAGGTTGTTATGGGGATGCATGGCTGTATTGTCATACATGGTGCTGGTAAGATGTCAGATGTCCTCTAGGGATATGAATAAGTGAATAATGAATTTTGCTTCGGGATTTAAATAAAACTAAAGAAAGGCAGTGTCATTTTACTCAAGACCTTTAGGATAAGTAGGCATTGTCAGTTGACCGCTTGGAGGTGGGTGGGAATGTCTTCTAAGTAAAAGGAACATGCAAAGTCAAATAATTGAAAAACTGATAAGTTTTGGGGACATCAAGTGGTCAAGGTGGCAAAGAACTAAGGGCTTCTTACAGGGACAAGTGGGGTGGGTAGAGACACAAATGAGGCTAGCTAGTGCCTATTGTAATGAGCCAGTATATTCAGTTCTCTGATGCCAAAAAACCATACAATCTAAAAGTTGCCTGCCTTCGGGATGGCAGAATTAAGTGCTGTCTCATCAGCACTCTCATAGCACTTTATGGTGTGTGTATTCATTTATATTTGGGCTCTGCTTTTTTAAAAAAATTGGGCCTCGCTATGTAGCCTAGTCTGGTCTTGAACTCCTGTCTTCAAGCGATCCTCCTGCCTTGGCCTCCCAGAGTGCTGGGATTACAGGCGGGAGCCACTATGTCCAGCCTGCACCCTGCTTTAATTGGGAACATAAGATAAGCATAATGAAGATAATCGCACAGAGCAGTGTCTGATCAGTGTCCAAAGATGTAGTTGCTGCTTTCAGAATTCTGGGCAGAGAATTCTGAAGACAGGCTGAGGTTGTCAGAGAAGGATTCACAGAGATCAGATCCAAATTAATTTTTGAATAATGGTTGTATTTTCAGTAGACATGGGAGAGGAAGAAGAGCATTTCAAGTAAGGAAATTTGTCACCTGGACAAAGACAGATGCTGGGAAAGTGCATCATTGTGTTTGGAGGCTAGGAGAGTGGCAGTGGGCTAGAATAGAGGGCAGGGGAAATAGTGGAAAATAACTTTAGCCCTATTGTATGTTGTCAGCTTAAATAAAAGTCTTTGTTTTCCACTTTAGATTGTTATCCTATAGGAATAACCTGGTCTCCAAAGTAAGAAAAATATGCTTTCTTGGAAAACTGAGGTTTTCAAGGAAAAGTGAATAAACACACTCTCCCTGTGTGCCTGCTTCTGTTGCAGGTTTGCCATCCTGTGACCAACACATTAGAAAGGGTGCTAAGTTCATTTTTAAAATATTTCCTGAGTTCCTATTATGTGCCAGGGGCTATTCTGGGTGCTAAGGTTCATTGGTGAACAGACACAAACCTCTGCCCTGATGGAGCTGACTTTCTAATGTAAATATGAGTCAGTGTGCTAAAGAGGACAAGGAACGGGCCAGGTGCGGTGGCTCACACCTGTAATCCCAGCACTTTGGAAGGCCGAGACGGGTGGATCACAAGGTCAGGAGATTGAGACCGTCCTGGCTAACACGATGAAACCCCGTCTCTACTAAAAATAGGAAAAAATTAGCCAGGTGTGCTGGCGGGCACCTGTAGTCCCAGCTACTTGGGAGGCTGAGGCAGGAGAATGGCGTGAACCCAGGAGGCAGAGTGTGCAGTGAGTCGAGATCATGCCACTGCACTCCAGTCTGGGTGACAGAGTGAGACTCCATCTCAAAAAAAAAAAACGAAGGAAGAAGTAGAGCAATTATTTGGTGGGAAAGAGTAAAAAAAGATTGATACTGAAGGTGGCTTAGGGTGATGCATTCCCAAATAAGATTTTGCCCACAGCATCTTTCCTTCAGTCAGGTTGCCAAGATAACGGGATTCTCCCCTTAAGTTTGGAGAGTTGGAGCCTCAGTTTGTGTTTCTGAGTCAACCAGAGGCCCTTGTTTGCAGGTCCCACCTGACTCCACTCAGACCTGGAACAGGTTCCCCAATTTGCCTGAAATTTTCCCAGGGGCAACTAGTAACCCAGATTCCAGATGAATCAGAATCTCCAGGGTTGGGGCAGGGGAGGACAGGACTCCATGGTTTTTGTTTTCTTGAAACAGAGTCTTACTCTGTTGTCGAGGGCAGTGGTGCAGCGATAGCTCACTGCAGCCTTGACCTTCCGGCTCAAGCAATCCTCTCACCTCAGCCTCCCCAGTAGCTGGGACCACAGGCATGTGCCACCACACCCAGCTAATTTTTTTTTTTTTTTTTGAGACGGGGTCTTACTCTTCTGGCCAGGCTGGAGTGCAATGGCGCCATCTTGGTTCACTGCAACCTCCACCTCCCAGGCTCCATTGATCCTCCCGCCTTAGCCTCCCATGTAGCTGGGACTACAGGCATGTGCCACCATGCCCAGCTAATTTTTATATTTTTTTAGTAGAGACAGGGTTTTGCCATGTTGCCCAGGCTGGTCTCAAACTCCTGAACTCAAGCGATCTGCTCACCTTGACCTCCCAAAGTGCTAGGATTACAAGCATGAGCCACTGTGCTCAGCTGGTATTTCATGTTTGTTTGTTTGTTTGTTTTTTGAGACAGAGTTTTGCTCTTGTCATCCAGGCTGGAGTGCAATGGCACGATCTTGGCTCACTGCAACCTCTGCCTCCTAGGTTCAAGCAATTCTCCTGCCTCAGCCTCCCAAGTAGCTGGGATTACAGGTACCCGTCAACAGTCCTGGCTAATTTTTGTATTTTTAGTAGAGACACGGTTTTGCCATGTTGGCCAGGCTGGTCTTGAACTCCTGACCTCAAGTGATCCACCCGCCTCGGCCTCCCAAAGTGCTGGGCTTACAGGCGTGAGCCACCATGCCCAGCCATTCATGTTTTTAATAACCAACTCCAGTTCATATTATTATTATTATTTATTTATGTATTTAGTTATTTATTTTGAGACAGAGTCTCACTGTCACCGAGGCTGGGGTGCAGTAGCTTGATCTAGGCTCACTGCAAGCTCCGCCTTCCGGGTTCATGCCATTCTCCTGCCTCAGCCTCCCGAGTAGCTGCGACTACAGGCGCCCGCCACCATGCCCAGATAATTTTTTGTATTTTTAGTAGAGATGGGGTTTCACCATGTTAGCCAGGATGGTCTCGATCTCCTGACCTTGTGATCCGTCCGTCTCAGCCTCCCAAAGTGTTGGGATTACAGGCATGAGCTACCACACCCGGCCTTCATATTATTTTGAAGCAAATCTCAGATGTCATTTTTTTTTCATTCATACCTATTTCAGTATGGATTTCTAAAAGATACAGATTCTTTTTTTAAAAAATGTGATCCCTGAGGTCAAGTGATTGAGACCATCCTGGCCAACATGGTGAAACCCCCATCTCTAAAAATACAAATATTAGCTGGGCGTGGTGGCGCGTGCTTGTAGTCCCAGCTACTCGGTAGGCTGAGGCAGGAGAATCGCTTGAACCTGGGAGGCGGAGGTTGCAGTGAGCCGAGATCACACCACTGCACTCTAGCCTGGCAACAGAGCGAGACTCCGTCTGAAAAAAAAAAAAAATAGTGCACGCCTGTACAACTGAAAAAATTTAACAGAATGATATATTTATAATTCATCAGGAATTACAGAATTTCAATGCTGATGGACTCTGGGAAATTGTAAATTTGTAGGATTAACCTAGGATTATGGAATTATATGAGCTTTTAATTAGGCAAGGTCTTTGGGAGCACAGTCTCCATACAAAACACAGCTGCCTTATATTTAAAACCTGGGTATTTTTTCAATATTTATTATACCCACTTATGTGCTATTTGCTGGGGATATGAAGACAAATATGATGAGATTCCTGTTTTTGAGGGTAGTACTATAATATCTTTTTTTTTTTTTTTTAATACGGAGTTTTGCTCTTGTTGCCCAGGCTGGAGTGCAATGGTGCGATCTTGGCTCACTGCAACCTTCACCTTCCAGGTTTAAGCGATTCTCCTGCCTCAGCCTCCCGAGTAGCTGGGACTATGGGCATGCACCACTGTGCCTGGCTAACTTTGTATTTTTAGTAGAGATGGGGTTTCTCCATGTTGGTCAGGCTGGTCTCGAACTCCCGACCTCAGGTGATCGCCTGCCTCAGCCTCCCAAAGTGCTGGGATTACAGGCAAGAGCCACTGTGCCCAGCTGTTTATCTTAATGAAATGTGGGCCCTATATGTATACCTATTCTCTTGCTTGCTAAAATAATCATGGATGTCTTGATTTTCACGGATTTCTGTTTCCATTGCCAGATTCACCATTGTTGATGATCATTCCTTTATAATAGATGACAAGTCATGGACTTCTGGGAGTTTGGGAGCTGGTTAAGTGAAATGATTTTCAAACTTTTTTCTTGCAGTTGAGTAAGAATTGAGCTACTCAGCTGAAGGGTGTGTGTGGGGGAGAGATGGGAGTGTGAAGAGTGCCTCCACCACCAGCTGTTTTAGGCCTCCAAGACAGCTCCTGGATACCTTAAAGAATACTGGGTCCCAAAGTTAAACACTCACCGATGTGGTCTGTTAAGTTCATTAAGAAATGGGAAACAGGACCCAGAGGTTGGAGCTTCTTTGTCGTCACATGATTAGTCAATGTCAGTATCCAAAACAAGCCCTGTGACTTCCAAATTCAGTGTCCTTGCCCTGTGTCTCCAGCCTCTGTAAAGCCTTGCCAGAAATTCTCCCCAGCCCCCTTCATGGTTGGTCACTCTTTCCCCCATGTTATAGCACATTTTTTTGCCAGCTGGATTGCTTAGTATGTTAGGCTTATTTCTTTTTTTGTTGTTTTTTTAATACTTTAAGTTCTGGCCTCCCCTAGCCCCCGGCACCCCCCCCAACAGGCCCCGGTGTGTGATGTTCCCCTCCCTGTTCTCATTGTTCAACTACCACTTATAAGTGAGAACATGCAGTATTTGGTTTTCTGTTCCTGTGTTAGTTTGCCGAGAATGATGGTTTCCAGCTTCATCCATGTCCCTGCAAAGGATATGAACTCATTCTTTTTTATGGCTGCTGTTAGGCTTATTTCTGCCCCACCTCATTCCTACCTCAAGTAGGAATTAAAGCAGTTTAAAGACCTTCAAATTCTTCATTTCATGAGATGAACGAGGGTCGTTTATTGCCTATGTTAATTGTCGTCTTTTCCAACTATGAGAATTTTTTTTTTTTTTTTTTTTTTTGAGACAGAGTTTCGCTCTTGTTGCCCGGACTAGAGTGCAGTGGCACAATCTTGGCTCACGGCAACCTCTGCCTCCCAGGTTCAAGCGATTCAGATTCAAGCCTCCTCACCTCCCAGATTCAAGCAATTCTCCTGCCTCAGCCTCCCAAGTAGCTGGGACCACAGGCCCAAGCCACCATGCCCAGCTAATTTTTTGTATTTTTTGTAGAGATGGGGTTTTGCCATGTTGCCCAGGCTGGTCTCCAACTCCCGAGCTCAACCGATCCACCTGCCTCAGCCTCCCAAAGTGCTGGAATTATAAGCCACCGTGCCCAGCTGGGAATTTTTATTTATTTATTTTTCTTTATTTTTTGAGACGGAATCTCCCTCTGTCACCCAGGCTGGAGTGCAGTGGCATGATCCTACCTCACTGCAACCTCTGCCTCCCAGGTTCAACCAATTCTCCTGCCTTAGCCTCCTGAGTAGCTGAGATTATAGGCGTGTGCCACCACACCTGGTTGAGTTCTGTATTTTTAGTAGAGACGGGGTTTCACCATGTTGGCCAGACTTGTCTCGAACTCCTGACCTTAGGTGATCCACCCACCTCAGCCTCCCAAAGTGGTGGGATTACAGGCGTGAGCCACTATGCCCGGCCAAATTTTTAAATTTCTAAGTCTTTCTTGTAATAATTTGCCTTACTCTTTTCCACCCACTCCTCCTTGCTTTTAGGAGGCCCTAGCTGATGACAAAATAAATGAAGAAATCCTTGGTTGAATAATAACTAAAAAACTTAAAGCCAATCATGCTGAGTTTGACAGCTTCTTTTCTCCCCAAATGGATATAATTGTGAAAATATTGTCATGTTTTCTTCTAGCAAAACGTCATATTATTTCACAAAAAGCCCAGCGATTTCACCTGAAGAAGCTTGGGAACTCCTGCCAAAAATTGTAGCACTTCTCACATTGCAATGGTAATGAATTGTTGCATGTCTGTCTTCCAAAAGAAAGTGAGTTCCTTCAAAACGGGAACCATGCCAGAAGGTGAAGTCTTGCAATTTCAAAATGTAACAGCACAGAACAATTACAATATAGTAAAAAGAATAAGATGAGAATACTTTACATCCTTATCGACATGAATCGTTATTTGCCCTGCATAAGTGGCTATTCATGGCATAACTTTTTGATGATGACACCCATTGGAAAACTGTTTGCTCAAACACAATAGTTCACTTTTCAGCCTTGCTTCTTCTGTTCTACAAAATGTGAAGGATTTTTAAATTTGTTATTACATTTATGTCATACTATTTTATATTCCCACCCCCTAGCATAGTACCTGGCACTAGTGTTTGTTAAATGAATAATGAATATTCTTTATGCCCATTGAATAGCTTTATTAGAGACAGGAATTAAAGAAGGAGCCTTTCTAATTTCCTAAGCTGTTTTTCAAGGGTAGAAAACAAAAGGAGGCACAGGAGAAAACTGTATAAACAATTTAAATATCTGTCCTCCTTCCTTCTCCCTTTCTCCTATTCTCCCTCTTTCTGAATACTCTGATCCTATAATCTCTGCCGATGAACTCATATAACCCCTTCAAGAGATTTGGTTCAAGACCTTATAAATGACTATGGGGCCAAAATCGAGTAACCGGGTCTGGATTTAACTTCCTGTGTAGAAATGGTGAAAATCAGACACAATATATGAAATAATGGTATTTTAGATATTAGATATCAGGCAGCACAGGACAGTGACTCCTGAGAGGACAAAACAAATGAGATGAGCCCTGTAACCAACCCAGCTTACTGTCAAGAGTGTTTCCTTACCATAGCTCAGGGGAGGAGGAATCCACAGGAAGGCTGATAATCTTCCTGAGTTGAGCTGATGTCTCTGAGAGGTTAAAATGGCCTAAGTTTGGCCGGGCACGGTGGCTCACGCCTGTAATCCCAGCACTTTGGGAGGCCAAGGCGGGCAGATCACGAGGTCGAGAGATCGAGACCATCCTAGCCAACATGGTGAAACCCCGTCCCTACTAAAAATACAAAAATTAGCTGGGCGTGGTGGCGCACGCCTGTAATCCCAGCTACTCGGGAGGCTGAGGCAGGAGAATCACTTGAACCTGGGAGGCGGAGGTTGCAGTGAGCTGAGATTGCGCCACTGCACTCCAGCCTGCTGACAGAGCGAGACTCCATCTCAAAGAAAAAAAAAAAAAAAAGCCTACGTTCCCAGGGTACCCAGAGTACCAGAGAGAGAGAGCACTGCACTCCACTCTACTATCTGGAGATCTACAGAGTCTTTCTCAAGTTTTCAGCTGATAACTGATGTGTTTAAGAAAACTTCCTAAGTTCTGGGAAGAAACACTACTTGGAGCTCACATAGGGCAGAGAATAGTTTGTGTTCCCATCTGCAAGAGTGCAAAAACCCTTGTAATTCATGGGATATCAGATGAAGTACTCAGAAGGGTATTTATTGCCTCACTATAGGGCAAAATGAATCCTAAAGATTGACAAAGCTTAAAAGCAATCCTTAAAAGGATCAGACATTTTGTAAAGAAACTTTGTAAAGTAACTTAACTGTGTCCTAGACAAAGCTCAAAAATATCCAACACCTGATAATGTAAAATTAACAATGTCTGACATCCAATAAAAAAATGACCAGGCACGCAAATTTGGGACCAACCACAACAACAAAATCAATCAATAGAAAGAGATGCAGAAATTATACAAATGATAGAATTAATCATTTTTTTTGTTGGCCAGATGAGGTGGCTTATGCCTGTAATCCTAACACTTTGTGTGGCGGAGGTGGCGGATTGCTTGAGGCCAGGAGTATGAGACCAGCCTGGGCAACATGGTGAAACCCTGTATCTACAAAAAATACAAAAATTAGCTAGCCATGGAGCTCATGCCTGTAATCCCATTACTTTGGGAGGCTGAGGCAGGAGGATCACTTGAGACCAGGGGTTCAAGACCACCCTGGGCAACACAGTGAGACCCTGCCTCTTCAAAAAAAATTTGTTTAAGTTGTTACTATCTTATATAAGTTCAAGAAAATAGTGGAAAGATTAAACAAATAATGGCATGGAATCTCATCTTGGGCCAAGACAACAAAGCAAAAAAAAATTTTAAATAATAATGACATGGAGTATTTTAAAAAGACCCAAATTGAACTTCTGGAGATGAAAACTACAGTGTTTTAAAATAAAAGCGCACTGGATGGGATTAACAGAAGATTAGAGACTGCAGAAGAAAAGATTTATGAATCTGAAGATATATGAATAGAAGCTATCCTAAATGAAAGCCGGAGAGATTAAAATACTAAAAAAGGCCAGGCATGGTGGCTCACACCTGTAATCCCAGCACTTTAGGAGGCCAAGGCAAGAGGATCGCTTGAGCCCAGGAGTTCAGGACCAGCCTCCTGGACAACATAGTAAAACCCTGTCTCTACAGAAAATACAGAAATTAGCTGGGCATGATGGCAAGTGCCTGTGGTCCCAGCTACTCAAGAGGCTGAGGTGGGAGGATCACCTGAGCCCAGGAGGTCGAGGCTGCAATCCGCTGTGATCCTGCCACTGCACTGCTGCTTGGGCAGCAGAGCAAAACCCTGTCTCAAGAAAATTAGTAAATTAAATTAAAAAAATAAAAGACTGAAAGAAAATACAGCATCATTGAGCTGTGGGACACTTCAAATAGTCTAATGATGTAATTGTAGTCCCCAAAGAAGAGGGAGGGGCATAAAATATTTGAAAAAATTAATGACTGAAATTTTTCTAAATTGGAGGGAAACTATAAACCTGCAGATTCTAGAAGCTTAGTGAACCCTAACCACTGGAAGCATGAAGAGAACTACACCAAGGCTTTTCATAATCAGATTGCTTAAAACCAGTGGTAAAGAGAAAAATATTTAAAGTGTCCAGAGGAAAAAATGACACATTATGAAAAAAAGAAAGGTAAGAATGATGGCAGACTTTTCTTTGGAAATAATGCAAATGAGAAATAGTACATCAGTATCTTTAAAGAACTGAAAGGAAAAAAACTCATCAATCTTGAACAATATGCCCAGTGAAAATATATTTCAAAAACGAAGGCAAGATAAACACTTTTTGTGGGGGTGGGGATAGAATCTCTGTCTGTCTCCCAGGCTGGAATGCAGTCACACAATCACGGCTCACTGCAGCCTCAACCTCCCCAGGCTCAGGTGGTCCTCCCACCTCAGCCTCCTGAGCAGCTGGGATTACAGGTGCGCACCACCATGCCCAGCTAATTTTTTTATTTTTTGTAGAGGTGGGGTTTTTCCATGTTGCGCAGGAGGGTCTCAAACTCCTGGATTCAAGCAATCCACCCACTTCAGCCTCCCAAAGTGCTAGGATTACAGGCGTGAGCCACCGTGCCCATCTCACACTCTTTAAAGATATATCAAAACTGAAAGAATTAATCAGCAAAGACCTGCACTACAAAAAATATTAAAGGATTCCTTTCAGGAGAAGGAAAATGATACCAGATGGAAATCTGGATTTACTTAAGAGAATGAAGAACACTAGAAGTAGTAAATATGTCAGTAAAAATAAAGTGACTGCAGTTCATTTTACCTTCAATAGGTCCGGGGGTAAAAATGTGATTTTGAAGACTGCAACTATTCCGTAGTTCATGTCTGCTTAAAGTCTCTCAATAATTTGCTAACCTCAGCACCTTTTAGAGGTAAATTTGTTTGTAAATTATTAGGAAGTTATGACTCATGTTATAGCAACTTACTACAAGTAAAGCAAATGTCAGTAGTTTTTGGTAAGGTATCTCGTATTGGCTCTTGGTGGGTTTTTTTTTTTTTTTTTGAGACACGGTCTCACTTTGTCACCCAGGCTGGAGTGCAGTGGCGTGATCTCAGCTGACTGTAGTCTCAACCCCCTGAGTTCAAGCCATCTTCACTAGGCTATATACATACACATATGTATATGTATATATATAAATTATATATATACACAACACACATGTATACATACATATATATACACATACATGTATGTATATGTATATATACGTATACATACATATACATGCATGTGTGTGTGTGTGTGTGTGTATATATATATATATATATATTTTTTTTTTTTTTTTTTTTTAGATGAAGTCTTGGTCTGTTACCCAGGTTGGAGTTCAGTGGCACGATCTTGGCTCACTGCAGCCTCTGCCTCCCAGGTTCAAGCGATTCTCCTTCCTGCCTTAGCCTCCCAAGTAGCTGGGATTACAGGCATGCGCCACCATGGTCGGCTAATTCTTGTATTTTTAGTAGAACAGGGTTTCACCATGTTGGCCAGGCTGGTCTCGAACTCCTGACCTCAGGTGATCCGCCTGCCTCAGCCACTAGGCTATTATTTTTGAAAGAAGCAAAAGAACAGATAAGCAGATAAAGGAGGAAACAAAAACATTTGTAATAGTGGCCACATACCAAATTTCAGTTTGCGCAGTCTTTGAAATCCTGTTCTATTACTTTTTTTTTTCTTTTTTTTTGAGACAGGGTCTCACTCTATCACCCAGGCTGGAGTGCAGTGGTGCAATCTCAGCTCATTGCAACTTCCACCTCCTGGTTCAAGAGATTCTCATGCCTCAGCCCCCATAGTAGCTGGGATTACAGGCACGCACCACCACGCCTGGCTCATTTTTTTTGTATTTTTAGCAGAGACAGAGTTTCACCATGTTGGCCAGGCTGTTTTATGACTCCTAAGGGTGAAGTTTGGTTTTCTTCCATTGCTACTGGTCAGAATATCTTTTTTTTTTTTTTTTTTTTTTGAGATGGAGTCTCGCTCTGTTGCCCAGGCTAGAGTGCAGTGGGGCAATCTTGGCTCACTGCAACCCCCATCTCCTGGGATCAGGCAATTCTCCTGCCTAAGCCTCCCGAGTAGATAGGATTACAGGCATCCACCACCACATACAGCTAAATTTTTTGTATTTTCAGTAAAGACAGGGTTTCACCATGTTGGCCAGGTTGGTCTCAAACTCCTGACCTCAGGTGATCCGCCCATCTCGGCCTCCCAAATTGTTGGGATTACAGGCGTGAGCCACCGTGCCCAGCCCAGAATATCTTAAATAGGCAAAACTGATTTGCTGAACTGGGTTTCCTGAAATATCTGTTCTTGCAACCAATTATGTTTCTTCATGAGAGCTTAGATTTTCTCCCTCTGTGTGGAAAAAAAATTAATACACTGTTATATCTCTGCCTTGGAGGTCTTTGAAGTTTTGCTGTGAACTTAATTAAATTCAGACTGTTTTTAAGATACAGTATTTCTTGGCCGGGCGTGGTGGCTCCTGACTGTAATCCCAGCACTTTGGGAGCCTGAGGTGGGCGGATCACCTGAGGTCAGGAGTTCGAGACTAGCCTGACCAACGTGGAGAAACCCTGTCTCTACTAAAAATACGAAATTAGCCAGGCATGGTGGTGTGGCCCTGTAATCCTATCTCGGGAGGCTGAGGCAGGACAGTCACTTGAACCCGGTAAGCGGAGGTTGTGGTAAGCCAAGATTGCGCCATTGCTCTCTAGCCTGGGCAACAAGAGAGAAACTCTGTCTCAAAAAAAAAAAAAAAAAAAAAAAAAGATACAGTATTTCTTTTAAGACAGCTGATGTGGCTTATTCTCCAGGCCAGTAGGCTGCTTTAAAATATTCTAAGGGCTGGGCATGGTAATTGTAATCCCAGCACTTTAGGAGACCAAGGTGGAGGATCACTTAAGTGCAGCAGTTCGAGACCAGCATGGGCAACATAGTGAGACCTCGTCTCTACCAAAAAAAAATGAAAAAAAAAAAAGTTCTAAGTATTTAGCTGGGCACTGTAGCATACACCTGTAATCCTAGCTACTCAGAAGACTGAAAGGGGAGGATCGCTTGGGCCCAAGAGTTCAAGGCCAGGCTGGGCAACATAATGAAACCCTGTCTCTTCAAAAAAAAAAAAAGTTCTGAGTATTTGGTATATTTAGTATACTTAAGGAAAGCGAGCCTTACTTGAGGTTCTTTTTAAATTTTATTTTATTTTTGAGATAGGGTTTGGTACTTTTGCCCGGGCTGGAGTGCAGTGGCACGATCACGGCTCACTGCAACCTTCATGTCCTGGGCTCAAGTCATCCTCCGACCTCAGCCTACCAAGTAGCTGGGACTAAAGGCAAGCACCACCACACCCAGCTAAACTGACTTGAGGTTCTTGTACTTCATTTTGTGTCCTTCTTCTCCTTGTTTTATTAATTGTTTTTCTTTTTTGATTAGATCTTACATGCATGTGGCACAAATTTCAAAATGTACAAAAGGACATATAAATAAAGAGTATCAGCCGGGCGTGGTGGCTCACGCCTGTAATCCCAGCACTTTGGGAGGCCGAGGCGGGCGGATCACGAGGTCAGGAGATCAAGACCATCCTGGCTAACATGGTGAAACCCAGTCTCTACTAAAAATACAAAAAATTAGCTGGGCGTGGTGGTGGGCGCCTGTAGTCCCAGCTACTCGGGAGGCTGAGGCAGGAGAATGGTGTGAACCTGGGAGGCTGAGCTTGCAGTGAGCCGAGATTGCACCACTGCACTCCAGCCTGGGCGACAGAGCGAGACTCCATCTCAAAAAAAAAAAAAAAAAATTGTGTATCTTCCTCTGTTCCCCAGTCACCCTGTTTTCTTCCCAGAAGCAACTAGTGTTACTGGTTACCTGTGCTTCATTTTAGGTTCTATACATTTACACACACACATCATTTATATGTGTGTGTGTGTGTGTGTGTGTGTATATATGTGTGTGTGTGTATTTCCCCCACACACACATTTGGGAACATAATGTACATAATATTCTGCACCTTTCTTTTTTAATTGACCATATATCCTACCAAGTTAGTATGATTAAAACTGCCTCATTAGTTTTAATGACTGCAGAGTACTCCACTATGTAGGTAAACCATAATTGATTTAACCAGGACATTTAATCATGGACATTTAGGGTTTTTAAGAGAGTTTTTTAAATTAAGATATAATTTACATACCATAAAACTCACCCTTTTAAAGTATATAATTCAGTAGTTTAATACAAGAACTCTTTTTTTTTTTTTTAAGAGGCAGAGTCTGGCTCTGTCGCTTTGGCTGGAGTGCAGTGGTGTAATCATAGCTCACTGCAGCCTTGACCTCCTACGCTCAAGCAAACAATCCTCCCATCTCAGCCTCCCAAGTAGCTGGAACTACAGGTGTGCATCAGCACACTCAACTAATTTTTAAATGTTTTGTAGAGATTGGGTCTCACTACATTGCCAAGCAGGTTCAAGAACATTTTTATTGCCCCAGAAAGAAACCCCATACCCATGACATCTAGGGTTTTGCCGTCCTTTGTTAAAACCAATTAATACTAAAATAATAATAATACTGCCCTGGATATTCTTATACACATATCATTTGGCACATGTGAAAGAATACCCACGTGACAGCTGGTTATGGTGGCACATACCTGTAGGCCCAGCTACTTAGGGGGTTAAGGATCTCTTGAGCCCAGAAATTCAAGTCCAGCCTGGGCAACATAGAGAGACCCTATCTCTAAAAAAAAAAAAAAAAAAAGTGAGTAAAAAAGAATATCTGCAGTACAAATACCTGGAAATGGATTTGCTTGGTAAGCTGATCTGTGCACTTAAGATTTTGAAAGACATTGCTAAATTGCCCTCACTAGAGGTTATATGAGTCTGTATCCTGTCAGTGTATAAAAGTTCCTATTTCCCCACTCCCTGCTAGCAGAATCCTTCATCCAACTTTTCTGTCTTTGCCAATCTGACAGGACATGTAGTATCTCACTACAATATTAATTTTTATTTCCCTTATTGTAAGTAAGGTTGATTATTTTATATGCTTAGGAGCTAGTTGTATTTCCTTTTCTGTGAATTGATTGCTCATAAACTGATTAAATCTTTGATATTCTGGATGGATCCTGATAAAAAAATTTTCCTTATTTATAAGAGCTCTTTATGTATTAGGGAGAAAAGCCCTGATAAAAAATTTTCCTTATTTATAGGAGCTCTTTGTGTATTAGGGAGAAAAGCCTTCTGGGGTATGAAGTGGAGGTATTTTTCTTAGTTATTTTTGTTTATTTGTTTTAGTCTTTGACTTTGCTTATGATGTGTTTTTCTTTTATCATGCAGAAGCTTTGCACTTTATGTCGTTGACTTTGTCAGTCTTTTATGACTTGTGTGTCTTATGACATCCTTAGACTTTCCTCACTCCAAGATTGTTAAAAAAAAAAAAATTCTCCCATGAGTTATTCTATTACTTTAAGGTTCTTTCTCCATCCACCATTTAACTCCTAGATCCATCTAGAATTTATTTTTGTGTAAGATATGAGGTGTGAATCTACCTTATTTTCCCCATATGGTTAACAACTTTTCCCCACCGCTTTGAAACGTCATTTTTACACTGTGTCCTCTTGATTAAAAGCTATTATTTAAGATGTTTGTTGGTGCAATTCAGAACAGTTTTAAATATTAGCTTTAATTTTTTAAGAGAGGTAGTCAGGTGTTCAGGACAGTGATTTCTGAACTCTTGGGGTGCCTACAGCCCCCTTCCCTCCACGACAAATCCCACTGTCTAGTGCTATTTACAGAGGGGAAGACGTCTTGCTCATGTCTGTTGGGCCAAGAAATAGTTTCCAATCACTCATCCAGGGATTTCCCCTTAGCCTCATAAAATCCACCTGGGGTCAGCCACCCATCTAGGGATTCCAGGGTTGTTACTTGAATGTGAAAAGAGCCTCAACAGGAGTCCAGAAGTAAATGGAGAATCTTTCCAGAGAAAACAGAATTCTTCACTTTTAGGTCATTAGTGACTGATCTTCAGATTATCTTCTCGTTTTATTTATTTTTATTTTTATTTTTAATTTTATTTTTTGAGACAGAATCTCTCTCTGTCACCCAGGCTGGAGTGCAGTGGCATGATCTCGGCTCACTGCAACCTCTGCCTCCCAGGTTCAAGCAATTCTCCTGCCTTAGCCTCCCGAGTAGCTGGGACTACAGGCAAGTGCCACCATGCCTGGCTAATTTTTTGTATTTTTAGTAGAGACGGGTTTCACCGTGTTGGCCAGGCTGATCTCGAACTCCTGACCTCAGGTGATCCACCCACCTCGGCCTCCCAAAGTGCTGGGATTACAGGCATGTGCCACCATGCCCGGCCTATCTTCTCATTTTAAAATCATAGACAATTTTACAATTTTGCTCTGGTAAATTTACTTTGATGGACCATAGGTCATCTGGTGAAAGGAACCCCTGGATTAGGCTATATTATGACTACATTTTGGCATTATTTGAAGCTAGAGAATACAGGGCTAAGGGTCATCTCTTTTAATTTGAAACTGTTTAAGGTGAGAAAAGAGTGTGACCCTTTAAAAAGCAGAATTCTCAGGGTGCCCCTGACTGTAAAGGCTCCTAGAGTTGTACCTACTGGGACCAGAGGAGAAGGCCTGTCTGGCAGTTCCTGATGCTGCTGATAGGGGGTAGATATTCCCAGGGAGCCTTCTTTCAAGCCAAGTGTTTGACTCCCTGTTTTGTTTGGTAGAGAAGGTTGCACAATGGCTTTTAATCTCATTCAATATTATAAAAGTGTTCTGTTTGCACTACTCAAGTAGTTTGTCACTCTAAACTTAGGGGTAGCAGCTGTTCTCTGTGCTTGAAAGTGCTAGTGGTAGTAACACCTCAATGGAGTGACTGGTGTTGACTTCCTGCCTCAGGGCTTGTTTAACCCTTAGGGCACCTCATCAAGTAGAGGAACTAGGCAAGTGTGTCAAGTAAGGAGGGAAGCTGGGAGAGTTGTGGAAGTGTTTTTCTTTGGTATAGGCTATTTTTCACTTACATTTTTATTAATTAGTTTGTTCCAGAGACGGACACTTAAAAAAAATGAATTCACAAAGGATACAGGGGAATTCAATTTAAGCGGTCATGTTAAAAAAGTAATATCTCCTTTATAGGCTTAATGTATGTCATAATTGGCTAATTTTTTCCATATGATTATGATGCCTGAGAGACAAGCCTATGGTATGCTGATGAGCCATGGTTAATACAATTTTATCTCACTAAATGTCGTCAGGATTTAAGGGAAGACCTTCACACAGATTTTTCTGTATCTACGTGATGATCATTTTCCTGCTTTTCCTTTCTGTCCCATCTTCACTCCTCCACAGTCATGTTACACTAGTATAGTCATGTGAGTGTGCCCATGAGTGACTCCAAGTTGAGTTCTAAAAAGCAGATTTCACTTAGCCAGCTGCCCTTGTCAGTTTCAGCCTTGGGAGTCACCTTTTGGTATCTTTTCCCACTGCTTCTTCCTCCTTTCTCAACCATCATTTCTCCTCTCCACTGGATTCTACTCACAGGGTTTGTAATCTCCCAGATCATTCAGCATCTGAATGAATTCAGCCGCCAAGGGGAAGATCACTGGCAGATCCCAGTGGGGGTACTTACCCCTTCCAGACTCTTCCTGAGGAAAGCAAGTTACCTTCCATGTAGCAGGAGTACATTTTATACTAGTTTGGCCTTGTGACTGTTAGAGTGGGAAGTCTGAGGGAACTGGAGAAGAGATGCAGTTTTAACAGAGGAAAAACATTTAGTAGAGACTGTCCCTTCTGCCTTCGGGCGTGTCCCTCTTCTGGGCATCTTTTCAGGATTTCATTCCTACGTCCAACTGCCGTTCACAACTGCCCTTTCCAACTGCTCCAGAACTCTTGGCCCTGGCATTCCGTGATGTAAATTATTCCACACATGGCTCAAAAGGGTGTGAAGCTGTGTGCCAGGTGTCGGATCACTAGTGTAAGTTTCCCAGTCTGTGGGGAGAGCTGCTCTTGGAATCTGTGCAGTTGTTGTTGTTTCAGCCCAAGCATAGTCATTTCACTGGCTAAGCTTGACACTGTCGCTGGTGGGGGAGAGAGGGATCTCGGGGCCTGGAGCTAGGGTGAACTTTTTTGGTTGAGATTCTCTACTTTAAGGATTCTAGTGTTAGGATGTAGATTGTTTGGAGTTGAACAGGGGTGGTGCTGCTGCAAAAGGAGAATGTGGGACCGGCCGGCCAGAGCCTGCAGAGACTGCCTGCGGCTAGGGTGCCCCCTCTTCTCTCTCTAAATGCAGGAAGAACCATTTTCCTATCTTCCTAAAGATAGCCAGAATATGGCAAAAAATGTAGGTTGCTCACCATGTTTAGGAACATTGAGTCACAAAATTAAAAGACCTCTATGTCTATGAGATCTTTTCTAAAACATAAATATTATTTCTCCCCTTGTTTATTGTACATTTTGAGGAAGTTACTGTTCATGGTTTATAGCCCCTTGGGGGAATCTGCATGTGAGGGAGGTTGCTGCCAACTATCTTTGATTTGTCTAGATTCTTTTTTGACTTATAAGTTAAAGGTTTGTTTTCAATAAAAAGTTTAAATTGAATACTTTATCTCTCAAATGACCTCAAAATTTTTAAAATTACATTAATATTAAGCAGAGGAAAACTCACGTGAATTACAGTTATTTATCCAGAAAAGTGTAAGGCATACTTTTGTATTGCATTGATACTACTGTCTTTAATCTGCTTTACTGAAACCTGTTTTCCTCTCCCTTTTCTTTATAGTTGTCATGGATGATGATGATGACTCGTGTCTCCTTGATCTTATTGGGTAAGATGCTTATTCCAAAACCTGGGTAAATCAAATGTGTGAGGTTTGCTGAACACTAAGACAACCTAATAGCATATAACACCTGATAGGTATTTTAAATAAAAATTAAATAATAATCATAGGTTTAGTAGAGAAACAGAGACATGATTAACATAGGGGTTGTAATTCAGTAATTCTTTTTTTTTTTTTCCTTTTGAGACAGGGTCTCACTCTGTCACCCAGGCTAAAGTGCAGCAGCACAATCTCAGCTCACTGTAGCCTCCACCTCCCAGGCCCACACGATCCTCCCACCTCAGCCTCCCAAGTAGCGGGGACTACAGTCACACACCACCATGCCTGGCTAATTTTTTGTGTTTTTTTTTTTTTGTAGAGACAGGGTTTTGCCATGTTGTACAAGCTGGTCTCCAACTCCTAGACTGAAGTGATCCTCCTGCCTCAGCCTCCCAAAGTGCTGGGATTACAGGCATGAGCCACTGTGCTCAGCAAGTAATTATTTATTAAATTTATTTCCTAATAAATCCCAGGAGGCAGAAGTGAATAATAATAGGAAATGGCACAACATCAAAACAAAAACAAGATTAAAAAAAAAAAAACCTACTAATAGTTTTAAAATAGGGAGAGGATTTTACTCAGGTAATAAATCATTTTCTTTCTACTCTAGTAAAAATTAGTTCTAAATATAGATAGTATATTTGTTTGTTGTTTTATCTCTTTTTTTCCTCTCTTTTCTAGAGACCCACAAGCATTGAACTATTTTCTACATGGACCTAGTAATAAATCTGTAAGTAATGCATAGAATACCACAGACATCTATTTTGTTTCTGCTTTACAGTTAAAGTAGTAACCACCTATTGAATTTGTATCTTTGCAGAGCAATGATGACTTGACTAATGCAGGATATTCTGCAGCCAATTCAAATTCAATTTTCGCCAACTCTAGTGTGAGTATTGGAAACTAAATGCAATGATTGAATGGTTTCTGTCTGATTGATGCCTTGTGAACTGAGCCTTTAACTGCCTTTGTATCATGAGAATCCTTACCTTGTCTGTTGTAATTAATTTAATTTTATTTATTTATTTTGAGATGGGGCCTCACTCTGTCGCCCAGACTGGAGTGCAGTGGTGCGATCACAGCTCACTGCAGCCTTGACCTCCCAGGCTGAAGCGATCCTCCCACCTCAGCCTCCCGAATAGCTGGGACTACAGGCGCATGCCACACGGGCTAATTTTTGTATTTTTAATAGAGACAGAGTTTCGCCATGTTAGCCCGGCTGGTCTTGAACTCTCAGGCTCAAGCAATACACCTACCTTGGCCTCCCAAAATGTTGGAATTACAGGTATGAGCCACTGTGCCCAGCCTGTTGTAATTTATATAGGAAGAAAATCTATTGAATTATGTAGACATTTTCTACTTTTAACTTAGTCAATTAAGACAAGCTATGTGGCCAGGTACAGTAGCTCACACCTGTAATCTCAGCACTTTGGGAGGCCAAAGTGGGAGAATCATTTGAGCTCAGGAGTTCAAGACCAGCCTGGGCAACATAGCAAGACCCTGTCTCTATTTTTAAAAAATAAAATAGACCAGATGTGGTGGCTCATGCCTGTAATCCCAACACTTTGGGAGGCCGAGGCAGGTGGATCACGAGGTCAGGAGTTAAAGATCAGCCTGGCCAAGATGGTAAAACCCCATCTCTACTAAAAATACAAAAAAAAATTGCCAGGCATGGTGGTAGGCGCCTGTAATCCCAGCTACTCGGGAGCCTGTGGCAGAGAATTGCATAAACCCAGGAGGCAAAGGATGCAGTGAGCCGAGATCCCGCCACTGCATTCCAGCCTGGGCGACAGAGCGAAACTCCATCTCAAACAATAAATAAATAAATAAATAAAATAATACACCAGGCATGGTGGCTCACACCTGTAATCCCAGCACTTTGGGAGGCCGAGGCAGGCAGATCATGAAGTCAGGAGATCGAGACCATCCGGGCCAACACGGTGAAACCCCGTCTCTACTAAAAACACAGAAATTGGTGTGGTGGCGCGTGCCTGTAATCCCAGCTACTCAGGAGGCTGAGGCAGGAGAATCGCTTGAACCAGGGAGTTGGAGGTTGCAGTGAGCCAAGATCGCACCATTACACTCCAGCCTGGCCACATAGGGAGACTCTGTCTCAAAAAAATAAAAAAAATAAAAATAAATAATAAATAATAAAAAGACAAACTATATGAGGTTGTCTTTTAAATAATAAAAAGACAAGTTATATATCCACTTTGCCATTTTTCTAAGCTTTCAACTTTCTTTTTTTGAGACGGAATCTTGCTCTGTTGCCCAGGCTGGAGTGCAGTGGCACGATCTCGTCTCACTGCAGCCTCTGCCTCCTGGGTTCAAGCAATTCTCCTGCCTCAGCTTCCCTAGTAGCTGGGATTACAGGTACCCACCACCACACCAGCTAATTTTTGTATTTTTAGTAGAGACTGCGTTTCTCCATGTTGGCCTGGATGATCTTGAACTCCTGATCTCAAGTGATCCCCGCCCCATTACAGGCGTGAGCCACTGCACCTGGCCTCAACATTCTTTCTAAAATGACTCAGAAATGTTACAACCTGAGAAACTCATATTAGAATGTTTTGAACCTTGTTACATAATAATCTTTAAAGAAATTATTCTTAATTCATAGTTACTTATAAGTTGTTTTCATCTTAAATGAGAAAAACAAAGATAATGAGTAACACTTGAGCATTTAGTATGTGCTTGGCATTAAGAGCTTAACATATATTAACCTCAGCCAGACATGGTGGCCCATGCCTATAATCCCACCATTTTAGGAGGCCAAGGCAGGAGGATTACTTGAGCTCAGGAGTTTGAGACCAACCAGCATAGTGAGACCCCATCTCTACAAAAAATTTAAAAATTAGACCAGCAGCTGGGCGCAGTGGCTTACGCCTCTAATCCCAACACTTTGGGAGGCCGAGGCAGGCAGACCACGAGGTCAGGAGTTCGAGACCAGCCTGGCCAACATAGTGAAACCCCATCTCTACTAAAAATGCAAAAAATTAGCCGGGCGTAGTGGCGTGTGCCTGTAATCCCAGCTACTCAGGAGACTGAGGCAGGAGAATTGCTTGAACCTGGGAGGTGGAGGTTACAGTGAGCCAAGATCACGCCACTGCACTCCAGCCTGGGCGACAGTGCAAGACTCTGTCTCAAAAAAAAAAAAAAAAAAAAATTGGCTGGGCGCGGTGGCTCACGCCTGTAATCCCAGCACTTTGGGAGGCCGAGGTGGGCGGATCATGAGGTCAGGAGATCAAAACCATCCTGGCTAACACGGTGAAACCCTGTCTCTACTAAAAATACAAAAAAATTAGCCGGGCGTTGTGGCGGCTGCCTGTAGTCCCAGCTACTTGGGAGGCTGAGGCAGGAGAATGGCTTGAACCCGGGAGGTGGAGCTTGCAGTGAGCTGAGATTGCGCCACTGCACTTCAGCCCGGGCGACAGAGCAAGACTCGGTCTCAAAAAAAAAAAAAGAAAAAATAGATGAGCATGGTGGTGCGTGCCTATAGTCCCAGTCCTGCTGAGGCAGGATCCCTTGAGCCCAGGAGTTGGAGGCTGCAGTGAGCCAAGATTGTGCCACTGCACTCCAGCCTAGGTGACAGAGTGAGACCCTATCTCAAAAAAAAGAAACCCAAGACATGTATTAACCTCATTTAATCTTCACAATGATTCCATGAAGTGGTTCTATTAAGATACATATTTTGGCCAGGCACGGTGGCTCACACCAACACTTGTGAGAGGCCGAAGTAGGTGGATCACCTGAGGTGAGGAGTTCAAGACCAGCCTGGCCAACATGGCAAAACCCTATCTCTACTAAAAAATATAAAAATTAGCTGGGCGTGGTGGTGGGCACCTGTAATCCCAGCTACTTGGGTGGCTGAGGCAGGGAGAATTGCTTGAACCAGGAAGGCGGAAGTTGCAGTGAGTCGAGATCGGGCCACTGCACTCCAGCATGGGTGACACAGTGAGACTCTTGTCTCAGGGGAAAAAAGAAAAAAAGATACATATTTTAGAGATGAGGAAACTAAAGCACAGAAAGGTTAAGTTACTTGGCCAAATAGTACACAGCCATGAGTTGCAGAGCTAGGATTCTAACCCAGGCCACCAGGCTCTGGAAACTCATGTTCTTTTTTTTTTTTTTTTTTTTGAGACAAGAGTCTCGCTCTGTTGCCCAGGCTGAAGTGCAGTGGTGCAATCTCGGCTCACTGCAACCTCCACCTCCTGGGTTCCAGCAATTCTCCTGCCTCAGTCTCCTGAGTAGCTGGTATTACAGGCGTGTGTCACCGTGCCCGGCTAATTTTTGTATTTTTAGTAGAAACGAGGTTTCACCCAGTTGGCCAGGCTGGTCTTGAACTCCGGACCTCAGGTGATCCACCCGCCTCGGCCTCCCAAAGTGCTTGGATTACAGGAGTGAGCAACTGTGCCCAGCCTCCATGTTCTTAACCTCCAGGGGCATCTAGGCAACAAACCTGACCTGGGGGATTGGAGTGTCCTGCCTGGAGACTATATCGAGATTACTGTGTTTGAGCCTTAGGTTCCCTTACTCTTTTCAGTTGCTTTGTTGTGCTGTGGATGGTAGTCAGAAGTTGTACTGCCCAAGGTTGACTCCTTGCCCTACCACTTATTAGCCATGTAACCTTAGATATATCACTAAATCTCTGTGAGGGTCAATTTCCTCTTGTTTGTTTGTTTTTTTTTTGAGACAAAGTTTCGCTCTTGTTGCCCAGGCTGGAGTGCAATGGCACAATCTTGGCTCACCGCAACCTCTGCCTCCCAGATTCAAGTGATTCTCCTCCCTCAGCCTCCTTAGTAGCTGGGATTACAGGCATGCGCCACCACCCCCAGCTAATTTTGTATTTTTAGTAGAGACAGGGTTTCTCCATGTTGGTCAGGCTGGTCTCAAACTCCCAACCTCAGGTGATCCGCCCGCCTCAGCCTCCCAAAGTGCTGGGATTAATAGGTGTGAGCCACCGCGCCTGGCCAATTTCCTCATTTATGAAACCAGAATAACAATGGAATTACCTCAGAGGGTGGTTAACATTAGTTGACTATACTGTTGAACTCACTTGGTATGGTGCTCAGTAAATATTAACTTACTATCATCAGGACCTATATTTTCTTCACCTATAAAATGGAATGGTGTTCAGAAAGTCCTTGGGATGGACAGTTCTTTTTAATAGTCACGTGTGTGTAAGGCACGTAAGATCATATCATGCAGGATATCTCTGCCACAACACTGATCTCTGGTAAGGCTTGTGAATCAGTAGCATTTCTGACATTCATTTTGAACAAATAATCACTACATATGATGCCATTAAACCCAGAAAGTAGATACTTGGCCTATCCCTCAACATTAATGATTTTTATTTAGCAACTGTCCTATTTCCATGTGAGTATTAATTCTATCTTTTCAAATTGCTTCATTCAATATGTATTTATTGGCAACTATTTTTGCATCATGTCGGTGTAGTAGCAATCTCGAAAATACTCTGAGGCTGGGGACGGTGCCTCACGCCTGTAATCCTAGCACTTTGGGAGGCCAAAGCAGGAGGATTACTTGCGTGCAGGAGTTCAAGACCAGCCTGGGCAAGATGGTGAAACCCCATCTCTAAAAACCAAAAACAAAAAAATTTAACTCGGTGTGGTGGGGCACACCTGTAGTCCCACCTACTCAGGAGGCCGAGATGGGAGGATCTCATGAACCCAGGAGTTCACAGCAGCAGTGAGTTATTATTGGGCCACTGCACTCCAGCCTGGGCAAAAGATCGAGACCCCAGATCAAAAAATTAAAAAGTAAATAAAGTCTGTGGCAGTATCTCAAAAAAATGAAGCTAAGCTCCAAGTAGTCCTCAGTATGTTCGCATTATCTGTTCTCTATAAAATAATTTATCAGCATGATGGATGCATATACTTATAATGTCAAGCATCATTATGATGGAAATAAAATATCAGAATAAGGTGAGCAGTTTAGAGAGTTATGCCTGAGAAGCAGACTGTCATGCTTTATTCATATTCAAAAGTAAGATTGGCCAGGCGCGGTGGCTCACTCCTGTAATCCCAGCACTTTGGGAGGCCGAGGCGGGCAGATCATGAGGTCAGGAGATTGAGACCATGGTGAAACCCCATCTCTACTAAAAATACAAAAAATTAGCTGGGCGCGGTGGCAGGCGCCTGTAGTCCCAGCTACTGGGGAGGCTGAGGCAGGAGAATGGCGTGAACCCGGGAGGCGGAGCTTGCAGTGAGCCGAGATCACGCCACTGCACTCCAGCCTGGGTGACAGAGCGAGACTCCATCTCAAAAAAAAAAAAAAAAGTAAAAGTAAGATTAATTTTTATGCATCCTTTTCAAAGGTTACATATGCCATGTAACATACTGTTTATTTTTTTAGAATGCTGATCCTAAGTCATCCCTCAAAGGTGTAAGCAACCAGCTTGGAGAAGGGCCCAGTGATGGACTGCCACTTTCAAGTAGCCTCCAGTTTCTTGAAGATGAACTCGAGTCTTCTCCTCTTCCTGATCTCACTGAGGACCAACCTTTCGACATTCTTCAGAAATCCTTGCAAGAGGCCAATATCACTGAACAGACATTGGCAGAAGAGGCATATTTGGATGCCAGTATAGGTTCAAGCCAACAGTTTGCACAAGCTCAGCTTCATCCTTCTTCATCAGCATCCTTTACTCAGGCTTCTAATGTTTCTAATTACTCAGGTCAGACGCTGCAGCCTATAGGGGTGACGCATGTGCCTGTTGGAGCATCGTTTGCAAGCAATACAGTGGGTGTACAACATGGCTTTATGCAACATGTGGGGATCAGTGTTCCCAGCCAGCATTTGTCTAATAGCAGTCAGATTAGTGGTTCTGGTCAAATACAGTTAATTGGGTCATTTGGTAATCATCCTTCCATGATGACTATTAATAACCTAGATGGATCTCAAATCATATTAAAGGGCAGCGGGCAGCAAGCCCCATCAAATGTGAGTGGAGGGCTCCTGGTTCATAGACAGACTCCTAATGGCAACTCCTTGTTTGGGAACTCTAGTTCCAGTCCAGTAGCACAGCCTGTTACCGTTCCATTTAACAGCACAAATTTTCAAACATCTTTACCTGTGCATAACATCATCATACAAAGGGGTCTTGCACCAAATTCAAATAAAGTCCCAATTAATATACAGCCAAAGCCTATCCAGATGGGTCAGCAAAATACATACAATGTGAACAATTTGGGAATTCAGCAGCACCACGTACAACAAGGGATCTCTTTTGCTTCTGCAAGCTCACCCCAGGGCTCAGTAGTTGGTCCACACATGTCTGTGAACATTGTAAACCAACAGAACACAAGAAAGCCAGTCACCTCACAGGCAGTGAGCAGCACTGGGGGCAGTATTGTTATTCATTCCCCCATGGGCCAACCTCACGCACCCCAAAGTCAGTTCCTTATACCTACAAGCCTTTCTGTCAGTTCCAACTCGGTACACCACGTCCAGACTATAAATGGGCAACTTCTTCAAACTCAACCCTCTCAGCTCATTTCTGGCCAAGTGGCCTCAGAGCATGTCATGTTGAACAGAAACTCTTCCAACATGCTCAGGACCAACCAACCATATACTGGACCGATGCTTAACAACCAGAATACTGCTGTCCACTTAGTGTCTGGGCAGACATTTGCTGCCTCTGGAAGTCCAGTGATAGCCAATCATGCCTCTCCTCAGCTTGTGGGTGGACAGATGCCCTTGCAGCAGGCATCCCCAACTGTATTACACCTGTCACCTGGGCAGAGCAGCGTTTCCCAAGGAAGACCTGGCTTCGCCACCATGCCATCGGTGACAAGCATGTCAGGACCTAGTCGGTTCCCTGCTGTCAGCTCAGCCAGCACTGCCCATCCTAGTCTTGGGTCTGCAGTTCAGTCTGGTTCATCAGGATCAAACTTTACAGGAGATCAGCTGACCCAGCCAAACAGGACTCCAGTACCAGTCAGTGTGTCTCATCGTCTTCCAGTTTCTTCTTCCAAGTCTACCAGCACCTTCAGTAACACACCTGGAACAGGAACCCAGCAACAATTCTTCTGCCAGGTAATGCCCTTTCCCAAATAAATATTTGGCTGATTATAGAATGGAAAAATGAGATGTGTATTTACTAGAATATAATTTTCATCCTAGGCATCCAATTTCTTAAAAATTTTAGGCCAGGTGTAGTGGCTCATGCCTGTAATCCCAACACTTTGGGAGGCCAAGGCTGGAGGATCACTTGAACCCAGGAGTTCGAGGCCAGCCTGGGCAACATAGTGAGACCCTGACTCTACCAAAAATTAAAAAATTAGCTGAGTGTGGTGGTGCACACCTGTAGTCCCAGCTACTCTGGAGGCTGAGGCAGGAGAATAGCTTGAGCATGGGAGGTTGAGGCTGCAGTGAGCCATGATTGTACCACTGCACTGGGTGATAGAGTGAGACCCTGTCTCAAAAAAAAAAAATTTTTTTTTACACTTATGACTGGTTATCTTTTTTCTTGATTTTCTTTTTTGCCAGGGGGCAGGGGTAGGGGGTCTCACTTTGTCGCCTAGGCTGGAGGGCAGTGGCGCAATCATAGCTCACTGCAACCTCAACCTACTGGGCTCAGATGATCTTCCCACCTCAGCCTCCCAGGTAGCTGTGACTACAAGCACATACCAGCACACCTAACTAGTTTTTTGTATTTTTTGTAGATTTGGGGTTTCGCCGTGTTGCCCAGGCTGGTCTTGAACTCCTGGGCTCAAGAAATCCCCTGGCCTTGGCCTCCCAAAGTACTGGGATTACAGGCCACCACACCCGACCTTTTTTCTTAAAATTTTTTATCCAGTGTAGCATTGTAGAGTGGAGACTCTGGAGTTAGACTCTTGAGTTTGAATCTAAGCTTTATGACATGGAAAAAGTTAACTTACCATTCTAGACTTAATTGTCTTCATTAGTGAAATGGGGATAATGATACTGCCATCCCATGGAGTTATCAGGAGGGTGAAATGAGATAATCTATACAAAGCACTTAGACATAGACCCTGGCAAATAGCAAATACTCCATAGGAGCTTGTATTTATACTTAATTAAATTCATTATGGGCATTTAAAATGAAAGCTTATTTTAGGTTATGTATTTACATTGTATAGCAGGCTATTAGGACATGTGACTGTGGACTTGTTGAAGATGTGGTAGCTGCTTCTTGGTTGCCAACAGGAAAGGCTCAGGGACTCAGTGTGACTCAGTAGTGGGTAACTGGCCTGCCCCAGAGGGAAGCACATAAAGGGAGAGATCGAGGCACTCTCATTTGACCAAGTACCTGACCTGAGCTTGCTCTTACTATACTGTTATGCAGATTAATTACTGTGGGCACTTGGTAAACCACATAAGGATTATGTTTCTGAAAAGAATCTCAAATGGTCATGAGCTTTAGTCCTTCACTGTCATCTGCTGATCCTTCGACGGCTCCATCATTTGGTTCCCACTCATTCTGAGCATGCTCCATAGTTCCAGCTCCTCCTCTTCTCATCTGGGAGGACCCATGCCATACCCTACTTTCGACCCCTCAGTCCTGCGTTTCCCCTGCCTTTCTCCTCCTCCACATTCAGAAGGATTCAAAAACTTCTGTTTATATACGTCAACATATTTCAAAATCTTTTTTTTTTTTTGAGACAGTCTCACTCTGTTGCCCAGGCTAGCATGCAGTGGCGAAATCTCAGCTCACTGCAGCCTCCGCCTCCCAGCCTCAAGTGATCCTTCCACCTCAGCCTCCCAAGTAGCCGGGAACACAGGTGCAAGCCACCATGCCCAACTAATTTTTGTATTTTTTTGATAGGCAGGGTTTCACCATGTCGCCCAGGCTGGTCTCGAACTCCTGGGCTCCAGTGATCTGCCCGCCTCGACCTCCCAAAGTGTTGGGATTGTAGGCATTCGCCACTGTGCTCAGCCAATATCAATCTTTTAAATATATATATCGGCCAGGAGCTGTGGTTCATGCCTGTAATCCCAGCACTTTGGGAGGCCAAGGTGGGCAGATTGCTTGAGGCCAGGAGTTCAAGACCAGCCTGGCTGACATGGTGAAACCCTGTCTCTACTAAAAATACAAAAATTAGCTGGGTGTGGTGACACACGCCTGTAGTCCCAGCTACTTAGGAGGCTGAGGCAGGAGAATCACTTGGACCTGGGAGGCAGAGGTTGCAGTGAGCCAAGATCATGCCACTGCACTCCTGCCTGGGCAACAGACAGAGTGAGACTCCATCTCAAAAAAGTATATATATTATATATATATGTATGTATGTATATATATATACATATATATGTATATATATAATATATTATGTATTTATATATATATTAATGTATATATCAATTTTTTAAACCATATACCTTTGACTTACTAATTTCACTAAGAATCCTAGGGAAACAAAGATTGCTTATGATTAAGGATGTTCAGTTTATTTGTTTTGGTTTCAAAGATATCAAAGGGGCGTGTGTGTGTGTGTGTGTGTGTGTGTGTGTTTGAAATAACATCAGACTTACAGAAAAGTTAAAGTTACAAGATTACTACAAAGAATTGTCATATACCCTTCACCAAGATTCCCGAAATCTTTTCTCTCCCTTTGTCTCTCTCTCTCATATACAAACACACACACACAAACATACACACACACACTTTTCAGAGTAAATTACAGACCTGATGCTTATGCCTCTTGACTCCTAATTACCTCAATGTGTATTTGTAACAGCAGGGGCATTCTCCTACATAACCACAGTACAGTAATGAACATTAAGAAATCAGCATTATTACAATACTATAACTAATCTGCAGACCTTACTCAGATTTAGTCAGTTCTCCCAGAAATGTCACTGAAAGCACAAGAGAAAACAAATTATTTGGTTTTGGTTTTGGTGTTTTGGTGTTTTTTCTTTAGAGATGGGATCTTGCTATGTTACCCAGGGTAGACTGTCTTTTTTTTTTTTTTTGAGATGGAGTCTCGCTCTGTTGCCCAGGCTGGAGTGCAGTAGCCCGATCTCAGCTCACTGCAAGCTCCGCCTCCCGGGTTCACGCCATTCTCCTGCCTCAGCCTCCCGAGTAGCTGGGACTACAGGCACCCGCCACCATGCCTGGCTAGTTTTTTGTATTTTTAGTAGAGACGGGGTTTCACCATGTTAGCCAGGTGACCTCCTGACCTCGTGATCCACCTGCTTCAGCCTCCCAAAGTGCTGGGATTACAGGCGTGAGCCACCGCGCCCGGCCCAGGCTAGACTCTTGAGCTCAAGCAATCCTCCCACCTCAGCCTCCTGAGTAGCTGGAACTACAGGCTCATGCCCCGGCATGCAGCTTTGTTTTGTTTTGTTTTTGTTTGTTTGTTTTTGAGACAGAGTCTCACTCTATTGTCCAGGCTAGAGTGCAGTGGTACGATCTCGGCTCACTGCAACCTCCACCTCCTGGGTTCAAGCAATTCTCCTGCCTCAGCCTCCCGAGTAGCTAGGATTATAGCTGCCTGCCACCATACCCTGCTAATTTTTGTATTTTTAGTACAGACAGGGTTTCTCCGTGTTGGCCAGGCTGGTCTCAAACTCCTGAACTCAGGTGATCTGCCCGCCTCAGCCTCCCAATTTGTTTTGGTTTTTATGGTCCAGGATCCACCCAGGATCACTATCTCATTTCATTGTCAGATTTTAAAATCTGCAACAGTTCCTCAGTCGTTCTTTGTCTTTCATGCTATTAATATTTTTGAAGAGTGCAAACCAATTATTATTATTATTGTTATTATTATGAGACGGAGTTTCGCTCTTTGTTGCCCAGGCTGGAGTGCAATGGTGCAATCTCAGCTCACTGCAACCTCTGCCTCGCAGGTTCAAGCCATTCTCCTGCCTCAGCCTCCCAAGTAGCTGGGATTACAGGCATGTACCACCACGCCCAGCTAATTTTGTATTTTTGGTAGAGACGTGGTTTCTCCATGTTGGCCAGGCTGGTCTCGAACTCCCGACCTCAGGTGATCTGCCTGATTCGGCCTCCCGGAGTGCTGGTATAGGCATGAGCCATGGCGCCCAGCAAAACCAATTATTTTCTATAATTTGGGTTTCTCTGATGTTTCCTCATGATTAGATTCAGTACATTTTTAACAGGATTGCCACAGAAGTGAGGTGTCCTCAGTGCTCAGGATGTGAATTTGTCCCATTGCTGGTGATCTCACCTTGAACACTTGCATAAGATGTTGTCCTTCAGGTTTCTCCACTGTTTTTCCTTTTGTCATTAATTAGAATCTTCCAGAAGATAATTTGAAACTCTGTAGGCATCCAGTTTCTCATCAAACTTGCACATGATAATTTAAGTTTCCATTGATGATTCCTGATTGAATCAGTTATTACAGAGCTATTACTATCATGGCCTCGAAATAGAGACTTTCTAATTCCTTCATTTGTCCTGTACTTACTAGTAGCATTCTAATTTAAGGAACAGCTTTTCCTTTTCTTCCCTTTACCTTTTTCTTTATGTGTGAATTCTTAGATTATTTGTAGTCAGTGGGTTATAAACTGACTATAATTGTATAAAATATATTGTATAAAATAATTATACAATAATTTATTTTAATGCTCAAGTCTACCCACATTTGGCAAGTGGGTGCCCCTCCAAATTGGCTGCTCATCCTTCTGACATGTTTCCATCATGCTTTGAGCACTTCCTTCAATTTCTGGCAAAACAAATGTTCTGTGTTTATCTTTTAATTTCCCTGCTCCTGCCCTACCATCAACTATTTTTTTAAGAAGGCTTGTTCCTTCTAGTGGAGAACAATATTTAGAAACCAAGATCTAAGCATTATGTGTGTTCATTGCTACTAAGGTCATTTCAGTTGGAAAATATGTATATTTATACACCCAACGCCTATAGGTATTTACATTTCTGTGAATCTATATTAAAAGCTGTGAGTTCATATTGATAGTTCCAATTCTAATCCATGACTACAGAATTCATCCAAGTCTCTCTCTTTTCCATATTTGTATATTTGTAACTCCCTTTCCTTCCCCTCTACCCTTTTTTCTTTTTTTTTTGAGTCAGAGTCTCACTCTACTGCCCAGGCTGGAGTGCAATGGCACGATATCTGCTCACTGCAACCTCTGCCTCCCGGGTTCAAGCTATTCGCCTGCCTCAGCCTCCCAAGTAGCTGGGATTACAGGCGTGCGCCACCACAACTGGCTAATTTTTATATTTTTAGTAGAGACAGGGTTTTACCATGTTGGCAAGGCTGGTCTCAAACTCCTGACCTCTGGTGATCCACCCACCTCAGCCTCCCAAAGTGCTGGGATTTCAGGCATGAGCCACCATGCCTGGCCTGTAACTCCCTTTTCTAACAGTGAGAAAGCCAGCTCCACCATGTTTATTTACTTACTTGTTCAATCCTAGAATATACAGAAAATAGTCTTAGAATGGCTAATCCATGTTTTAAACCATTGTAAAAAAAAAAAAAACTATTAATTAGACTTTACTATTGGTTTACAGTTCTGTGTTTAGCCTAAGTGTTTACAGTCAACATACTGTGTTCAAAAGTTACTTGGGGCTGGTTGCGGTGTCTCATGCCTGTAATCCCAGTACTTCCCAGCAAGCGAAGGGGGCAGATTGCTTGAGCTCAGGAGCTCCAGACCAGCCTAGGTAACATGGTGAAACACTGTCTCTACAAAAAATACAAAAATTAGGTGAGTGTGGTAGTGTGCACCTGTAGTCCCAGCTACTTGGGAGGCTGAGATGGACCATCTGAGTCCGGGAACGTCAAGGCTGCACTGAGGGTGATGGCACCACTGCGCTATAGCCTGGGTGACAGAGCGAGACCCTGTCTCAGAAAACAAAGAAACATAAAGAAACAAAAAATGTGCAGTTAATTAGTAAGAATGTAAAACAGTTCCAAAGTAGTCTAGAGTGAAAAACAAGTCTTTCCCCAACCTCCAGTTTCCTTCCAGAAGCCTCACTGTAAGTTCTTTGTATTCCCCCAGAGCTATCCTCTGCATAGACAAGCACGCACAGTGCATACACATACTTACCTGCAACACGCCATAGACGTTTTCACTTAATGATAGAACTTGAGGATCATTTTATATATGTATGTATTGATCAGCTTTATGTTTATTATAATTAATTAAGCAATCATCCATAGCATGGTCATTTCCTTTTCTTCTTTGCTATATAATAAATAATGCTTCAAAGGGAGGGGGGAGAAAAATACCTTTTTCTCTCTGACTCCCAAAAGTTTCAGTTATTCAAAGGTAAAAAGAAGCCTACACTAGCAGCTTCAAAGCAGCTGACTTTTTATGCCAAAAAGCATTGGGAACTAGGTCAGTTGCATTATTTCAGGTGTTCAAGTGTGTTTCCGCTATAAGTTTTCAGGAACAAGTGAAACCCCAGGTTTATTAAAATTAAGGAACATACCCTTGGGTACACAATTAGTTGAAATAGTAGTATTTAGGTCAGCTACCATTTAAATTCCCGGGACACCCAGAAACACAGAAATTATTTGCTTTCTGTGTAGTTTCTTTTTTTTTTTTTTTTTTTTGAGATGGAGTCTTGCTCTGTTGCCCAGGCTGGAGTGCAGTGGCACAATCTCAGCTCACTGCAACCTCCGCCTCCTGGGTTCAAGCAATTATCTTGCCTCAGGCTCCTGAGTAGCTGAGATTACAGGCGCCTGCCACCACACCCAGCTAATTTTTGTATTTTTAGTAGAGATGGGATTTCACCATGTTGGTCAGGCTGGTCTCAAACTCCTGACCTAGTGCTCCACCTGCCTCGGCCTCCCAGAGTGCTGGGATTACAGGTGTGAGACACTGTGCCTGGTCCTCTGTGTAGTTTCTATGTAATATTTCTTTTCTTTTTTTTTTTGAGATGGAGTCTCACTCTACCGCCCAGGCTGGAGTGCAATGGCACTATCTCGGCTCACTGCAAGCTCCGCCTCCCAGGTTCAAGCGATTCTCCTGCCTCAGCCTCCCGAGTAGCTGGGACTACAGGCGTGTGCCACCATGCCTGGCTAATTTTTTTGTATTTTTAGTAGAGACAGAGTTTTGCCATTTTGGCCAGGCTGGTCTCGAACTCCTGACCTCAGGTGATCTGCCTGCCTCGGCCTCCCAAAGTGCTGGGGTTACAGGTGTAAGCCACTGCACTCAGTTTTTCTGTGTAATATTTCTATATAAATTACTTTATAGAATGTTGTAACAAACACAAAAATATAATTACCGAAGGCTTTTGGCGTTTGTATATTTGTAGAAATGTAATTCAGCAGGTTTTGATACTATAAATGGTTAATGTTAGAGATAACTATGTTTTTAAATATAAATATAATATTGTTTTTAATATAGATAATACATTAACTTGGTTCAAAAAATCAAATGGGGCCGGGCATGTTGACTCACGCCTGTAATCGCAGCACTTTGGGAGGCCGAGGCAGGTGGATCACCTGAGGTCAGGAGTTCAAGACCAGCCTGACCAACAAGGTGAAACCCCATCTCTACTAAATATCCAAAAATTAGCCGGATGTGGTGGCAGGCGCCTGTAGTCCCAACTACTCGGGAGGCTGAGACAGGAGAATTGCTTGAACCTGGGAGGTGGAGGTTGCAGTGAGCTGAGATTGCGCCACTGCAATCCAGCCTGGGTGACAGAGCAAGACTCCATCTCAAAAAAAAAAAAAAGAAAAATCAAATGGTACAGAAAGATGTGTACTACAATGAAGAGTTTCCCTCCTCGTCTCGTTGCCCACCCACCCAGTTGCCATCAGGCAACCAGTGAAACCAGCTTTTATGGTGTGAGCTTAAGTTCCTTCCTCACTTTTGTATTGGGAAAACTTTCAAACCCATGGACAAATTGGAAGAGTACAGTGAATACATTGACGTGGTATCACCAGTCATTTCTGTTTTGCAGTATTTGCTTTATTGGTGCTAAATGTCTATAGTCTCTATGTGTATGTACACACACACATTTATACTTTATTTATATACTTTTTTCTCTTAACCATTTGAAAGTACTCTGCAAACATCACAACTTTTTATCCCTAAATACTTCAGCAGGTGTCTCCTAGGAACAAGGACCTTTTAATATAATTATATCAAATTTCTTCCATTTGGCCTAATAACGCCCTTTACAAAAACAGTTTTTCACTTTAGAATCCAGAGAGCACTGATTTCATTTAGTTGTCACATCTCTTTAGTCTGTAACAGCACTGATCAGTTGTCTTCTAGAGTGGCCTTGTCTGACTGGACTTGTCTGACTGGAAGTATGTTTCCTCATGACTCGGCTTCATCAGGCTAAATGGTTTGGGCAAGACACATGTTGGTTTGTCCCATTCGTGGTGATGCTGAGTGTGGGCACTTGGTTAAGTGGCCTCTCCCAGATTTCTCCGCAAGGGTCTCAAAGGTGTCTTGTTCCCTTTGTAAAGAAGAAATGATCTCCAGGATAGACCATGTGACTATTCTGTTTCTCAGCCTCTCACCCTTTGATGCCTCTCACCTGAATATTATATTGATAGTCACAAAATAATGATTTTATAATTGTAGTATCCTATCTATATTTATTGCCTGGGATTTTTCCAGAAAGAAGAGCTTTTTTGGCCAGGCACAGTGGCTCACACCTGTAATCCCTGCACTTTGGGAGGCAGAGGCGGGCAGATCACTTGAGGTCAGGAGTTTGAGACCAGCCAGGCCAACATGGCAAAACCCCATCTCTACTAAAAATACAAAAATTAGCCGGGTGTGGTGGTGCATGCCTGTAATCCCAGCTACTTGGGAGGCTGAGGCAGGAGAATCACTTGAACCTGGGAGGCAGAGGTTGCAGTGAGCTGAGATTGCGCCACTGCACTCCAGCCTGGGTGACAGAGCGAGACTCTGTCTCAAAAAAATAAATAACGGATTACCTAGGTCAGGAGTTCAAGACCAGCCTGGTCAACATGGCGAAACCCTGTCTCTACTAAAAATACAAAAATTAGCCAGGTGTGGTGGCGTGTGCCTATAGTCCCAGCTACTTGGGACGCTGAGGCAGGAGAATCACTTGAACTTGGGAGGCGGAGGTTACAGTGAGCTGAGATTGTGCCATTACACTGCAGCACTCCAGCCTGGGCAACAGAGTGAGACTCTGTCTCCAAAAAAAAGAGCTTTTTCTTCCTCTCCTTCCCATTTTTTTTGAGTAGCACTGTGAACTCATAGGGATCATTATTGTTGTTGTTAGGATTTTTAAAATTATTATTATTATTTTAAAAAATAGAGCTGGGGTCTTGCTATGTTACCCAGGCTGGCTCTAACTCCTGGGGTCAAGCGATCTTCCCACCTCAGCCTCCCAAAGTGCTAGGATTACAGATGTGACCTACCAGGCCCGGCCCAGGATTTTTTATGTTTGTTTTTTAGAACTTTTTATTATGAGGAATTTTAAACACAAAGTAGACAAAGCACTGTCATGAGCCCTCATACTCCCTCAGCTTGAGTATTTACCACTCATAGCTGCTCTTGTTTCATCCACATCCCCACCCCCTTTGCCCCTGCCTGGTATGATTTTGAAGCTCACCCATCATATCAGTTTATCTGTCATATTTTAACACATATCTCTAAGAGATCATGTATTCTTTCTGTATTTAATGTATTATTTCTGTATTTAATATATTGTAATTTATTGTGTTCCTCATTCTTTTTGATGCTTAAATTGTCCCAAATTTGATCAATGGAAGCCTGTTTGAGCTGGCTCCTATACTTTTGACATGTCTTCACCTCCTCTGAACACTTCCTTGCTTTGTGTCACAAGACACTGTAGGACTGCCTTAGATTACCTTGCCTCAAACCTGGAATCAGCCATTCCCGAAGGAGCCTGTGAACTAAGTCTTTTTGTGCAGAGAGTGATTTACAGGATTTACACTTTCTTGTAAGTGGATTAAAATTCAAAAGTCAGTTGCTAAGGAGACAATTTAAAATAATCTATCAAACAAAAGTAAAGAAATTAGTATAGGTCCAAATTTCTCTATTATTTATTTATTAGAGATGGGGTCTCGCTATGTTGTCCAAGCTGAACTCCTGGGTTCAAGTGATTCTCCCACCTCAGCCTTCCAAATAGGATTACAGGCACTAGCCATAACACTCAGACAAATCTCTTTATTTTTGTTCTTTTTTGTTTGTTTGTTTGTTTGTTTGTTTGTTTGTTTGTTTTTGAGACAGAGTCTCGCTCTATCACCCAGGCTGGAGTGCAGTGGTGCAATCTTGGCCCACTGCAACCTCTGCCTCCCGGGTTCAAGCTATTCTCCTGCCTCAGCCTCCCAAGTAGCTGAGAGTACAGGCATGTGCCACCACACCCGCTAATTTTTTGTATTTTTAGTAGAGACAGGGTTTCACCGTGTTAGCCAGGATGGTCTCGATCTCCTGACCTCGTGATCCGCCTGCCTCGGCCTCCCAAAGTGCTGAGATTACAGGCATGAGCCACCGCACCCTGCCTGTTTTTGTTTTTTGAGATGGAGTCTTGCTTTGTCACCCAGGCTGGAGTGCAGTGGTGCAATCTCAGTTCACTCCAACCTCCACCTCCCAGTTCAAGCAATTCTCCTGCCTCAGCACCCCCTAGTAGCTGGGATTACAGGCGCCTGCCACCATGCCTGGCTAAGTTTTGTATTTTTAGTAGAGACCGCACCTGGCCCCAAATCTCTTTGGATCACTAAAGGATTTCGTAGATTCAAATTTTATTGAGAGCAGGCAGGGCGCAGTGGCTCACACCTGTAATCCCAGCACTTTGGGAGGCCGAAGCGGGTGGATCACTTGAGGTCAGGAGTTCAAGACTAGCGTGGCTAACATGGTGAAACCTCGTCTCTACTAAAAATACAAAAATTAACCAGGTGTGGTGGGGCATGCCTGTATAATACCACCTACTCAGGAGGCTGAGGCACAAGATAGCTTTAACCCAGGAGGCAGAAGTTGCAGTGGGCCGAGATCATACCACTGCACTCCAGCCTAGGCGACAGAGCAAGACTCAATCTTTAAAAAAAAAAAAAAAAAAAAAAAAATTGAAAGCGGCTGAGCCCATATCACCTATATAGTACCTATCATGCTTTGGATGTGAGAGTGCCTGAATGATCACTCTTGAATATTTTTTTTTTTTTTTTTTTTTTTTGAGATGGGGTCTCACTTTGTCGCCAGGCTGGAGTGCAGTGGCACGATCTTGGCTCACTGCAACCTCCACCTCCCGGGTTCAAGCGATTCTCCTGCCTCAGCCTCCTGAGTAGCTGGGACTACAGGCGTGCACCACCACACCTGGCTAATTTTGTATTTTTTAGTAGAGATGGGGTTTCACCATATTGGCCAGGCTGGTCTCGAACTCCTGACCTTGTGATCCTCCCGTCTCACCCTCCCAAAGTGCTGGGATTACAGGCGTGAGCCACGCTGCCCTGCCAATCGCTCTGAATTTTTGCTGAAGTTTCTAGTCCCGCTCTGCCCCTCCCTACTTCCCTATCCCCCTTGTAGCTCAGCCTGCCTTCCTTATGTGGAACCGTTGTATTTTCAGACGTCTGGACTTAAAAATCTAGATGTTCTTGTTTTCTTCTTCTCCTTCTATGCCTTTAATGAATTACCAAATCCAATAAATGATTTGAAAATGTCTCCTATCCATTCTCTCCAATAACAATGAAAATACTAATCATATTACTAACGAGGACAGTGCTGGGGCTCCACACACTATTTCTAATTACGTTGGAGCTACATGTAGCATTATTGTTCCCACGTCACAGCAGAGAATATGGGGGTTCAGAGCTTGGACAAATTACTCATAAAGGCTAACTTTACCTGTTAGTTATCTATACCACACTGCTTCCCATTTTTCTCCTTTTCTACATCCATACCCCAAGGTAGGCTTTAAGAGAGACTAGAATATAACAGAAAAACAGGAGGTGAATCAGCAGTTCCAGTTCAGTCATAGGTACCACTCTGCCAGCGAGTGGTTTCTGAGCTAAGCTTGTATCTTAAACTCTCTGAGCCCTAGTTTTGTCTTTTCTAAAATGAGGAACTCTAGCTGTGCAATAGAATTACCTGGGGAGCTTTTTAAAACTGTGGATGCCTGAGCCTCACCCACATAAATTCTGACTTAAATAGTCTGGAGAAAGGGCTTTAGGCATCAGCATTTTTCAAAAGCTCCCCAAGTGATTTTAAAGTGCAGCCAGGATACAGAAGTACTGTGCTACCTGATTTCCAAAGCCCATTGCAACCCTAACGCCTCCGAATTAGACAGCTGCAACAATTATCTAGGTGATTAATCTGCTTTCGTCCTCTTCCTAAAGAAGGCAGATTTCCACATTAATCCTCCTAAAATATTTGAACCAAATCATCAGGGAGCTTCTCATTCCCACGGGAGAAAGCACAAATCTCCGACCTGGCAGTCAGGGTTCTCTAGTCAGAAACCCTCCACTTCCACCAGGCTGATCCCCTGTTTTTCCCACAAATAGGCCAGACTCATTGTGTGTTCAGGCCTTTGTTGATGGGTATACATTGAATGTCCTTTCCTTCCCTGTTTAAATTCTTCCCCTCCTTCAAGGTCCCACCCAAAGCCCCTAGAAAAAATGAAGGTTTTTCAGTCCCTTCACTGATCTCTTCCTGCCTATTATACTTTTTATTTGTACACCCCACTAGGTACATAACCACTTACTTTGTTAAATGTTTTCTACATTGATTCATTCATCAAACAGTATTTGAGTACCTACCACATGCCAGCCCCAGACATATAACAATGTATCCCAGACAGACAGATAAGCCAACAGTCAGAACACAGTATTTTTTTTTTTTTTTTAGATGGAGTCTTGCTCTGTCACCCAGGCTGGAGTGCAGTGGCACAGTCTTGGCTCACTGCAAGCTCCGCCTCCCAGGTTCATGCCATTCTCCTGCCTCAGCCTCCCGAGTAGCTGGGACTACAGGCGCCCACCATCACACCCATTTAATTTTTTGTATTTTTTTAGTAGAGACGGGGTTTTACCATGTTAGCCAGGCTGGTCTCGAACTCCTGACCTCGTGATCTGCCTGCCTCGGCCTCCCAAAGTGCTGGGATTACAGACGTGAGCCACTGCGCCCAGGCAACACAGTATTTTAAGCATGTGCTAGGAGTAGTCCAGAGTGCGGGCTCCGAAAAGGAGCCTCTAACCCAGTTGGGATGGTCAGGGAAGGTTTCCTGAGGTGGTGGTCTCTGAGAGTTACCCAGGCAGAGAGGATCTGGGTGAAGAATGTTCCATGAAATAGAAACAGCAAGTGCAGAGCCTGGAGAGAAAAGAGACCATGGTGCTGTGGGGAAAGGAAAACACGTTTAGGTGAGGCGAGTAGGGTGTTAGGTGGGAAAGGCGAGCACAAACCATGTAGGTCTTGGATGCCATGATAAGAGCCAGTGTTGTAATCTAAGCATGAAGTAGACCTACACTAGCAGTATAGGAAAGATGACGAGACATGAATGGATTTGAGACAACTAGGTTAGATAGAACTTGTGATTGATTGGGCATAGTGGAAGGATAAGGATGACTTACAGGTTTCTGACAGTGACACACAGGTTCACTGAGTTAGAAAAATGGGGAGAGATTTGGATTTGAAGGGAAGTTACTGAGTTTAGGGTATGTTCGTCAAGTTTGAGGTACCTGTAGGACAGCCAAATTATATGATACACGGCTATATATGCTGAAGCTGAACACTGAAATATGAGCTGAAATGGGATTGATCAGCATATAAATTTCTTCTTTTTTTTTTTTTTTTTTGAGACGGAGTCTCACTCTGTCACCCAGGCGAGTGCAATAGCACGATCTCGGCTCACTGCAACCTCCTTCTCCCTGGTTGAAGTGATTCTCCTGCCTCAGCCTCCTGAGTAGCTGGGATTACAGGTGCGCGTCACCATGCCGGCTAATTTTTTTTTTTTTTTTTTTAGTAGAGACGGGGTTTCATCGTGTTGGTCAGGCTGGTCTCGAACTCCTGACCTTGTGATCCGCCCGCCTCGGCCTCCTAAAGTGCTGGGATTACAGACGTGAGCCACCGCGCCTGGCCAGCATATAAATTTCAACTGAAGCAATGGGAGTGGAGGAAATGGACCAAGGAGAGCATATAGATAGAGTAGAAAACAGCCAGAGGAGAACCCCACAGCACCTCAACATTTAGGCTAAGAAAAGAGGATGGGCTTGGCACGGTGGCTCACGCCTGTAATCCCAGCACTGGGAGGCCGAGGCAGGCGGATCACGAGGTCAGGAGATGAAGACCATTCTGGCTAACCCGGTGAAACCCCATCTCTACTAAACATACAAAAAATTAGCCAGGAGTGGTGGCGGGCACCTGTAGTCCCAGCTACTCGGGAGGCTGAGGCAGGAGAATGGCGTGAACCCGGGAGGCGGAGCTTGCAGTGAGCCGAGATCGCGCCACTGCACTCCAGCGTGGGCTACAGAGCAAGACTCCATCTCAAAAAAAAAAAAAAAAAAAAAAAAAAAAAAAAAAAAAGAGGGTGTTGCAGAAAGAAGATCCACAGAGTGATGCACACTGAGAAGGAAGGTAAGGAGTGGGCGTTCTGATAGATTTAACAACTGGGAGGCTGCTGGTTGGTATGACTTGTTTCTGTGGAATGGTAGGTGCAGAAGCCAGATGGCAACAGACTGAGGAGAGAGCAGGAGGTGTGCTCATGAGCATAGACAGCTGTCAGATAAATGAAAGTAACTGAAGAGCAATAGCTATGAGGATGTGTGGGATTAAGGGAATTATTTTTGTAGTGAAAGAAGAGCTTTTTTCACAGCTGATGAGAAGGAGAAAGACATTCATTCTAGAGCATTGCTAGGATTCTTTGTAGACAGAGGAGGGACACCTATTGTAGCAAGAGAAGGTGGGAAAGGGTAAGATTGTAGCTTTCGTGGTAGAAAGTTATCTAGCTTATAGGTTTGCTTATAATAAAATAGCATTCAAAAGAGCTGACTAAAGGGAAAAAAAGGATTACTGGACAGCTGTGGGGTTGGATTCCAGTTGAGGCTGGGCACCATAATTATAACACACTGATCTATCATGTTTCTGTGAGCCTGTGTGTTTCTTGGATGGTAAATTTGAGATAAAGACTGTTTGGTATCCTTCGGCTGCCTTCTCTGTTTTTTGTTTTTTGGGTGTTTTTTTTTTTTTTTTTTTTTTTTTTTTTTTTTTTTTTTTTTTTTTTTTTTTTAGACAGAGTTTCAGTCGTCACCCAGGCTGGAGTGCAATGGTGCGATCTCGGCTCACTGTAACCTCCGACTCCCGGGTTCAAGCGATTCTCCTGTCTCAGCCTCCGGAGGGATTACAAGCGTGAGCCACAGCGCCCAGCCTGCCTTCTCTGTGATTACCACAGTGCTGTGTACACAGTGGTTACTCAAATGGCTCATCAAGGGACTTTGGATTGCAGCTATCAGAAACTCCCCGTAACATGTTTGGGAGATGTGTTTTGTGAATGAGCCCAAGTCCAGGAAGTATAGTGTAGCACCTTATGAGGGCAAGAATTCAGGTTCTCTGCTGCTCTCTGGGCCTCTTCACGACAGCATGGCCTTTTAGCTCTCCTTCATTGTTCTCCCTCCTTGTTCTCCTGGACTAAAATGATTGCCCCAGGCTATCTTTACATTATTCCAAACCAAGCATTTAACAGCCACTGGCAGGTGCGCCGGTTTCCAATACTTAACAATACATCAGAATCAACTGGAAAGCTTTAAAAAGTTATAGATTCCTGGCCGGGCGCGGTGGCTCACGCTTATAATCCCAGCACTTTGGGAGGCCGAGGTGGGTGGATCACGAGGTCAGGAGATAGAGACCATCCTGGCTAACACGGTGAAACCCCGTCTCTACTAAAAATACAAAAAAAAAAAAAATTAGCTTGGCGTGGTGGCGGGTGCCTGTAGTCCCAGCTAATCGGGAGGCTGAGGCAGGAGAATGGCGGGAACCCAGGAGGCGGAGCTTGCAGTGAGCCGAGATACACTCAAGCCTGGGCAATAGAGTGAGACTCCATCTCAAAAAAAAAAAAAAAAAAAGTTATAGATTCCTAGGCCAGGCGTCATGGCTCACACCTGTAATCCCAGCACTTTCAGAGGCCGAGGCAGGCGCATCACGAGGTCAGGAGGTCGAGACGAGCCTGACCAACATGGTGAAACCCCATCTCTACTAAAAATACAAAAATTAGCCGGGCGTGGTGGCTGTAATCCCAACTACTCAGGAGGCTGAGGCAAGAGAATCGCTTGAACCCGGGAGGCGGAGGTAGCAGTAAGCTGAGATCGCGCCATTGCACTCCAGCCTCGGCGACAGAGCAAGACTCCGGCTCAAAAAAATAAAATAAACAATAAGTTAAATAAATAAATAAATAAATAAATAAAGAGTTATAGATTCCTAAACCCCACATTAGATTTCTGAATTGATCTTTGTGGATGGAACCCAGAAATTCTCCAGGTGATCTTGACGCAACCTGAATTTGAGAACCACTGCCTCTTGATATCCATCCCTTACCCCAGCTTCAAATTCTCCAGAGAGTCTGATTAGGCCACTTGTGGTTGAGTAAACCATGACTGGAGGGGTAGTCTTCTGGGCGGCACAAGGAAGTAGTTTTCCAGGGCCTCTGCTGCTCAATCTGGAGCCTTTGTACAAATTAGGAAAAAGTGCCCCTCAGGGCCAAAGTATAAAAAGGCACCCCTCTGGGTAGACAACCTGCTTTACTGGTAGGCTTGGCACTTTTAGAGGGTGTGTAGCGGTTGCTTCTTCCCTGGACTTTAGCTCTTATCTGCCCTCTGGCAAGTAATACCATGTTGTGTATTTTCTTTTCTGTCTTACTGCATTAGCTACATCTTTCAAAAACATGTTGAAAAGCAGTGATAAGAGGGTCATCCTTGCCTTATTATTGATCTTAGCAGGAAAACTTCAAGTTTTTTGCCATTAAATATGAGTTAGGCTTGGTGGCTTATGCCTTTAATCTCCGCACTTAGAGGGGCTGAGGTGAGCAGATCACTTCAGACCAGACTGGCCAACATGGTGAAAATCCATCCCTACTGAAAATAGAAACATTAGCCAGGTACAGTGGCGCATGCCTATAGTCCCAGCTACTCAGGAGGCTGAGGTGGGAGAATCACTTGAGCCTGGGAGGCAGAGGTTGCAGTGAGCTAAGATCGTGCCACTACACTACAGCCAGGGCAACAGATACCCTGTCTTAGGGAAAACAAAAACAACAATGAATAAACCTCTCAAAACCTTTTTAAAAAGCATAAATTAGCTGTAGATTTTTTATAGATGTTTATCAAATTGAGAAAGATCCCCTCTATTCCTAGTTTGCTGAGAGTTTTTTTCATGAATGGGTGTTGCTTTTTGTCAAATACTTTTTCTGCATCTGTTGATACAATCATGGGATTTTTCTTCTTTAGCTTATCGATATTGATGTGATACATTAAAAGTATTGATTTTTGGCCAGGCACGGTGGCTCACGCCTATAATCCCAGCACTTTGGGAGGCTGAGGTAGGAGGATCTCTTGAGCCCAGGAGTTCGAGACCAGCCTGGGCAACATAGGAAGACCTCGTCTCTACAAAAAAATTAAAAAATTAGCCAGGCATTGGCCAGGCACGGTGACTCACACCTGTAATCCCAGCACTTTGGGAGGCCGAGGCAGGTGGATCATGAAGTCAGGAGTTCGAGACCATCCTGACCAACATGGTGAAACCCTGTCTCTACTAAAAATACAAAAATTAGCCGGGTGTGGTGCTGGGCACCTGTAATCCTAGCTACTTGGGAGGCTGCGGCAGAAAATTGCTTGAATCTTTTCTGGGCGCGGTGGCTCACGCCTGTAATCCCAGCACTTTGGAAGGCCGAGGCGGGCGGATCATGAGGTCAGGAAATCGAGACCATCCTCGCTCACACAGTGAAACCTCATCTCTACTAAAAATACAAAAAATTAGCCCGGTATGGTGGCGGGCGCCTGTAGTCCCAGCTACTCGGGAGGCTGAGGCAGGAGAACGGCGTGAACCCAGGAGGCGGAGCTTGCAGTGAGCCAAGATTGCGCCACTGCACTCCAGCCTGGGCGACAGAGTGAGACTCTGTCTCAAAAAGAAAAAAAAAACAGAAAACAGAAAAAGAAAATCGCTTGAACCCGGGAGGCAGAGGTTGCAGTGAGCCAAGATCACACCACTGCACTCCAGCCTGGGCGACAGAGTGAGACTCCATCTCAAAAAAAAAAAAATTAGCCAGGCATGATGGTGCATACCTGTAGTCCAAGCTACTCCTGGAGGCTGAGGTGGGATGATGGCTTGAGCCTGGGAGGTCAAGGCTACGGTGAGCTGTGATTGCACCACTGCACTCCAGCCTCAGTGACAGAGCAAGACCCTATCTCCAAAAAAAATAAAATCCTCAAGCGATTGCAAATTTTCATGCTCTGACATTAGATTATTATTTTTGTTTTCTTTCAATCTTTTATATTGTAAAATAGAACACATTCAGGAAATGTATAAAACATAAATGTATCATTGACAATTAATTATGGCCGGGAGCAGTGGCTCACGCCTATAACCCCGCACTTTAGGTGGCCGAGGCAGGTGGATTGCTTGAGCTCAGGAGTTTGAGATCAGCCTGGGCAACATGGTAAAAGCCCATCTCTACAAAAAATACAAAAACTAGCCAGGCTTGGTGGCACACACCTGTAGTCCCGGCTACTCGGGCTGAGGTGGGAGGATCCCTTGAGCCCAGGATGCAGAGGTTGCAGTGACCCAGGATTGCCACAGAGTGAGACCCTGTCTCAAAACAAACAAACAATGACAAAACAATTAATTATAAAGCAGGTACTCACGGCTGGGCTTGGTGGCTCAAGCCTGGCCAGGACACCTGTCCAGGTGTCCACCATATGGGGAACTTCCCATACTACAGTAGGACATCATGGGGTCACCTTGTAGGGGACATGCTGTAAAACTGGAAGATTTTCACGTTGACCCTTCCCCTTGTGGGTTTCTTCCTAATAATTCATTGCCTGGAATAGTTTAGGTTCACCCTTCCCTGTTAGTGGAAGAATGAAAAAGGTGACCATGTCCACCTCTTTAATAACCTTCTGTCACCTGGGCTGGAGTACAGTGGCTTCATCACTGCACTTCAGCCTCAACCTCCTGGGCTCAAGCAGTTGTCCCACATCAGCACCGCCAAGTAGCTGAGACCACAGGCATGTGCCACCACATCCAGCTAATTTTTTAATTTTGTAGAGATGAGGTCTCCCTGTGTTGCCCAGACTGATCTCAATTTCCTGGGCTCAAGTGATCCTCCCACCTCAGCCTCCCAAAGTGTCAGGATTACAGGCATGAGTCACCACATCTGGCCTCCTTTTCATTTTTATATTACAAAAGAGAACCAAATAATTAATTGTTTAGAACAGATTTTTTTTTTTTTTTTTTGAGACAGTCTCACTCTGTCGGCCAGGCTGGAGTGCAGTGGCACCATCTTGGCTCACTGCAAGTTCCGCCTCCCAGGTTCACGCCATTCTCCTGCCTCAGCTTCTCAAGTAGCTGGGGCTATAGGTGCCCACCACCACGCCCAGCTAATTTTTTGTATTTTTAGTAGAGACAGGGTTTCACCGAGTTAGCCAGGATTGTCTCTGTCTCCTGACCTCGTGATCCGCCCACCTCGGCCTCCCAAAGTGCTGGGATTACAGGCATGAGCCACTGCGCCCGGCCTAGAACAGAAATGTTAACATAAGTTTAGTTTGGTCGGATGCAGTGGCTCACGCCTATAATCCCAGCACTTTGGGAGGCCAAGGCAGGTGGATCACTTGAGGTCAGGAGTTCAAGACCAGCCTGGGCAACATGGTTAAATCTCATCTCTACCAAAAAATACAAAAATTAGCCAGGCATGGTCAGACCTACTTGGGAGGCTGAAGCAAGAGAATCGCTTGAACCTGGGAGGCAGAGGTTGCAGTGAGCCAAGATCACACCAGTGCACTCCAGCTTGGGTGACAGAGTGAGACCCTGTCTCAATAAATAAATAAAATAAATAAATAAATAAATAAGCTTAGTTTGTCAATGGTCAGGCATTGCCAGGGTCTATGTGAGCACTTACATGTGAATGGTTGGTGGGAACATTTTGCTGAGGCCAAGGTCATAGTTAAGTCCACTGTGCAGATGGTTAGACTAAACTCTAAATCCATAGATAGTATAAATAATATAAAACCGAAGAGGCTGGGTGTAGTGGCTCACGCCTGTAATCCCAACACTTTGGGAGACTGAGGTGGGCAGATCACCTGAGGTCAGGAGTTGGAGACCAGCTTGGCCAACACAGTGAAACCCCGTCTCTACTAAAAATACAAAAATTAGCCAGGTGTGGTGGTGGGCGCCTGTAATCCCAGCTACTCGAGAGGCTGAGGCAGGAGAATCACTTGAACCTGGGTGGTGGAGGTTGCAGTGAGCTAAGATCACGCCACTGCAGGCCAGCCTGGGCAACGGAGCACGACTTCATCTTTCAAAAAAAAAAACAAGAAAAAAACTCTGAAAAGTTACTGCACTATGAAGTAGTAATGGCACAGAGGATTAAAAACTGAGGGTAGGTAGGGCACGGTGGCTCACGTTTGTAATCCCAGCATTTTGGGAGGCTGAGGCGGGCGGATAACAAGGTCAGGAGTTCGAGACCATCCTGACCAACATGGTGAAACTCCATTTCTACTAAAAATACAAAAGATAGCCAGGCATGGTGGCACACTATTTGGGTGGCTGAGGCAGGAGAATCACTTGAACTCGGGAGGCGGAGGTTGCAGTGAGCCGAGATTGCACCACTGCACTCCAGCCTGGTGACGGAGTGAGATTCCATCTCAAAAGGAAAAAAAACTGAGGGTAATTTAAAAGCCCTTTATTGGCTGGGTGTGGTGGCTCATGCCTGTAATCCCAGCACTTTGGGAAGCCAGGGTGGATGGATCACTTGAGGTCAGGAGACCAGCCCAGCCAATATGGTGAAACCCTGTCTCTACTAAAAATAGAAAAATTAGCCGGACGTGGTGGCATGCACCTGTAATCCCAGCTACTCAGGAGGCTGAGGCAGGAGAATCCATTGAACTTGGGAGACGGAGGTTGCAGTGAGTCGAGATCGTGCCACTGCACTCCAGCCTGGGCGACAGAGAGAGACTCCGTCTCAAAAAAAATAAATAAATAAAAGCCCTTTATCTTTTTACTTAAAATGTATTATAGAGGCTGGGCATGGTGGTGCATGCATACAATCCCAGCTACTTGGGAGACTTGGGTGGAAGGATCACTTGAGCCCAGGAGTTTGAGACCAGCCTTGGTAACATAATGAGACCCTATGGCAAAAAAATAATAATAATAAAATACGTTATGAGATAACATAAGTTTTTTTTAAGAACTAAAAGGAACTTAGTTCTTAAACATTATCCATTTCATCTTCCCCATTTATAGAAAAGAAACACACAACAATTTAAACATTGGATTAATTTTTCTAATTATATTTTGCTCAGGCTAATATTAAATTGATTTTCATTTCTCAATTGCATGCCACCTGATGTTGACACAACACAAACTAGAGATATACCAGATGGTAGTGATGAAATATACTTTATATCATCTACACAGCAAAACAATGAGTGGTGACAAAAAATTTGGGGTTGGCCCTTGGTCCCTGACCAGGTGCTTGGAGTCTGTGCAGACCCCACATAGGAGCTGATAGTCAGGATCATAATCCTAGCAGGCAGGATATAAGGTTACTGGGGGTAGAAATTCCCAGCTGCAGCTTTTTCATCTGAGCACCACAAACACAGCAGCCCCGGGAGCAAGAAAATAGCCTGGTATCAACTCAGCATCCCCGCTGAATGGCATCAGGAAAATTCAGTGTGCCTGCAGATTGTTAAAGGATGTACTTTGCAGTTCCCCTGAAGTGATAAGAAAATACAATTATTAAATTTTTGGTTTGTTTATAATCTAACCTGAAGGTACCAGGGAGGCATGAAGAGGCTTGGTTGGTATTTAAAATAATCTGTTAAAGCTTTAGAAATGAAATTAATGTTTTCATCTTTGTCATGTTTCACAGGCTCAGAAAAAATGTCTGAATCAGACTTCCCCCATTTCTGCTCCCAAGACCACAGACGGCCTGAGGCAAGCACAGATCCCTGGGCTCTTGAGCACCACACTGCCAGGTCAGGAGCTTCCTCAGTTTGTCCCTGTCCTCCCAACACCACGGGATGCTCTTCTCACTTTTCTCCCTCATTCTGCACGAAAGCTTTCTGGCTTAATCTCGTCTCCACTCCGATTATTCCTTTCTTTCTGTATCCTTTCCGCAAATAATATACTGTGTTGCATCAACTCTAAGATAGCATTGGGCCGGGCACGGTGGCTCACGCCTGTAATGCCAGCACTTTGGGAGGCCAAGGAGAGTGGATCACCTGAGATCAGGAGTTCAAGACCAGCCCGACCAACATGATGAAACCCCATCTCTACTAAAAATACAAAAATTAGCCAGGCATGGTGGCACACGCCCGTAATCCCAGCTACTCAGGAGGCTGAGGCAGGAGAATCGCTTGAACCCGGGAGGCAGAGCTTGCAGTGAGCTGAGATCACACCACTGCATTCCAGTCTGGGTGACAGGGCGAGACTCTGTCTCAAAAAAAAAAAAAAAAAACCCCACTAAGATAGCATCAATTGTAAGATGTACTATCATTTTTTATACTACCAAAAAGAAAAACAAGCACTTCTATCTAAATTATGACACATTAAATTATGTGGAAAAAAAATACTTCTTAGAAACAATAAATTGAGGCCGGGCACGGTGGCTCACACCTGTAATCCCAGCACTTTGGGAGGCCGAGGCGGGCAGATCATGAGGTCAGGAGATCAAGACCAGCCTGGCCAACATGGTGAAACCCTGTCTGTACTAGCTGGGCATTGTCCTAGCTACCCAGGAGGCTGAGGCAGGAGGATCACCTGAGCCTGGGAGGTCGAGGCTGCAGTGAGCTATGATTGCGCCACTGCACTCCAGCCTGGGCGACAGAACAAGACCTTGTCTCAAAAAAAAAAAAAAAAAAGAAAAGGTATTTTACAGTACTTGTGACTTTGAAATTATCCCCATGTTGCTCTCTACATGCATGTTTGGAATTCTCCACCCAGACTGAAAATATTATGGACTATGTCTTCCGTTTTTTCTAAGGCTTTGAACATCTGCAGTACCCAATTAGTACTTAAAAAAAAAAAGGCAAGAAAGAGAAAAAGCTTGAATATTCCCAGTCAATTGCCTCTTTGGGCCTCCCTTTCCTTAAATTGTATTTTGGGATTCTGTAGTGCTGACAGATTACTGGCTTGAGGCCTGTTTTTCAGACTATAAATAATTTGAAACTATAGCATTTGGAGCTTCTATTTATTACTATTTACTTATTTATTACTTAAATAGGCTTTAATAACCTCTTCCTTTAGAGCTTGTAAGTAAATGCACTACCCTGCCCTCCTTCTTCACAGCAAGCAGCCATGATAAAGAAACCCGTTTCAGAATGCTCAACAGTCTGTACCCATTGGGTTCTAGGGTTATATGATGGACCCAATTTACTGTTTCTTTTGAACACTGTCTCATGTATTAATTCTAATAGGGCAGGATTCTGGAAGCAAAGTTATATCCGCATCCTTAGGAACCGCACAACCACAGCAGGAAAAAGTAGTTGGATCATCTCCTGGCCATCCAGCTGTGCAGGTAGAAAACTATTGGCATAGCCTCTTCCTAATGTTCGGCATAATTGAATGAAAATGTAGTCGTGCTATCTTTGTGGTTGCTGGCTAGCTTTGTGTGCACAGTCCACCCAGTCCCCTGTGTGCCCACAACAGGGTGGTCATTGAAGACCTTCCTGGTGGGCTGGGCCTTGTTATGTTTATGTTTCTGAGATGAATGTCTATTCTATTTCTGACATGTTTACAGTGCTTCATTAATCCATCATTTCCTCATGAATTAGTAATATACCAGCAGCTAGTACATACTAGGCACTCAAAAAATGTCATTTACTACTAGGTGATATCGTTCACTATTATATCAAAGCGAATCTCTTCTTCTTAGTTATACTGAGGGATTTTTGTTTTTCTGTAGTAGTAACCAGGCGTATAGGAAGTAGGCCATCCCTACGGTCTTTTGACCCAACTTTGACACTTTTTAAAGTCCAACTTTTTGGTTTTTGTTTGAGACAGGGTCTCACTCTGTCACCCAGGCTGGCATGCAGTAGTGCAATCACAGCTTACTGCAGCCTTGACCTCCCAGGCTCAGGTGACCCTCCTGCCTCAGCCTTCTGGGTAGCTAGGACAATGCCCAGCTGTTTTTTTGTATTTTTTGTAGAGATAGGATTTTGCCATGTTGCTCACACCTGTCTCAAACTCCTGGGCCCAAGCCATCCACCCACCTCAGCCTCCCAAAGTACCTGGATTACAGGTGTGAGCCACTGTGCCCTGTCTAGTCCAGCTGGGTTTTTTGTTTTGTTTTTGTTTTTGTTTTTGTTTTGTTTTGAGTTGGGGTCTCACCCTGTCACTCAGACTGTGCTGCAGTGGTGTGATCACAGCTCACTGAAGCCTCGATCACCTGGGCTCATGCGATCCTCCCACCTCAGCTTCCTGAGTAGCTGGGACTACAGGCACGCACCACCACGCCTGGCTAATATTTTTATATTTTTTTTAAGAGAAAACGTTTTGCCATGTTGGCCAGGCTGGTCTGAAACTCCTGGGCTCAAGCAATTCTCCCACCTCAGCCTACCAAAGTGCTAGAATTACAGGCTTAAGCAACCACTCCTGGCCTAGTTTTTTTTGTTTGTTTGTTTTTTTGATACATGATAGATGTACATATTTTCAGGGCACATTTGATAACTTCAAGTTTGGCTTTTAAACCTAAAAGATTTCAAACTACTAGTCTAAAATGGAAGGAAACATTTCTTGTTTTCAGCTTACTAAGACAGTTTCGTTTCCATCAGACCTACCAATTAGTGGTTGAATGAAACTTGCTGCAGTGTGGGACTGCCTGGAATACACAGTGAAGGATCTGTTCAGTTCTAAGGTTCTGAGATAAGGCCTATTTGTTTCCTTAACATGATGTAAAAAATGCCTCGTTAGATCACACACCTGGACTATATATAACAGGAGCTTAAAAGTGTGTATCCCATACTTACACTGAGAAGATGGATTAGATAGTATCTACTGACTTTTCAGATGTCTGTGGAATTTCAAAAATATAACGATGGGTCAGTGCTGTGGCTCACACCTGTAATCCCAACACTTTGGGAGGCCAAGGCAGGCGGATGGCTTGAGTCCAGGAGTTCGAGACAAGCCTGGAAAATATGGCAAAACTCCGTCTCTACAAAAAATACCAAAAAATTAACAGGCGTGGTGGTGCATACCTGTAGTCCCAGCTACCTGGGAGGCTGAGGTGGGAGGATCACTTGAGCCTGGGAAGCAGAGGTTGCAGTGAGCCGAGATTGTACCACCACACTCCAGCCTGGACGACAGAGCACGACCCTGTCAAAAAACATGATGATGATGATGATGATGATGATGGTGCATTTAGAGAGGAGGTAGGCATTCAGGCTTTAAAGTGCAAACTGAGTCCCTCTCAGGAACCGATTATACACCTTTCTGTAATCTTAACACAGTACAACTTTGTTTCATGGACTCTGTGTACTGGTTTTTTTTTTTTTATTTTTCAGCAGGGCACATTCTGTAGTCTTAGAATATGTTCTTGATAGGTAGTTGAAAATATGTGAACTATAGTGACCTTTATGTATAACTGTATTCTTTTTTCTATAAAAGGGAATAATAAGAGGTTTGTTTTGTCTTTAGGTGGAGAGTCATTCGGGAGGACAAAAAAGGCCTGCTGCGAAACAGCTAACGAAAGGAGCTTTGTGAGTTACTCTCGGAAATGACAAATCAATTCTGAACACTTCTTTGGGTCCCTAGCCTTCAATAAATATACCACAGAAAACAGGTTATAATAATGAGTATATTAGCCTTTTTAAAAATGTACTTTGAGGCAAGGCATGGTGACTCACTCCTGTAATCTCAGCACTTTGGGAGTCTTAAGGCAGGAGGATCACTTGAGCCCAGGAGTTTGAGACCAGCCTGGGCAACATGGCTCTGCAAAAAATACAAAAATTAGCCAGGCGTGGTGGTACGGGCCTGTAGTCCCAGCTACTTGGGAGGCTGAGGTGGGAGGATAGCTTGAGTTCTGAGGTGGAGCTTGCAGTGAATTGGAGATTGCGCCACTGCACTCCAGCCTGGGTGACAGAGCAAGACCCTGTCTCAAAATATATACATATATACTTTGAAAATCTTTTTCTATACTTTCTTTTCCTTTTTTTTTTTTTTTTTTTTTTTTTTGAGACAGAGTCTTGCTCTGTCGTCCAGGCTGGAGTGCAGTGGGACGATCTCGGCTCACTACAGCCTCCGCCTTCTGGGCTCAAGTGATTCTCCCACCTCAGCCTCTGGAATAGCTGGGATTATAGGCACCCGCCATCACGCCTGGCTAATTTTTGTATTTTTGTAGAGACAGAGTTTCACCATGTTGGCCAGGCTGGTCTTGAACTCCTGACCTCAGGTGATCCACCCACCTCAGCCTCCCAAAGTGCTAGGATTACAGGTAGTGTATACATTTCAAATATATTGAATGTAGTTTCAGCCTACTGTTTGCTCTTTTCTTCTTAAGGAGAATAGTTCTTTGTCTTTTCAGAGACAAAGAATCTCTGAGGAAAAGCGTGGTTTGGTAAACTCCCATGTTTAGAACAGAAATGTTAGCATGAACTTAGTTGGCCAATGGTCAGGCACTGCCAAGGTTTATAGGGGTGCCAACACATAAATGATTGGTGGGAACCTGTGCTTTTGAGGTCAGGGTCATAGTTTGAGTCCTCTGTGGGGCTAGTTAAACTAAGTTATAAACCCACTATGGTATAAAAAATATAAAACTAAAAAACTGCCGTATTATTCCTATATATCTTATTTTATTTGCATGCAAATAAATATGACTAGATTTAATTTCCTAACATGACTTTACATTGACATTGACCATTTCCCTTGTAAAGCATTCTCCAGCAGTTGCAGAGGGACCAAGCCCACACTGTGACACCAGACAAAAGTCACTTCCGATCACTAAGTGATGCGGTACAGAGACTGCTCTCCTACCACGTGTGCCAGGGCTCCATGCCCACTGAAGAAGACTTGAGAAAAGGTAAGCAGGCTGGGACCCTAAGGCACCACTCTGATACCAGGAAACCCTCCATGGACACCCCCCAGAAAAGCAAGAGCCACATCACCCCCAGATGGTAGGCAGGTTATTGTTTTTAATCACAGACCAAACTTGTTCCCTGTTTACTCAATTTCCCAGTCCATGTTTAAGGTTGTGACTTACACTTCTCAGTATTTTTTGAAGGGAAGTCAAGAGTAGGGGCACACACCTGTAGTCCCAGCTACTCAGAAGGCTAAAGCAAGAAGATCATGTGAGCCCAGGAGTTTGAGACTATAGTGTGCTATGATCACGCCTGTAAATAGCCATTGCACTCCTGCCTGGGCAACATAGGGAGACACTGTCTCTTAAAAAAAAAAAAAAATATATATATATATATATATATTTTTTAGGAGGGTACCCTAATGTCAGAGTATTTTATTGACAAATTAGGGACAGTAAATCCAAAGCTTTGTATGGACTGCCGGCTCCAGATGGGATGGCTTTGCACTAGACACTCTACACAGTGGTTTTGCATAGTCCTTGCCTTTAGGCCATATGCATACCCTGAATTTTTTTTTTTTTTTTTTTTTTTTTGAGATGGAGTCTCGCTCTGTCACCCAGGTTGGAGTGCAGTGGCACGATCAACTCACTGCAACCTCTGCCTCCCAGGTTCAAGTGACTCTCCCTGCCTCAGCCTCCCCAGTGGCTGAGATTATAGGCGCCCACCACCACGGCTGGCTAATTTTTGTATTTTTTTAGTAGAGATGGGGTTTCACCATGTTGGCCAGGCTGGTCTTGAACTCCTGACCTCAGGTGATTGGCCCGCCTCAGCCTCCGGAAGTGCTGGGATTATAGGCATGAGCCACCACTCCTGGCCAAACTGTTTCTAATAGTTTTATGAATTAGGCACTTGAGCTCCCAAAAGCATTCCCTAAGATTCCAAAATGAGTCCAGAGCATTGGCCACACATCAAGAAACTGACAAAAATGTGAGAGATAAAGGCTGAGCACAGTGGCTCACGTCTGTAATCCCAGCACTTTGGGAGGCTGAGGCAGGCCGATCACCTGAGGTCAGGAGTTCAAGACCAGCCTGGCCAACATGGTGAAACCCCGTCTCTACTAAAAATACAAAAATTAGCTGGGCGTGGTGGCACACGCCTTCAGTCCCAGCTACTTGGGAGGCTGAGGCAGGAGAATCGTTTGAACCTGGAAGGCAGAGGTTGCAGTGAGCGGACATCGCACCACTGCACTCCAGCCTGGATAACAGAGCAAGACTCTGTTTTAAAAAAAAAAAAAAAAAAAAGGCTGGGCGCAGTGTCTCACACCTGTAATCCCAGCACTTTGGGAAGCTGAGGTGGGTGGGTCACCTGAGGTCAGGAGTTCGAGACCAGCCTGACCAACATGGAGAAACCCTGTGTCTACTAAAAATACAAAATTAGCCAGGCGTGGTGGCACATGCCTGTAATTCCAGCTACTCGGGAGGCTGAGGCAGGAGAATCACTTGAACCCGGGAGGCAGAGGTTCCCATGAGCCGAGATCGTGCCATTGCACTCCAGCCTGGGCAACAAGAGCGAAACTCCATCTAAAAAATAAATAAATAAATAAATAATAATTTAGAGATAAGAGCCCCTTCCCCAAACCTAGAACTCCTTCTGTCCTGATGCCTGGCCATGCTCTTTCCCACCACCACCGCTAAGGCCTGGCTGTATCAGTGCCCTCCTCTTTTCTAATCCCTTCCTCAGCTGCTACAAGTCTTACTCCTCCTGGCAGGGACCTCTAATCTCAGGGCACAGTGGTTTCTGTGAGTCCACTGTGGGCTTCCCTAGGACACCAAGGAATAGGGTCAAGATCCAGCGTTAAACAGGGGGTGTGAAAGGGCTGGGCATGGTTCTTCACGCCTATAAGCCCAGCATTTTGGAAGGCCGAGGTGGGCAGATCATGAGGTCAGGAGTTCGAGACCATCCTGGCCAACATGGTGAAACCCCATCTCTACTAAAAATACAAAAAAATTAGCAAGGGCATGGTGGTGCACACCTGTAGTCCCAGCTACTCGGGAGGCTGAGGCAGGAGACTCACTTGAACCCGGGAGGAGAAGGTTGCAGTGAGCTGAGATTGCGCCACTGCACTCCAGCCTGAGCGACAGAGCAAGACTCTGTCTCAAAAAAAAAAAACCCACAGTGGGTGTGAAGACTGAGAAGAAGAATGAATTAGAAGGTGTTCAAATCCTTGGAGACCAACAGACAGAGGACAGAGCCACATGACCATGACAGTTTAATGTAAAGCTGTGTCTTTACATTAAACTGGTTTACCTAGTCCAGACAGTTGGACTTCATTGTTTCAGCTATTTTAGTTTTTCATACCATTAGGCTTAGGTCATCTAAACTAGCAGATCATTCTCTACTCATTGATATATATATATTTTTTTTTGAGACAGAGTCTCATTCTGTTGCCCAGGCTGGAGTGCAGTGGCACGATCTTGGCTCACTGCAAGCTCCGCCTTCTGGGTTCACGCCATTCTCCTGCCTCAGCCTCTCGAGTAGCTGGGACTAGAGGTGCCCGCCACCACGCCCAGCTAATTTTTTTTTTGTATTTTTAGTAGAGATGGGGTTTCACCATGTTAGCCAGGATGGTCTCCATCTCCTGACCTCGTGATCCGCCCACCTCGGCCTCCCAAAGTGCTGGGATTACAGGCATGAGCCACCGTGCCCGGCCTACTCATTGATATTTATTGCGAGTCTGTTATATGGTTTTATTTTATAGGTGATATCAAAGTAATTATGTTTTTGGTTTCCTAGTTAAAGTTAAAAGAGTTAGTAATAAAATGAGTTTCCATGACCAGTGGACAGTGAGGGAATGCAGTGTAGAAGGATGATGCTTAGCCGGGGAAAAGCTCATCTAAGAAGAGAAAATTGCCCCAGATAAGCCATGTTTGAATAACAGAAGAGTAATGTATTTCAGTCTTAAGAAACAGAAGACCTAGTCAGTGATTTACAGTCTCTCACTATTTCTTTGTCTCTCTCTTTTTAAAGTGGACAATGAATTTGAGACAGTTGCCACTCAGCTCCTAAAAAGGACCCAAGCTATGCTTAACAAATACAGATGCCTGCTCCTAGAAGATGCCATGGTAAAAGTCATGCTACTGATATTTGTTCTTTAAAACTTTACAGGTCACAGCCACTAAATCAGAGACAGAAAGGTCAAGGAATTATAGAATATAATGTAAAAGTAACAGATATTTCACACTGTAGAAAAACTTACGCTTAGCTGCTACTACAAAAACAGCAGTGAACATTTGCTGTACTTTACTTGGTGGGTCAGTACTATTCTCTTGTTTAACGGATAAGGAAACCAGGGCTTTGGTTAAGTAACTTGCTCGAGAACAGATGGCTAAGAAGTTTGCAGAGTAATTAGCAGAGCTCGGATACGAGCCAGGATCATCTGACCCCTGGTCCACACTCTGATGCCATCTACCGCCTTTCACCAACCCAGAGATGTGGGAGAAGGACTGGAGGCACATCTGAACAGATAAGCTGGTGACAAATGTCAAAATTAGTTTTGTTTTTGAGAGATCATTGACATTCCATAAAATTTACATTTAAAGTGTACAACTGAGGCCAGGCATGGTGGCTTATGCCTGTAATCCCAGCACTTTGGGAGGCCAAGGCGGGTGGATCACCTGAGGTCGGGAGTTCAAGACCAGCCTGACCAACATGGAGAAACCCCTTCTCTACTAAAAATACAAAAAGAGCTAGGCGTGGTGGCGCATGCCTGTAATCCCAGCTACTCGGGAGGCTGAGGCGGAAGAATCACTTGAAGCTGGAAGGCAGAGGTTGCAGTTAGCCAAGATCATGCCATTGCACTCCAGTCTGGGCAACAAGAGCGAAACTCTGTCTCAATAAAATAATAATAATAATAATGAAAAATAATGGATCACCTGAGGTCAGGAGTTTGAGACCAGCCTGGCCAACATGGTGAAACTCGTCTCTACTAAAATACAAACATTTCAGTGTTCAGAGTTGCAGTGAGCCGAGATCGCACCACTGTACTCCAGCCTGGGTGACAGAGTGAGACTCCGTCTCAAAAATAAATAAATAAATGAAGTGTACAACTTGATGGTTTTTAATACATTTACAAGGTCATATTGTCATCACCACTGTCTAATTGCAGAACATTTTGATCATCCCAGATAGAAACTGCAATTCATTTGAAGTGCCAGTTAAATAGAGAAAGGAGTGAGAATAAGATACCTCAGAAAATGATAGAAAGACCGAACCTGAGATTTGAGAAGCAGTTCTAAAATCATATAGGCTTTAACCTATCAATTGGTCTCTTATAACTCATTTTCAATTTGATATCAACTTTGAAAATGTACCTTGGGAGATTGGTTGAGCTATATTATACACATATACAACATAGAGTAAATGTGTATCCGTGTGTCTGTATTTACTTAAATATATCTATATTTACTTAAAATTATGCCACCAGGCCAGGCACAGTGGCTCACGCCTGTAATCCCAGCACTTTGGGAGGCCGAGGTGGGTGGATCACCTGAGGTCAGGAGTTTGAGACCAGCCTGGCCAACATGGCAAAACCCTGTCTCTTGTAAAAATAAAAAAATTGTCTGGGTGTGGTGGTGCGTGCCTGTAATGCCATCTACTCCAGAGGCTGAGACAGGAGAATTGCTTGAATCTGGGAGGTGAAGGTTGCAGAGAGCCAAGATTGTGCCACTGCACTCCAGGCTGGGCGACAGAGCGAGACTCTGTCTAAAAATAAATAAATACAATAAAAAATAATGCCACCAAAGTCTGTAATAATTGTTCTCAGGCAGGTGCGGAGGCTCATGCCTGTAATCCCAGCACTTGAGGAGGCCAAGGCGGATGGATCACCTGAGGTCAAGAGTTCAAAAAGATTTCTAAGATACATTATTAAGTAGAGGAGAAAAAAATACAGAACAGTATATATAGTTGCTACTATTTGGGTACAAAATAAAGAAGTATATTTCTTTATATATAAATATATTTATAGTACATATATATTCTTATGTGTGTCAGAAATATCTCCAGAAGAGTACTGAAAACTACTAGGCAGGCAGATGCCTCCAGGGAGAGGCACTGGGTGATAGTGGGTGCACACCAGGGAGAGGCAAAGAAAGGAGGCTCACTTTTCACATGCCCTGTAGTATCTTTTGAATTTTGTACCAATGTGTAAATTATTTTTTCCAAAAGCAACCATTTTTTAAAAATTGTCTATGAAATGACTGGCCTCTCTCTTTTTCAGCGAATCAATCCCTCTGCTGAGATGGTGATGATCGATAGGATGTTCAACCAGGAGGAAAGAGCTTCCCTGTCCCGAGACAAGCGTTTGGCACTTGTAGACCCTGGTAAGAAACATCGCAGTGAAAGTAGTGGATAGCTCCTGCCATGGTTCAGGGACCATGGGGCCTTTGGCAGTCTGTCTGAACTTTGGGTAAGAAACTTGAAGGTAGAACGTGAATTCTGGGGAGAGCTGGGCACGGTGGCTCACACCTGTAATCCCATCTACTTCCTTCTCCTCTTTGGCCTGCACAGCCAATGTTTGTTGGATGGAATCATCTTTTTAGATTTCAAGGCTATATTCCCTAGAACTCACATTTTAGAATTTGGTGAACAAATTCATGTTCACACTATACATACATACTCTTCGTTGTTTTGTAGATGTCATCAAAGCTCTATTTCACTTCGATTATTTCCAGCATTAACACTTTTTCCACTCTTGTGTAACAGCAGTCTGCCTGCCTCCATCTGTACCCTCAATGTTCTAAATCCTCATGGACATTTCTTTTTTTTTTTTTTTTTTGAGACGGAGTATCGCTCTGTCGCCCAGGCTGGAGTTCAGTGGCGGATCTTGGCTCACTGCAAGCTCTACCTCCCGAGTTCACGCCATTCTCCTGCCTCAGCCTCCCAAGTAGCTGGGACTACAGGCGCCTGCAACCACACCTGGTTAATTTTTTGTATTTTTAGTAGAGACGGGGTTTCACCGTGTTAGCCAGGATGGTCTCCATCTCCTGACCTCATGATCCGCCTGCCTTGGCCTCCCAAAGTGCTGGGATTACAGGCGTGAGCCACCGTGCCCAGCCACGGACATTTCTTTTGCCATCCTCTGCCTCCTCAAGCCTGGTGCAGTTCAGTGCTCACTCACAGACGCAGCTCCTACATACCCATTGTCCTTCCATATCATTTTGGATGAGTGTTGGCTATTCATTTTGTGGTCTTGGGAAAGTGATGCCAGGTTTCTCCTGTGTGTCTAAAGGGATTGAAGTGCTTTCACCCAAAGACAAGTAGCTATCTTCACCCGGAAAGTATGTAAGACAGATAGGTTTTCTGTTTCCTGGTGTCTATCACCCTTCCCTGCAAAGCCCCATTCCAGGCCCTTCTGCTCTAAGGAAGAAACCAGGCTGACACCAGGAACTAATTTCTGTTTTCAGACTGTTTCAAGGAGGTCATTAGCTGAAAACTAATTTAAAATAATACTTAGAGGCTGGGTGAGGTGCTCACACCTGTAACCCCAGCACTTTGGGAGGCCAAGGCGGGTGGATCACCTGAGGTCAGGAGTTCAAGACCAGCCTGACCAACATGGTGAAACCCCGTCTTTACTAAAAGTACCAAAATTAGGCCAGGCGTGGTGGGTCACGCCTGTAATCTCAGCACTTTCGGAGGCCGAGGTGGGCGGATCATCTGAGGTCAGGAGTTCGAGACCATCCTGACCAACATGGCGAAACCCTGCCTCTACTAAAAATACAAAAAAAATTAGTCCGTTGTGGTGGCAGATGCCTGTAATCCCAGCTACTCGGGAAGCTAAGGCAGGAGAATCGCTTGAACCGAGGAGGCAGAGGTTGCAGTGAGCCGAGATCACGCCACTACACTCCAGCCTGGGCAACAAGAGCAAAACTCCGTCTCAAAAAAAAAAAAAAATACCACAATTAAATGGGCATGGTGGCGGGCGCCTGTAATCCCAGCTACTCGAGAGGCTGAGGCAGGAGAATTGCTTGAACCCGGGAGGCAAAGTTTGCGGTGAGCCAAGATCGTACCACTGCACTCCAGTCTGGGCAACAGAGCAAGACTCCATCTCAAAAAAAATAAAATGATACTTAGAGATCAGGACTGAGTGATGCTTTTTGCCCATCACATTTTCCCATTTGTCATCAAGCATCTACCTTTTCAAAAGGTTTAAGCTCCCCATCTTGAAGCTGGGGCTCCACAGCCTTGGCTGCCTTTACAGGATGCCCTCTCAGGATCAGGGTCCTGCTTCTGCATGTTCCTGTATGTGAAGCAGATGGATTCTGTGAGTGGGGCTGGCTTTGCCCTCAGCACCTGACCCACTGAAGTTCTGCTGTATAGTCTGTCCTCTCCCAATCACTCACTAATGTTCTTTTTGTTCCCATTTCCAGAGGGTTTTCAGGCTGATTTCTGTTGTTCCTTCAAACTTGATAAAGCTGCTCATGAGACACAGTTTGGCCGGAGTGACCAGCATGGCAGTAAAGCAAGCAGCTCTCTGCAACCGCCAGCCAAGGCCCAAGGCAGAGACCGAGCCAAAACCGGTGTGACGGAACCCATGAATCATGACCAGTTTCATCTAGTGCCTAATCACATCGTGGTCTCTGCAGAAGGAAACATTTCTAAAAAAACAGAATGCCTTGGCAGAGCACTGAAATTTGACAAAGTGGGCTTAGTGCAGTACCAGAGCACGTCTGAAGAGAAGGCCAGCCGGAGAGAGCCTCTGAAGGCCAGTCAGTGCTCTCCCGGCCCTGAGGGGCACCGGAAAACCTCATCCAGATCGGATCATGGTACTGAGAGCAAACTGTCAAGCATCCTAGCAGATTCGCACTTGGAGATGACGTGTAACAATTCCTTCCAGGACAAAAGTCTGAGGAATTCTCCAAAGAATGAAGTTTTACACACAGACATCATGAAAGGGTCAGGCGAACCCCAGCCAGATCTCCAGCTGACAAAGAGCTTGGAAACCACATTTAAGAACATCTTGGAACTCAAAAAGGCGGGACGGCAGCCCCAGAGTGACCCCACGGTTAGCGGCTCTGTTGAGTTAGATTTCCCCAACTTTTCTCCTATGGCTTCACAGGAAAACTGCCTGGAAAAGTTCATCCCGGACCACAGTGAAGGTGTTGTAGAAACTGACTCCATTTTAGAAGCAGCTGTAAATAGTATCCTAGAGTGTTAATAGCAGCAGTCCTCCCCCTACCCCGCCCCGAGACCCCACCCCGAGACCCCACCCCGGACCAGTTACATTCGTTCCTGGCAAAAGCAAATGGAAATGGTCTCCTGTCTCCAGCCTGCTTGATCTTTCATCACAGGTTATTCTTTCTAATCTCAATCCTGTTCTTTGTTTAAGAGCAATACTTGTCGTGATTACAGGGAGATCCTTTAGTAAAATTAATCCTTGGCAGAAAGCAGTCTGATAGGCCCCACTCATTTCAAGTGTTATGAAAGTGCTTATAGGCATTTTGTTTATTTGTTTTGTTTTTTAAAAACACTGTAACTCAATGAGACCACAGTATACTTGGCCCTTGGTAAAATTTTGACAATCATAAGTCATTTGAAAAGAACAGACTTACTAAAATCAAACGAGACGGATAGAAGCTACTTTTTAAAGAATATCCCACTGCATCTGCAAATTTAGTTTTGGGTTTTTTTATTATTATTATTTTGAGTTTTTTTGTGTGTGTTTTGTTGTTATTGTTGAGGGGAAGACCACATGGTTCTTCCCCCTCAGCCATCTTTGAGCAGTAAATTGCTGGCTGTGCTGCCAGGGACCCGCAGCCCTGGTGGAAAAGCCAGTAGCACATACGCAGGGCATTGCAGGGCTTCCCTATTGATGGTTCAAGTGCTTTTCTGATGCTTCCGGAGCAAAACCTCATGCTTTTAGGCATATCTATGTTGAATTTCACCTAGGGAATGTTCTGTTCTTAGTTACAGCAGCAAAATTTGAAATAATTTCACCAGGCTAAATAAAGGAAAATGGAAACCAGTTAAGAGGCACAGTGTACAGAGGAGGCCGGGATAGAGCCATGAGGGTTATAATATTAATATGTATATATGTAAAAGCATATATATGTTAACTATTGAGAAAAAACAAGTTTTGCATTTTATAATTGGATATAGTCAACATATAATGTATGTTTTTGTTTGTTGCTGGATTTTGTTTCATTTAACCTCTCTTTGCACCCTCTCCCACAACAAATACCAAGCATCAAAAGCACTTTCATTTGAAAATTATTATGTTGTAATTTTTCAGTTTAAACTTTAAGGAGACTCTGGCCTTGTTTATGCTTCTTGTCTGAGAACAGTAGTGACCCCTGGCAGCAATTCATTACCAAAACACAGACAAACCAAAGGTAACCAGCTAGCCCACCACTGAAAGGAAAGATCTGAGACATGGGATTCCCATTTGAGAGCCAAAGGATATGCCCTGTCATGGTTTCTGTTTGGCCTGTGTTCATATTAGTGAGCATGGCTTACTGCTTTATTTATTTTTATTTCTTGTCAGGGAGTATTCTCCGTTTTCCTTTCTCGTATACCTGCCCCAGGTTATCCCATTTCTGTTGTTACCTTTATTCTTAATGTCATTGTAACCATCACTTATCTCCTCTCATTGGGAAAGCTACATGATAGTATTTTTATGCACTCTTCTCCCACACATACACACACGTGCATGTATCTGAGCTGCTCGGATCCAGAGGTCATTTTTGTTACAGTGTGTGCACACTCACTCTCCTTCTTAGTGTGCATACTCTCTCATTTATTCTGTTTATCTCCCTGGCTCTGGAGGTGCAGCCACTGGTCTTCACTTTAATGTGTTGCCAGAATCTGCTTCTGGCTGTCGCCAACATGGGGATGACCCCCATTGTCATCATGTTGGGCATTTCTTTTCCAGATTGGCCTGTGATGGAAAGGAAGGCTTCTAATTAGAAAACACAGCAACAGAAGACCTATACCCCGGTGCCCCTGTGTCCCACTACACACAGAAAACCCTGTGAGATGGCCAGTCTTCATAATAGCAACGTACCTTCACCCCAGCCACATGCCCCAGCCAATACAAATTGGAAAATCTGGCCCATTTTAGGGTTACCATTTTTTCCTTATTTGTGCCAATGTCCAAGTTGCAGATTTCCCCTTTTTCCTGTATTGTAACATATTAGATAAGTTGGTGTCGCCAGTTGGTACTTTCTGTTTGGGTAGTCCTAGGGTAACACCCTGCCCTAAACTCCATGATTTCATAGGCTTTTCTTCCCTTGGGGCTCATGCTCCCCTAATTCCTAGCAAGATGATCCTTCCTAATCAAATTCTTCTCATTGCAGAACTTTATCCCTGGAAGCCTTCATGTGGGCTGCTAGTGAGTTACATTAATTACTGCAAATCAGTGGAATTCTCAAGAGACAAGATAAGCTTCATGTACATTTGTCACCTCTCTTTCTTCCCTATCCTGCCCTGCTGTCCCAATCCTAGCTTTTCTATATACCATCCTAAAGGGTTTTTAAGCCCTAACACTTGTCTAGCAAATGGAGAGCCTAATTTACCAAAATGAAACTTGTAAATTTTTGTGTCATTGTATGTAAGTTTACTTTTTATGGAGGAAGGATTCTAGATAATGACAAATGAAGATTATGACATGTATTTCACTCCTGTGATTAGGTTCTACGCACATGGGTCATAACTCGCATGTCGAGCCCCCTCTAGTGAAGGGTAGGAGAGCTCAGCCTCGGATGGCCAACATTCAGTTGTTCAGGTTCATTCGTCAAAGTTAAGTTTTAGAACTATTTGTACTCAGTAACAAAAATCATTTTCTTTTTTTTTTTTTTTTTCTGTTGTGGAAAAGCGTGAATTTGTTATTAAGCATTTGATTTTCTGTGTCCTTAAGTACTTCCTGAAGATGAAGCAAAATTTTAATCTGGCAATTATGAAAAAGAAATATTTTAGCTCTGAAGGATTTAGTAGATTCTGTTAGATTAGGGAGGCCTTACAGACTGACTTTACTTAAAGAGGACGCGTCACTCGCTGTCAGTGTGGTGTGGGCTTTATTTGCTTAAATACCTTCATTTGTATAGTACGTCTCACTTGAAATTGCTTTGTATACATTTTGTAAAAATATTTATAAAATGTTTTGTAAAAAAAAAAAAACTATAACAAATTGCAGTTTATTTTGTTATGTTGGATAAATACTGTTAAAAGAAACCAGTCAGTAACTATATTGTTAATCCATGGTTAGGAAATGTTTAGTTGGAGATTACAAATTGAAACAACCATTGCAATACAGCCAAAGATTTGGGAAAATGTGCAACTGTGATTGTCTTGATTTTGCAAATAGGAATGGCTACTTTTCCCAGAAGAAAAGGGTAAGTGTTCAATGGGAATTCTATTTTAATAGATTTACCAATACCAAAATCAATTTACCCCAGTCAGGGAAGGGATAGGATTTTAATTGATTGGCCTTTCCAAACAGTTACAAATTAATGAAGCTGGTCAGTGAGGAGGTTTGGTCCTGTACACCTTTGGCCTCCATCCCTACTCCTGCCACATAGGTCCTTAGCTATGGAAGGAAAAGTGGGGGTCATGTGAAAAGTCAGGTAAGTGAGCCTCACTCTGCAGGAGATTTTATTTTATTTTATTTTATTTTGAGGTGGAGTCTTGCTCTGTCCCCCAGGCTAGAGTGCAGTGGCACACAATCTCCGCTGACTGCAAGCTCCACCTCCCAGGTTCACGCCATTCTCCTGCCTCAGCCTCCCTAGCAGCTGGGACCACAGGCGCCCGCCACTGCGCCTAGCTAATTTTTTGTATTTTTAGTAGAGACGATGGTCTCGATCTCCTGACCTTGTGATCCACCTGCCTCGGCCTCCCAAAGTGCTGGGATTACAGGCGTGAGCCACTGTGCCCGGCCTAGGAGATTTTCTTCAGTTATGTTTATTTTGTTTCTGCAAGGACAAGGAAAAAGCTAAGTGATAAATGATTTTACATAAGAGATATTCCAGAATTAACGTTTCTCTTTGGATTCAACATATTGGACCAAATTTTGTATTAAAAAATAACTCTATAACCTTATGTGTAAAATCAGCCCCATGAGGCCCTTTTGAATTCCTGCCCTCACAAGTGTTTTTCCACCCAAATTGTTAGGGAAGCTTCTAGAGGTGAAATGTATTTCTGGGAACAAATTGTTCTTTAGGGCCTAGAATTTACACTTGTACTCATTTATGGTTTAATTAGATTCTCCCCTGTGCCCTAAGAGCAGTAGAAAATCAAGATTCAGCAGTAATCAGTACATAAATAGAAAGTCATTTTCTAAAAAGATTAAAAGGCAACAAAGAAAGTCATTTTCAAATAACTAACAGAATGATATGAAGGGATCTATCCACTGATGTCATGTATAGTGTTACCCTAATGTCAAGTTTCTCTTCTTGCTAAGGATAAATGTGTGTCCAGAATGACATTTTTGTCCCTCTTCAGGCCATTTACAATGGGAGTGCCCCAGGAATGAAGAGTTAGAAGGAAGGATCAGCCGGGTGTGTTGGCTCACACCTCTAATCCCATCACTTTGGGAGGCCGAGGCAGGCAGATCACCTGAGGTCGGGAGTTTGAGACCAGCCTGACCAACATGGAGAAATCCCATCTCTACTAAAAATACAAAATTAGCTGGGTGTGGTGGCGCATGCCTGTAATCCCAGCTACTTGGGAGGCTGAGGCAGGAGAATCACTTGAACCCAGGGAGAGGTGGGGGTTGTGGTGAGCCGAGATCGCGCCATTGCACTCCATCCTGGGCAACAAGAGCGAAACTCCATCTCAAATAAAAAAGGAAGGATCATCTGGTTGCTAGGTTAGGATCTGTCTCTGTTCCCTGGGGGCATGCCTGGAGGAAAGACAGGCATCTTCTCTTAGGATGGTTAAAACCCTCAGCTGTGTGTATGGGAGGACACATTCCAGGAAAGGGGCCCTAAGCACTTCCTGAGGCAGAGAAAGTTCCAAGTTAATTATTGGGGGAAAGGTAAGGGAAAATAAACCTTTACAGTGTGGGGGCACTGCAACAGCATTGCTCAGGCAGGGCTCTAGCTGTGCTGTACTGAAAGGGCTAGGCCCTGGGGTTCAGGGTCATGCCCTACTTGCAGCCTTGTGTGTGCTCTCCAAGACAGAGGAGGACCCGTTGGGTATCCAGCTGAAAATGATGATCATTAACCAACAATATTACTTGAGCAGTTGACTGTTGGCAGACACTGTGCCAGACATTGGGATATACAGATAATTCAGGCATGCTTTCTGCTTTCAAAGGGCTCACAGTATACAGGGGGAGCAACACACAGATATACATTACATTTGGGAACTGACTGGAGTTCAGGAGAGAAGAAAATAGGATGCTATAATTTTTCTGGGCTGGGCATGTGGCTCATGCCTGTAAGCCCAACGCTTTGGGAGTCTGAGGCAGGAGGACTGCTTGAGGCCAGGAGTTCAAGACAAGCCTGGGCAACACACAGTGAGACCTATCTCTACAAAAAAAATTAAAAATTAGCCAGGCATGGTGGCATATGCCTGTAGGCCCACCTACTCAGGAGGCTGAGGCCAGAGGATTGCTTAAGCCCAGTTCAAGGCTGCAGTGAGCCATGATCATGCCACTGGACTCAAGCCTGGGTCACAGAACAAGACCTTGTCTCAAAAAATAAAATTCTTCTGGACTGCCACAATAAATTGCACAGAGAGCTGTAAATTACATTTCCATGCCCTGGTTCTTAGTATTTTCCTGAGTTAAACTTGAGAAAAAAATATACCTTCTGCAGTAACAAAGATAAAAGACTTTATTTATTTATTTATTTATTTTCTGAGACGGAGGGAAATTTCCCTCTTGTTGCCCAGGCTGCAGTGCAATGGCGCAATCTCGACTCATCGCAACCTCTACCCCCAGGTTCAAGCGATTCTCCTACTTCAACCTCCCGAGTAGCTGGAATTACAGGCGCCTGCCACCATGCTGGCTAATTTTGTATTTGTAGTAGAGATGGGGTTTCTCCATGTTGGACAGGTTGGTCTCGAACTCCCGACCTCAGGTGAACGGCCTGCCTCGACTTCCCAAAGTGCTGAGATTACAGGCGTCAGCTACCACACCAAGACCTTTGTAATTAAATTGTTAATTATGTGGAGAAATCTGTTTCAGTGTATTCACAAATAGCAGGAGCACATATGTAGTATAAAGTGGATTCTGTAATATGAATTGCCTGTCTACGCTGCTGCAGGTAAAAGACCTTTATAAGAAACCCAGGCCGCGTGTGATGGCTCACGCCTGTAATCCCAGCACTTTGGAAGGCTGAGGCAGGTGGATTACCTGAGGTCCGGAGTTTGAGACCAGCCTGACCAATATGGTGAAACCCTGTCTCTACTAAAAATACAAAAATTAGCCAGGCGTGGTACACCTGTAGGCCCAGCTACTCGGGAGGCTGAGACAAGAGAATTGCTTGAACCCAGGAGGCGGGGTTGCAGTCAGTGAGCCGAGACCACACAACTGCACTCCAGCCTCCAGCCTGGGCAACAAAGTGAGACTCAGTCTCAAAAAAAAAAAAAAAAGAAACCCTCATCTGTATTACTCTTGGGTATGTGCTGGAGTCTGACCTTTGAAACCAATTGCAAAGGCAAGAAGATCCTTGGGAAAAAAATTACTTCTATGAAGGTCAAGGAAAGCAGTGCAACTGGGTGGGCAGAAAGTGCCTTTGGCAGCAGAATGTGGAAATTGGTTCTGGTATCTCATCTATCACATAATCATGTATCTTCATACAACTTAACTCTCAGTCACCGTGTCCTTGCCCATAAACTAAGAAGACTGGTCTTGGCCCTCTACTTCTTAGGGTGTAAAATGTGTTACTAAGGCCGGGTGCAGTGGCTCACACCTGTAATCCCAGTACTTAGGGAGGCTGAGAGGAGGGCTGATCACCTGAGATCAGGAGTTAGAGACAAGCCTGGCAAACAAGGTGAAACCTTGTCTCTGCTAAAAAAAAAAAAAATACAAAAATTATCCAGGCATGTTGGCGGGTACCTGTAATCCCAGCTAATCAGAAGGCTGAGGCTGGAGTATTGGTTGAACCCAGGAGGTGGAGATTGCAGTGAGCCAAGATCGTGCCACTGCACTCCAGCCTGAGTGACAGAGCAAGACTCTGTCTCCAAAAAAAAAAAAAAAAAAAAGGGTGTTACTGAAGACATGTAGACAGTAAAAAGAGCAGGGCCGGGCACAGTCACAGTGGCTCACGCGTGTAATCCCAGCAGTTTGGGAGGCCGAGGCGGGCAGACCACCTGAGGTCAGGAGTTCAAGACCAGCCTGGCCAACATGGCGAAACCCCATCTTACTAAAAATACAAAAAATTATCTAGGCATGATGGCACATGCCTGTAGTCCCAGCTACTCAGGAGGCTAAGGCAGGAGAACCACTTGAACCTGGGAGGTGGAGGTTGTAGTGAGCCAAAATTGTGCCACTGCACTCCAGCCTGGCTGACAGAGCGAGACTCCATCTCAAACATGAAAAAAGAAAAAGAAAAAAGAGACCAGGCGCAGTGGCTCACACATGTAATCCCAGCACTTTGGGAGGCCGAGGCAGGTGGATCACCTAAGGTTGGGAGTTCAAGACCAGCCTGACCAACATGGAGAAACCCCATCTCTACTAAAAATACAAAATTAGCCAGGCGTGGTGGTGCATGCCTGTAATCCCAGCTACTTGGGAGGCTGAGGCAAGAGAATCGCTTGAACTGCAGAGGCGGAGGTTGTGGTAAGCCAATATCACACCATTGCACTCCAACCTGGGCAACAAGAGCAAAACTCCATCTCAAAAAAAAAAAAAAAAAAAGTAAAACGAGCCATGTTCCATTATCCCTAAATAATTCAGAAGTTTGGGTTTTTCTGTTTTGCTTTTAGTCTTACCTGCTACATACTTTCACCTTCCTACCCCAGCTTTCTTGTCTATCCTCAAGCCTCAAAAGGCTGCTGCCCCTCACCTGTTCTCTCCCTTTCCTTCCCACTTTTGCTACCTTATGTTTGTTTTTCATTAGGATCAAAAGCTGTTGTTCACATTGTCTGCCTCAACTCCAGGTTCATCCACTGCTCTCAGACTAATCTCTTTCCTACTTGCTTCCTGATAACCCCTTGTCACTTACAAGCAAAGCTTGAAGCAAAATGAAGCTGACTGCAAAAAGTGTCTTAATCCAAGAAAGAGGATGGAGCAGATGGGAAATTGCAGATAGAGTTCCTCTTAGGGTGTGTTAGGTGTGGCAGCTTTGCCTTAAGTAAGAGTAGGATTCCAAATAATCCAGAAGTGCAGAGAATACTGAAATAAATTATGCACGGACGTGTTAGGAAAGGGATTCTGGAACCAATTCAGAGAGAACCACAAAAATCCAATTACTTACAGAGCTTTCTTTTTTTTTTTTTCCTTTTTATTTCTTTTTTTATTTTTTTTCTGAAACAAGGTCTGGCTCTGTCACCCAGGCTGGAGTGCAGTGGCGTGATCTCTGTTCACTGTAACCTCCACCTCCCAGCCTCAACCCATCCTCCCATCACAGCCTCCCAAGTAGCACGACTACAGGCACACACCACCATGCCCATCTAATTTATATATAGATATAGATGTTTTTCCTTTTTCTTTCTTTTTTTTTTTTCTGAGACGGAGTTTGACTCTGTTGCCCAGGCTGGAGTGCAATGGCGTGATCTCAGCTCACTGCAACCTCCACCTCCCCAGGTTCAAGCGATTCTCCTGCCTCAGCCTCCCAAGTAGCTGGGATTACAGGCACGTGCCACCATGCCCAGCTAACTTTTGTATTTTTAGTAGAAACGGTTTCACCATGTTGGCCAGGCTGGTCTCGAACTCCTGACCTTGTGATCTGCCCACCTCGGCCTTCCAAAGTGCTGGGATTACAGGCATGAGCCACTGTACCCGGCCTTTTTTTTCTTTCTTGAGACAAAGTCTCACTCTGTCGCCCAGGCTGGAGTGCAGTGGTGCAATCTTGGCTGACTGCAACCTCCACCTCCCAGATTCAAGCGATTCTCCTGCCTCAGCCTCCCAAGTAGCTGGGACTACAGGTGCATGCCACCATGCCTGGCTAATTTTTTTGTATTTTTAGTAGAGATTGGGTTTCACTGTGTTAGCCAGGATGGTCTCGATCTCCTGACCTCATGATCCACCCTCCTCGGCCTCCCAAAGTGCTGGGATTATAGGCGTGAGCCACCATGCCCTGCCAAGATTTTTTTTTTTTTTTTCTGAGATGGAGTCTCGCTCTGTCACCCAGGCTGAAGCACAGTGGCGCAATCTGGGCTCACCGCAACCTCCATCTCCCAGGTTCAAGCAATTCTCCTGCCTCAGCCTCCTGAGTAGCTGGGATTACAGGCACCCACCACCACACCCAAATAATTTTTGTATTTTTTTTTAGCAGATAATGAGGTTTCACCATGTTGGCCAGGCTCATCTCGAATTCCTGACCTCGAGTCATCCACCTGCCTTGGCCTCCCAAAGTGCTGGCATTACAGGTGTGAGCCACCTTGCCCAGCCATGTCTGTCTGTCTGTCTATCTGTCTATTTATCTACCTATCTATCTATTGAGACAGGGTTTCACTCCAGTTGCCCAGGCTGGAGTGCAGTGGCAAGATCTGGGCTCACTACAGCCTTGACCCTCCAGGCTAAAATGATCCTTCCACCTCAGTCTCTCAAGTAGTTGAGACTACAGGTGTGCACCACCATGCCCGGCTAATTTTTTGTATTTTTAGTAGAAACAGGGTTTCGTCATGTTGCCCAGGCTGGTCTCAAATTCCCGGTCTCAAGTGATCCGCCTGCCTTGGCCTCCCAAAGTGCTGTGATTACAGGTGTGAGCCACCGCACCCAGCCTAATTTTTATATTTTTTGAAGAGATGTGGTTTCACCATGTTGCCCAGGCAGGTCTCAAACTTGTGAGCTCAAGTGATCCGCCCAACTGGGCCTCCCAAAGTGCTGGGATTACAGACGTGAGCCACCAACCTGGCTCAGAGCTTTTTCTTAAACTAATACGTATGTGGTAAACAAAGGGCGTATCATAAAATGGAAGTTTTCCTCCGATTCCAGACTCTACTACTATTTCCCAAAAAGACCACCGTCAGCACTTTTTCATATATGCTTCCAAAATTGTTACATACAAATATACCTATAACTGGCCGGGCGCGGTGGCTCATGCCTGTAATCCCAGCACTTTGGGAGGCCGAGGCAGGTGAACACCTGAGGTCAGGACTTCGAGACCAGCCTGGCCAACATGGTGAAACCCCATCTCTACTAAAAATACAAAAATTACCCAGGCGTGGTGGCGGGCACCTGTAATCCCAGCTACTCAGGAGGCTAAGGCAGGAGAATTGCTTGAACCCAGGAGGTGGAGGTTGCAGTGAGCCGAGATCGTGCCACTGCACTCCAGCCTGGGCGACAGAGCGAGACTCTGTCTAAAAAAAAAAGAAAAAAGAAAAGAAAAACAATCTGGGGACTGGGCACGGTGGCTCATGCCTGTAATCCCAGCACTTTGGGAGGCCAAGGCAGGCAGATCACGAGGTCAAAAGATTGAGACCATCCTGGCCAATATGGTGAAACCCCATCTCTACTAAAAATACAAAAATTAGGCAGGCATGGTGGTGTGCGCCTGTAGTCCCAGCTACTTGGGGGGCTGAGTCAGGAGAATTGCTTGAACCTGGGAGGCAGAGGTTGCAGTAGGCCGAGATAGTGCTACTGCACTACAGCCTGGCGACAAAGCGAGACTCCATCTCAAAAAAAAAACACAAAAAACCAAAACAATCTGGGACCATTTTTTTACACCCTAGTCTGTATTCCATATGTTTGGGACTGTTACAGTCAGGATTATTTGGTTGTAAACAACAGAAAATTATTCTAGTTAACCAACATAAAGGGATTTTGTAAGGAAGATAAGAATTAAAAAATTGAAGAACCCATGAGGCTTGAGAAGGACAGAGACAAAGAAACTCTAGGAGGTTTTCTTAGGTGGAAATCGTTAAAAGTTTTGCCCCTGACTGGGTGCGGTGGCTCATACCTGTAATCCCAGCACTTTGGGAGGTCGAGGTGGGCAGATCACTTGAGGTCAAGAGTTCGAGAGCAGCCTGGCCAACATGGTGAAACCCATCTCTACTAAAAATACAAAAATTAGCCGGGCGTGGTGGCACACGCCTGTAATCCTAGCTACTCGGGAGGCTGAGGCGCGAGAATTGCTTGAACCTGGGAAGCAGAGGTTGCAGTGAGCCAAGATTGCACCACTGCACTCCAGCCTGGACGACAGAGCAAGACTTTGTCTCAAAAAAAAAATAAAAATAAAAACGAAAAAAAAAAAAGTCTTGTCTCAAATCTGGTGCTTTGTTCCATCATCACTCTGCTTAAAATTCAAAATCACAGAGAAATTTAGCATCTCATACCCACTCCCAATGGGGTGATGAAAAGAATTGAAAAGATCTTCCAAAGACTCCTTCAGTTTAAGTATTGGAGGGCAAGCGTTTGGATTTGATATCCTCCCAACAGCTGCCCAAATGTACATGATGAAGAGGAAATAAGTTCACAAGAGGACTGGAATTTTTTTTTTTTTTTTGGTGGGGGGAGACAAGGTCTCACTCTGTCGCCCAGGCTGGAGTGCACCGATTCTCGTGCCTCAACCTCCCAAGTAGCTAGGATTACAGGTATGCGCCACCACACCCAGCTAATTTTTGTATTTTTAGTAGAGATGGGGTTTCACCATGATGGCCAGGCTGGTTTTGAACTTCTGGCCTCGGGCGATCTGCCTGCCTCAGCCTCCCAAAGTGCTGGGATTACAGGCATGAGCCACCACACCTGACCTCAGTAACCTCACTTTGAAAAAAAATCTAGGACACATGCTCAATGCTCAATAAACACATATTCAGTTAGTGAATAATTGTTTAAGAGGTGGGGCTCCTTTCTTTTTCCCTTTGTCAGTCTGGTGGAGTAAGGGGATTGGCACTGAGAATAAGTATTCTCCTAGCACCATCTGCTGGCAGTAGAAAGCCATTCCTGAATCCTGGCCTCAATCCCATTCAGTCTTGGAGTACTGGTTTTTTGGGGGTTGTTTTGACACAGATTCTTGCTCTGTTGCCCAGGCTGGAGTGCAGTGGCATAATCTCGGCTCACTGCAACCTCCGCCTCCCAGGTTCAAGCAATTCTCGTGCCTCAGCCTCCCAAGTAGCTGACTACAGACATGTGCCACCATGCCCGGCTAATTTTTGTATTTTTGGTAGAGACAGGGTTTTGCCATGTTGCTGAGGATGGTCTTGAACTCCTGAGCTCAAGTGATCTGCCTGCCTCGGCCTCCCAAAGTGCTGGGATTACAGGCGTGAGCCATCGCCGCCTGGCTGAAGTATTGTTAACCCTAAAATTCCTCCTCCTTTTAATATTATTGGTACCACAGACTCTACCTTTTATCCATAGACAGGAAAAATCACAAAACATTTAACTTTTTGCTTTTTTGTTTACTATTTAGTGAATGTCTTACACTTTGGTGACCCTTGTGTTTAGCCTCTTTACAAAGACACATGGTGAGGTGCTGAAAGAGAATGAGCCTCCCTCTTTCAGTGTGTGACCTTGAATGCTGGGTTGTCCTGACACTTACTCATCAGAAAGTGACCTGTGCCCATGGCACTCTTTCCGGTTGGACTAGTTACATGGCAACACGAGGCCTTTAGCTGCCACCAGTATCAGTATCAATAGTGCCAAAATCGAGAAATTGGTGCTAGATCCTTAGGATCAGTGATGAGTAAGCAGTCATGGTTCCTGCCCCCCCTAGTATCATGTGGAAGAAATATTAAAAATATAATAATGTCCTGAGGGAAATCAGACACTACTCTAGAGTCTTACTAGTCAGCCCATAGACCAGTAGCACCAGCGTCACTCTGAAGCCTGTTAAAAATGCAGAATATTGGCCAGGTGCGGTGGCTCACGCCTGTAATCCCAGCACTTTGGGAGGCCGAGGCGGGCGGATCACGAGGTCAGGAGATCGAGACCATCCTGGCTAACAAGGTGAAATCTCTACTAAAAATTCAAAAAATTAGCCAGGCGTGGTGGCGGGCGCCTGTAGTCCCAGCTACTCGGGAGGCTGAGGCAGGAGAATGGCGTGAACCCGGGAGGCGGAGCTTGCAGTGAGCCAAGATCGCGCCACTGCACTCCAGCCTGGGCGACAGAGCGAGACGCCATCTCAAAAAAAAAAAAAAAAAAAAAGCAGAATATCAGCTCCCCACCCGGCCTCCTGAATAAAAATCTGTATTTTAGTAAAATCTTCAGGTGACTCCTATTCACTATTAATGCTTGAGAAGCGCTGCTCTGGAGGTTTCCAGAGATGATAAGACTTGTGTTGTTTTTCAGGATTTTTAATTTTAAAAAAAATTTATTTCTTGTTTTTTTTGAGACTGTCTCGCTCTGTCGCCCAGGCTGGAGTGCAAGTGGCACAAACTCGGCTCACGCAGCCTCCGCCTTCTGGGACTTCAGGCGCGAGCCACCACGCCCAGCTAATTTTTTGTATTTTTAGTAGAGACGGGGTTTCACCATCTTAGCCATGCTGGTCTCCAACTCCTGACCTCAAGTGATCCACCTGCCTTGGCCTCCCAAAGTGCTGGGATTACAGGTGAAAGCCACCGGCCCGACCTACTGTTTTTCAGGATTCTATATAGACTGGGAGGGAAGAACGCAAATTCCGGGCGATGAGAGCTGCATAAGGGTTTTATTTTTATTCTTTTTTTTTCTTTTCTTTTCTTTTTGTTTTTTTGAGACGGAGTCTTGCTCTGTCGCCCAGGCTGGTGGGCAGTGGCGCGATCTCGGCTCACTGTAACCTCCGCCCAAGACGGGGTTTCGCCGTGTTGGCCAGGCTGATCTCGAACTCCTGACCTCAGGTGATCCTCCCGTCTCGGCCTCCCTCCCAAAGTGCTGGGATTACAGGCGTGAGCCACCGCGCCCGGCCTGTGTAACGGTTTTAGACGGGAAGGAAGCATGTTGTAGTTTTCGGTCCAGCAGTAATAGTAACAAACATAGTGCTGACAGACACTGCTAAACGCTTTATCTAATCTCCTGTAATCCTCGTAACGCCATTAGGTAGACCTATTATTACTGTACACCCATTTTATGGGTAATGAAGCCGCAGTATAGAGGGGTTAAATAACGTGTTCAAGGACGCATCGACGGGGCCAAGCAGACGGAATTGCAGCTACCTGCTTTACCACTCTAAGTCCTCAACAAACACTTCCACCTACACGTGAGAGCCAAAGCCATAGCCTCCAAGTTTTTCCACAGAGCGAAAATGTTTCGCGGAGTTTGCCTGTCTTCCTCCCCAGAGACGCAGCACAGCCGCGCCGGAAGTGCGGCGCCGTAGCTAGGAGCGGACGCCATAGGTGCATTGTGGGAAGCACTTTGCTGTCCACAGCCAGGCCGCTTGTGATGAAACTGTAACTTACAAGAAAAGGGCTGGGTTTTGAAAATAACACAGGCTCTAAAAACCCTAAGAAGCGGTGCAACTTTTGGCAGGAATCGGGGTTAGCGGGACCTCAAGGGCTCACTGCGGCTAAGTGAACGCTGACTGGTCCTCCAGCGTGAGCTAGAACAGACGTCTCTATGGTCAAGTAAACAGAGCGTGTGCTGTCTTCCCCATGTGGTGGGGTTGCGCATGATCAGTAGCTGCACCACTAGAAAGATGGCGGAGCAAGAGTGAGTGTTTGGGGCTTTGAATATCTGGAGTGGGGTCTTGAGTATCCGGTGCCATCCACGGTGTTTATGCCTTGGTGGCGGATTCCTGTGGGCTCTAGGAATAGAAAAGGCCACAGTTTACAAAGGGTGGGGGTGAGGAGGAGTAGCGCTGTGGCGGAGGAGGGAGGGGACCGCGGTCAAGTTCGGGTTATCTGGAGAGGCGAGGATTGACTTCAGGCAGCGGGCTGGAGTGCCACAGTTGAATTCACCCAGCCCGACAAGTGTTAACTCTGCAGATAGGCCTGCCCCCGCCCCAACCCCATAGATTCGTCGCTGCTAGTGCCTATGAAGAACTGTGGCCGTGAAAACCCTGTTAACTTATACGAACCCAGAGGCTAAAGGATTCATTATTTTCCGAGGCTTTGGGGATGAGTGACTATTAGGGATGGATTTATGAGGCCTGGAGTCAGAAACCGCAGGTTTCAGGGGAATCTTTCTTCAGATACTTGAAAACAGTAATGTTCCCTAAAGCCCAGGATATTGAATTGGTTTGGAAATCCATTGAATGTTCGTTTTCTTTTTTGTTGTTGTTTTTGTTTTGAGACGGAGTCTTGCTCTGTCCCCCAGGCTGGAGCGCAGTGTCGGGATCTCGGCTCGGTGCAACCTCCGCCTCCCGGGTTCAAGCGATTCTCCTGCCTCAGTCTCCCGAGTAGCTGGGATTACAGGCGTGCGCCACCACGCCCAGCTGATTTTTTATTTTTAGTAGAAACGGGGGTTTCACCATGTTGGTCAGGCTGGTCTCGAACTCCTGACCTCAGGTAATCCACCCACCTCGGCCTCCCAGAGTGCTGGGATTACAGGCTTGAGCCACCGAGCCCGGCCAAGTGTTCTTTTCTAAATGTTATCTCTGATCTCAATTTTCTGCATCAGGCAAAGAAAAATCCCTTTGGTTCCAGAAAATCTCCTGAAAAAGAGGAAGGCTTATCAAGCCCTCAAAGCCACCCAGGCAAAGCAGGCACTTTTGGCAAAGAAGGAGGTAATGGTGGGGAACCAAGAGAAAGTAATTAGAATTTTTATTTGGTGAGTTTTATCCCGCATGTGTTGGACTACATTTGGTATTGACGAGCTCCCCCCAACGGTTTGACAGACCAGGTATAGTTGTCTCTCAGTGTCCTTAAGGGGTTGGTTCCAGGACTCCCACAGATGCCTAAATCTCAGACTGCTGAAGTCCCTTATATAAAATGGTTGTAGTAGGCCGGGCGCGGTGGCTCACGCCTGTAATCCCTGCACTTTGGGAGGCCGAGGCGGGCGTATCACGAGGTCAGGAGATCGAGACCATCCTGGCTAACACGGTGAAACCCCGTCTCTACTAAAAATATAAAAAATTAGCCGGGCATGGTGGCAGGCTCCTGTAGTCCCAGCTACTCGGGAGGCCGAGGCAGGAGAATGGCGTGAACTCGGGAGGTGGAGGTTGCAGTGAGCCAAGTTCGTGCCACTGTACTCCAGCCTGGGCGACAGAGCGAGACACTCTCTCAAAAAATAAATAAATAAATAAATAACTGGTTGTAGTATTTGCATATAATCTATACTCCTTCCGCCTATGTAGTTTAAATCCTCTCTGGATTGCTTAATAGCTTTATTTATTTATTTATTTATTTTGAGGCAAGAGTCTCACTCTTGCCTAGAGTGGAGTGCAGTGGCACAATCTCGACTCACTGCAACCTCTGCCTACTGGGCTCAAGCAATTCTCGTGCCTCAGCCAACCAAGTAGCTAGGATTACAAGCATGCGCCACCACACCTGGCTAATTTTTTTTTTAACTTAATTTAATTTTGTTTTGTTTTTTGAGACAGAGACTCACTCTGTCACCCAGGCTGGAGTGCAGTGATGCGATCTTGGCTTACCACAACCTCCGCCGCCTCCCGGGTTCAAGCGATTCTCCTGCCTCAGCCTCCCAAGTAGCTGGGATTACAAGGATGTGCCACCATGCCCTGCTAATTTTTGTATTTTTAGTAGAGACCGGGTTTCACCATGTTGGCCAGGCTGGTGTCCAACTCATGGACTCAAGTGATCTGCCCACCTCGGCCTCCCAAAGTGCTGCGATTACTGATGTCAGCCACCCCACCCGGCCACCGGCTGATTTTTGTATTTTTAGTAGAGATGTTTTGACATGTTGGCCATGCTGGTCTCAAACTCCCGGCCTCAAGTGATCACCCACCGGCCTTCCAAAGTGCTGGGATTACAGGCCTGAGCCACCCTGCCTGGCCTGGATTACTGATAGCTAATACAGTGTACATAATGTATTTTAAAAATTTGTATTACTTTTTACGGTTATTTTTCATTTTTTCCCCTGAATTTTTTTTTTTTTTTTTTTTTAAGAGTGAGGTCAGCTGGGCTCACATCTGTAATCCCAACACTTTGGGAGGCTGAGGCGGGCAGATTACTTGAGGTCAGGAGTTCAAGACCAGCCTGGCCAACATGGTGAAACCCCATCTCTACTAAAAATACAAAAAATTAGACGGGCACTGTGGCATGCGCCTGTAATCCTAGCTAATCAGGGGGCTGAGGCAGGAGAATTGCTTGAACCCGAGAGGCGGAGGTTGCAGTGAGCTGAGATTGTGCCACTGCACTCCAGCCTGAGTGACAGAGCAAAACCCTGTCTCAAAAAAAAAAAAAAAAAAATAAGTGGGGTCTTTGGCCAGGTGTGGTAGCTCATGCCTGTTATCCCAGCACTTTGGGAGGCTGAGGCAGGTGGATCTCCTGAAGTCAGGAGTTTGAGACCAAGCTGGCCAACAAGGTGACCCTGTCTCTACTAAAAATACAAAAATTAGCCGGGTGTGGTGGCGCATGCCTGTAATCCCAGCTACTTGGGAGGCTGAGGCAGGAAAATGGCTTGAACTCAGGTGGCAGAGGTTGCAGTGAGCCGAGATCATATCACTGCACTCCAGCCTGGGCGACAGAGCGAGACCCCATCTCAGAAAAAAAAAAGAACAAGGAGTGAGGTCTTGTGTTACCCAGGCTAGAGTGCAGTGGCAGGATCATAGCTCATTGCAGCCTTGAATTCCTGGGTTCAAGAGAACCTCCCGCCTCAGCCTCCTAAGTAGCTGGGACTACAGGGTGAGCTACTGTATGTGCTCCTCCAAAGTATTTTCCATCTGGGGTTGGTTGAATCACAGATGCAGAGCACCAAGTGTATATGGTTTATGTCTTCATTTAGCAAATATTTAACACCTGCAGGCAAATGCTGGCGTGGAGTTTAAGGAAACTTGTTAGTAAACACTGATTAATATGTAAACTAATTTTTTGTTCGTTATTTTTCCCAATAATTCCCAAGTTTCCTCAACTCCACCTTTACTTTGGTTTCTCATTTTTCCTTTATATGAAAATAGAGAATGTTGCTTTGCTTCGCATTGTGGAACACGGGGAAATAAGCTATATCAGTTGTCACTTATGAATTACTGTTCTAAAAGTAAAAATGTATGGAGGCACAAGATGATGATGATGGTCTGTCTTCTCTGTAGCAGAAGAAAGGAAAAGGGCTCAGGTTTAAGCGACTGGAATCATTCCTACATGATTCCTGGCGGCAGAAACGTGACAAGGTGCGTCTCAGACGACTAGAAGTGAAACCTCATGCCTTGGAATTGCCAGATAAACATTCCTTGGCCTTTGTTGTACGCATCGAAAGGTAAGGAACTGGTGTCTTTCTAATTGCATGAGGCTGGGGCAAAGTGTTGCTTAAGCTTTAGACCCCTTTCTAGGGAGATAATATGCCCCAAGCCACTCAGGCAAATTGTGCTAGGATGTCAGGGTTGAGCACAATTTAGTCTGCAATATTTGGAAGACCTTAGACAGATAGGCTTGAAAATAAGTGCTATGAGGGTAAAGTGCTCACTAGGGAGAGGGGTTGAGGACACCCTCTCTAAAGCAGGAACTTCAACCTGAGACCTGAAAGATGTGAAAGGCGTTCACCAGTGTTGGGAGATTTTTCAGGCATACGTGCTGAAGTCCTGAGGTAGGGAAAGCAAGGCATCATTCTAGGAACTGAAACAAGGCTGAGTGGATGAAGCATATTCAGTGAAGGGGAGACATTTTTCCTCATTTAGTGGAACTTTCCCAACCCCCTGCCCACCCCATGTACAACTCTACTTCTTGCTGTTTCCCCTACCCAATCACCCAAACCAGAAACCTGTGGATTTTGCATGTTTATGAGCTCTGTCCTTTGTAGCCCTCTACCACTGCTCATATTTTTCCTGAACTATTGTATTAACCTTCCTCCTGGATTTCCTTGCCTCTAGTGTCATACTGTGATCTGTCCCATACACTGCCCTTGGTGATTGTCAGAAAGAAATCTGGTCTGGTCTCTTCTGCTTAAAATCTTCAGTAGCTTTTACTGCCCATAGAAGCACATCCAGCTTCCTTAGCTGGACATGTGTAGACCTACATACCACCACTCCGCCTACCCCTGAAACACACACAAGTTCAATTTCCATAGCATTCCAGGCACTGCTCCACATTATGAAAAGGATCTGTTTTCATAACCGCCTCCCACTAAACTGAGCTCTTTAAGGCATAGTCTCTGTGTCTTATTCCAGATTACCCAGTGTAGTGACCTCGCATGTTGTGCTTGCTGGACTGACATAAACTGGAGGGAGTCTGTCTGACTTCTGTTGCTGTTCATTTCAGGATTGACGGCGTGAGTTTACTGGTGCAGAGAACCATTGCAAGACTTCGCCTAAAGAAAATTTTTAGTGGTGTCTTTGTAAAAGTCACCCCCCAGAATCTAAAAATGCTGCGTATAGTGGAACCTTATGTGACCTGGGGGTAAGTAAGGTTTTCCATGTGAATTCACATTAGATTTCTATTTGAGTGTGTCAGGGTGCACCGGGTATTGCTTTCCAGGGCTCATGTTGCTGTAGAAGGGACATTTTGCTGTGACCACAGTCAACCTGAAATCAGTGGGTAGCTGTAATAACCATGGGACACAGGGTAGGGAGGGGTCTGAACAATACCATAGTAGGGCTGGTTCAGTCATAGGCTAAGGCTGGGTCAAGGAAAGCTTGGTTCTTGAAAGTCTTAAAGCAGAGCTAAAGGCAGTGCATGTGTAAGAGTAGTATTCCTGGCCGGACACACTGGCTCATGCCTGTAATCCCAACACTTTGGGAGGCCGAGGCGGGTGGATCACACGGTCAGGAGTGGATCACAGGGTCAGGAGATTGAGACCATCCTGGCCAACATGGTGAAACCCCTGTCTCTACTAAAATACAAAAAAAATTAGCCAGGCATGGTGATGTGTGCCTGTATTCCCAGCTACTTGGGAGGCTGAGGCAGGAGAATCGCTTGAATCCATGAGGCAGAGGTTGCAGTGAGCTGAGATTGTGCCACTGCAATCCACTCTGTCTCAAAAAAAAAAAAAAAGGCCAGACACGGTGGATCACGAGGTCGGGAGATCGAGACCATCCTGGCTAACATGGTGAAACCCCGTCTCTACTAAAAATACAAAAAAAATTAGCCTGGCACCTGTAGTCCCAGCTACTTGGGAGGCTGAGGCAGGAGAATGGCATGAACCTGGGAGGCGGAGCTTGCAGTGAGTCGAGATCGTGCCACTGCACTCCAGCCTGGGAGACTGAGCAAGACTCCGTCTCAAAAAAAAAAAAAGAGTAGTATTCCTCAAACATTGAAACCCAACAAAAACTTGGATTTTATTTCCAACTCTTGCACCATCTTGAGTAGAGGGTCACCTAAGGCCAGAGTCGTAGCCCCTAAGGTAAGCTAGGACATGGTTTCTGTTTTGTTTTTGTTGGCAATATTTTCCCTGGTGAACATTTACATCCATAAATTTAAATTTCTAATTATGTAAGTGGGGTCACTTCAGTTCTTTATCAGGAGTATTTCCAAGCATTTCAGCTGGAATGTGATTGCAGAACACTTGCTCGTTGGGAGAAGTGAGTGTGTGGGAGAACCTCTCCAACCTCTCAGCCAGGCTGCAGGACTGGTATGTAGTGTGCCAGGTGCTGGTGAAAACCGTGCTTTATTTTCCTACATAGATTTCCAAATCTGAAGTCTGTCCGAGAACTCATTTTGAAACGTGGACAAGCCAAGGTCAAGAATAAGACCATCCCTCTGACAGACAATACAGTGATTGAGGAGCACCTGGGTGAGTGCTACAGCTTAGGGATCAGCTGGGGCAGAAAGCCAGGGTCTTTGAAGCTTTGATGTGAGATTCAGGTTGTATTCTTCTTGGGGCCCCAAGAGTCTGCCAGAGTGGCCAGCTTAGTATATGCTGGATACATGTTAAATAAAGGAATCTGTGCTTTTGTGTTTCTTAGGGAAGTTTGGCGTCATTTGCTTGGAAGACCTCATTCATGAAATTGCCTTCCCAGGGAAGCATTTCCAGGAGATCTCATGGTTCTTGTGCCCTTTCCACCTCTCAGTGGCCCGTCATGCTACCAAAAATAGAGTGGGCTTCCTCAAGGAGATGGGCACACCTGGCTATCGGGGTGAACGCATCAATCAGCTCATCCGTCAGCTGAACTAGACCCAGGTGAGGCAGGGCTGAAAACTGCCCTTGGGCTGACTTTTGATAGGCCATGCCTTGCCACTTTACAAGTTCTTTTTGCATTTACTAGTATTTAAGAGTAACCTTGAGATTGGGAGGAATAGAGGAGGCTGGTACAAATAGATGGAGACCTGCTGGGATCAGTGAATGCCTGATTAGGACATGGGGCTATGCATAGCCTAAGAGTTATAGGCTTAAAGATGTCGAGTAACTAAAAACTGTATTGCTGGCCGGGCGCGGTGGCTCACGCCTGTAATCCCAGCACTTTGGGAGGCCAAGGCGGGCAGACCATGAGGTCAGGAGATTGAGACCATCCTGGCCAACATGGTGAAACCCTGTCTCTACTAAAAATACAAAAATGAGCTGGGTGTGGTGGCGCGTGCCTGTAGTCCCAGCTACTCGAGAGGCTAAGGCAGGAAAATCGCTTGAACCCAGGAGGCAGAGATTGCAGTGAGCCAAGATTGCACCAGTGCACTCCAGCTGGGCGACAGAGCGAGACTCCATCTCGGAAAAAAAAAAAAAAAAACTATTGCTGCAGTCATTCAGATGGAAATGAGGAAAGAATAATATTAATAACTGATTTCAAAAAGGACTTGAAGATGTGAATCATCTATTTTGCTGAAGAAATCTTAACTCTTTGAAATTACTTTTTATTGCTGTTGTCATACTCTTAGGTGCCAAACTGCGGTAAATTTTTTATCAGTGAAGTGGAAGCATGTGTTTTGTTTTGGAAATTTTTATCAAGTATCTTCAGAGAAGATTATTTCCTGCTTTATCTTCAGAAACTGGAAAGGGTCAAAGAAAAGACAGTAGCTGGCCGGTCGTGGTGGCTCATGCCTGTAATCCCAACACTTAGGGAGGCTGAGGTGGGCAGATCACCTGAGGTTGGGAGTTCGAGACCAGCCTGACCAACATGGAGAAATGCCATCTCTACTAAAAATACAAAAATTAGCCGGGCATGGTGGCACGTGCCTGTAATCCCAGCTACTCAGGAGGCTGAGGCAGGAGAATCGCTTGAACCTGGGAGGTGGAAGTTGCAGTGAGCTGAGATCACGCCATTGCACTCCAGCCTGGGCAACAAGCGAAACTCTGTCTCAAAAAAAAAGAAAAGACAGTAGCATATGTTCATGTCAAGCACCTCTCATCACAGTCGAGTTCCAAGGAAAAATTCCAGTGTTTTCTGCATTGGGTGCTGTGTCATCTGAAATCGGCACATTCCATGGAGGAAGGAGTCCTGCTTTGTTGCATGTATCCTAGGGTTTAATGTTGGTAAATGAGTCACTCTAGCATTTGTAGAAGGCTCCCTGAGACTCCTGCAGCAGTCGACCAAGCCCAAGGACATAATTGAATCTGGAGAGTCCTGGGGCCTTGTTTTGAAAAAGACTTGAAATACACATAGGAAGAAAGGCATAAAAATAAATGTTCACTTGTCTCTGCTGTGAGTATGTGTTCCAACTTTTCAGTGATGGCTTTGAGAATTCTCAAACTTGACTGGCTCTAAGTGTATCTGGTGGCTTTTGTATCGTAACCTGAAACTGGCTTAGTACTTTTTCCTAAAAGCTCAGGATTTGAGAATGAGGACCCCTTCGCCAGGAAAACATGTATACACTCAAAATTTTGCTTGCAGTTCTAGGGTGTTTAGACCCTTCTCAGATACCTGTGCATCTTATGGGTTTTGTTTTTCTCTTTGAGACAGTCTCACCCTGTTGCCCAGGCTGGAGCGCAGTGGCATGATCTCAGCTCATTGCAGCCTCCACCTCCTGGGTTCAAGTGATTCTGCCTCAGCCCCTTGATCAGCTGGGATTACATGCATGTACCACCACACCCAGCTAATTCTTGTATTTTTAGTAGAGATGGAGACAGAGTTTCACCATGTAGGCCAGGCTAGTCTCAAACTCCTGACCTCAAGTGATCCACAAGCCTGGGCCTCCCAAAGTGCTGGGATTACAGGCATGAGCAACTGCGCCCAGCTCTTGTGTACCTTATGTGAGGAAGTCCTGCTCAATCAGGATCGGTCACGCAGGCCCTGATCTTGCTACTCTGGTTCCATGTCCTATGGAAGACCAAAGTTTACCAAGATAGATTTTTCCCTTCATAGTGGCAGATAGTGTTAACCCCTGCACCATCTGTAACTCAGAAATCCCCACCATTTCTTCCCCTGGGCTTCAGAATAGAATTGCCTGGTTTCTCTGATGATCAGCATGGTTCCTTAAAACCCAAATCAGCAAGGAATGAACAATTTTGTTTGGCATGGATGAAATTAGCACTGTTTGGCTCGTTAGGCCCCAGGCAGGCAGGCACCTTAATTTTTTCCTTGCATATTCTAGTCTTCAGAAGCATTGCCTTTTGTCCTACTGGTAGTGACATAGACCAATAACAGGGCATCTGGGGATTTTAATCCTGAAAACAGTGAGTCTGATACTGCTTGTGTTTTTCATCAGTGTCCACCCCAAGTGGGTCTTCCTGCTATTCTCTTCACTTAGTTGCCCCTCACTTGCCATCTGAGCAATTGGCAAGGATGTGCCAGGCCTAGGTTAAACTTGGAAACATGCTTGACCATTCTATTCCCTGGTCCTTTAAGATCAGTTTGGCTGCAATTTTGGCTCCTTGGACCCTCAAGCATAGCTGGTAAATCAAGTTAGAGATGTAACTGCCTTAAAACATGCCAGCTTAGGCTGGGCACGGTGGCTCACACCTGTAATCTCAACACTTCAGGAGGCTGAGGCAGGCAGATCACTTGAGGTCAGGAGTTCGAGACCAGCCTGACCAACATGGAGAAATTCTGTCCCTACTGAAAATACAAAATTAGCCGGATGTGGTGGTGCATGCCTGTAATCCCAGCTACTTGGGAGGCTGAGGCAAGAGAATTGCTTGAACCCAGGGAGGCAGAGGTTGCAGTGAGCCGAGATCACACCATTGCACTCCACCTTGGGCAACAAAAGCAAAACTCTGTCTCAAAAAAAAAAAAAAAAAAAGTGCCAGCGTATGAGGTAATTAGATTGGTTCTCTCCAGAGGTAACCTGCCAAGAAGAGATGCTATAGATGTTACTCCTATACTGTAAAACATTGTGAAATCAGATTACTTTAAAATGATGTATTACAAAGTTATGCAAAAAAGCAGTTGTGACTATGGAAGCCCAAGGCTTATATCCCAGCTCTGTCTTACACTAAATATGGGTACAGTGTTTCCACTCTGTCCATAAAATGGGAGCTAATATTCTCCAACCTGTGTGCCTGACATGATGGTTAAAGGGATTAAACAAAACAATAGTTTGTAATTTATTCTGTCAGAGCAAACTGCTGGTAAATAAAAGGGACTAAGTTGACGAAAAATAAATTTTAAAAAACCTAATAAAACAAGTTTGTAATTTATAATTGTATACAAATAAAAGATGTTACAAAAATTGCGCACTTATATGTATGTACCATGACATAACTAATTCGTTGAACAAGTTGTGAGACAATCCTTTCTGAGAAAAGGTAGACCTGTTACATCGTCTGTGGGTTAGGGTCATGTCAGCACGTACCAGGTACATTCTAGCTTTTGTAGAGAAAGTAAAATCTAGTGTTGAGTATGTAGGCACTGAGCCAGGTGGCCTGCTTAACATAAAAGGACTGATTTCAGGGTGGCTGTGGGAGCCTTTCTAATGCTCTAATTCTCTAGCCCCTTGCCTGATCCAGCTGATTCCAAGAGCCAAGATTTTAGTCTTTCTTGGTTGGCTTTTTTAAATGCTTTGGGCTTTCCTTTAATGTATCTTCAAAATCATTCTGGGGCCAAGTTACATCATAAAACATTTTATTACATATAAGGACTGAAACAGGATTTTTCTTAACTGTAACATGGTCCACAAATGTAAATGCAAAACCCCCATGGTGGTTGCAGGAGCAAGTCTAGTTGAGACAGGTCAGGACGAAAGCATAAAAGATGAGTAACTGAATGGCATCCCGGGTCCTGTAGCCACGCCCTCCAGATCGCCGCCGCAAAGGACCTGGAACCTCAGGGGCCCACTGTATGCCATGAAGAAGGCGCAGTCGCTGCCTCAACCAAGCCAGGCTCCGCCGGGGCCGTTCCTATCCTGAGGGTCGGAGGGGGAAGGGACTCAGCCAAAGCCGCGGCCTCCCAGGGCTTGGGCCTCCGCGGCAGCCGGGACGCTGTGGGTTCGCCGTGGATCGCCGCGATGTGGCGTTTCTCCAGGCCCGGGAGTTCCTGGCCCTGCTGGACCAGCTGCAGGAGCTGCGCCAGGGTAACCGAAGCTGAGGCAGAGGCCGGGGCCGAGCATTGGGGACTGCGGGGACGCTCCATGTCGGGTCGCGAATCCTGACCGGCGTGTAATGCAGAGAAGCGAGCACTTCCGGGCCGAATGGGTGCAACCACCATGGGGGAGGTGGGGAAAGGAAAGGGAGGCTGTAGACCGTACCAAGCCGGCCCAGAACTGGGGGAGCACTTGACAACTCTGACCAGCTCCCTGCAGAAACGCTTTAGAAGCGTCCACGATTTAGCCAAACCCAGAGTGCCCAACGGACGCGCCAAAGAAGAAAAACGGACGGACGTGCCAAAACTTGAAGGCTAGCACAGGACAGAACAAGCCTGCGGACGCGCCGCTGCGGGCAAAAAGACCCATACATACATAAGCACCGCGCACATGCCCATTTTCATGCACACCCCCGGGCGCGCGTACAAGGATTCAGATACAACGCATGGCGGGGGATAATCCCCATACTAGGCTCCGCAGCACGGGACAAAGCATAACTGTAGAGTTGTTCCCAGAGGCCTCAGGAGTGACACCGCCACCAAGCCACGCTACTCTCTTAGTTGTTATTATTGTTTTGTGTTGTTTTAGACGGAGTCTCACTCTGTTGCCCAGGCCGGAGTGCAGCGATGCGATCTCAGCGCACTGCAACCTCCGCCTCCTGGTTCAAGCGATCCACAGGGTCCCTAGTGCCTCAGCCTCCCTAGTAGCTGGTGTATGCCACCAAGCCCAGCTAATTTTTGTATTTTTAGTAGAAACAGGGTTTCACCATGTTGGCTAGGCTAGTCTCGAACTCCTGACCTTAAGTGATGCACCCGCCTCAGCTTTCCAAAGTGCGGGGATTACAGGTGTGAGCCACCGCACCCAGCCAGAGCCTCACCACTTTCTTCACACTTCCTGCCATCCTTCAATTCTTGGTGGTCCCAGAGAAGATCGAAGGTGAAAGCAGGTCAGATGTGCTACAGCTGCTCTGACTGCTCGGAAAGTCAGGTTTTTAAATTATCAAAAGTGGCCGGGCACGGTGGCTCACACTTGTAATCCCAGCACTTTGGGAGGTGGAGGCAGGTGGATCTCAAGGTCAGGAGTTTGAGACCAGCCTGACCAACATGGGGCAACCCCCGTCTCTACTAAAAATACAAAAATTAGCTGGGTGTGGTGGCATGCACCTGTAATCCCAGCTACTCAGGAGGCTGAGGCAGGAGAATCGCTTGAACCTGGGAGGCAGAAGTTGCAGTGAGCTGAGATTGCAGCACTGCACTCTACCCTCGGTGACACAGCAAAACTCTGTCTCAAAAAAAAAAAAAAAAAGTATCAAAAGCTAGACTGATCTGGTGAACATCACCTTAATCAAAGAATCAAAGCTTAATGGCCAGGCGTGGTGGCTCACACCTGTAATCCCAGCACTTTGGGAGGCTGAGGTGGGCAGGTCACCTGAGATCAGGAGTTTGAGACCAGCCTGGCCAACATGGCGAAACCCCATCTCTACTAAAAATACAAAAAAATTAGCCAGGCATAGTGGTGCGCACCTGTAATCCCACCTACTTGGGAGGCTGAGGCAGAAGAATTGCTTGAACCTAGGAGGCAGGGAGGTTGCAGTGAGATGAGATCACACCACTGCACTCCAGCCTGGGCAACAGAGTGAGACTCAGTCTCAAAAAAAAAAAAAAAAAAAAAGCTTAATAGGACAAACTGGCCTTGTGTGCCTTCTGATGTGATGCACTGGGAAGGACACACACACGGGGAGTACATTTCTGTAGTAGTCCTCCCCAAAATGCCCAAAAAATGTTCACTCACCACCTAGTCTTGAGGAAATAGAGATCAAAGTGAGAGAGATTCTGCAAAATGATTGGTCTGGACACTTTACAGATGTCGTTGTTATAAAACATTAAGAAAAAGCTAAGAACTACCCCAGATTAAAGGAGACATAAAAAATAAATACAGGCCAGACACAGTGGCTCATGCCTTTAATCCCAGCACTTTGGGAGGCTGAGGTCGGTGGATTGCTTGAACTCAGGAATTCAAGACCAGCCTGGGCAATATAGCAAAACCCCATCTCTACTAAAAAATACAAAAAAAAAAAATTGCTGAACATGGTGGTGGACACCTGTAGTCCCAGCTATTCTGGAGGCAGTGGTCGAAGAATCGCTTGAACCCGGGTAGGTGGAGGTTGCACTGAGCTGTGATTGCCAGCAACTTCCGACTGGGAGACAGAGTGAAACTCTGTCTCCAAAAATAAAATAAAATATAAATAAATAAATAAATTCAATGAGTGATCCTGGATTAGATGCAAGATTGTGTAGGGGAGATCAGCTCTAAAGGACATTTTACCCTTGGGGAAATTTGAATATGATCCATATATTAGATGACAACGATATATCAATGTTAAATTTATCAAGTGTGATAATTGTGGTTATGTGTGGGAATTACCTTGTTCATAGCAAATACATTCTGAAGTATGTAGAGGTGAAGTGTCATGATGACAGAAAGAAAGCAAATGTGGCAAAATTGCTAAGAATTAGTGAATCCACGTGAGGGTTTGAAACTTGTCAAAATAAAAAGTTGGGGTAGGCCCGGTGCAGTGGCTCACGCCTATAATCCCAGCACTTTGGGAGTGGTCAAGGCAGGAGGATCACTTGAACCCAGGAGTTCAAGACTAACCTGGGCAACATAGTGAGACCCCCTCCAAAAACAAAAATTGGCTGGATGTGGTGGCACACACCAGTAGTTCCAGCTACTTGGAAGGCTGAGGCTGGAGTATCACTTGAGCTCAGGAGGTTGAGGCTGCAGTGAGCCAAGATTGTTCCACTGCACTCTAGCCTGAGCAACAGAGACTCTGTTAAAAAAAAAAAAATTGGGGTAGGGGGCACTTGGTAAGAGCTTGAGAAGCCAGTCTGGAGGAAACTGACCATATTGAATGTTGTATAATAAAGAATTTTGAAGGGGTGGCCTGCCCCTCCACACCTGCGGGTATTTCTCGTCAGGTGGGACGAGGGACTAAAAAAAGAAATAAGACACAGAGACAAAGTATAGAGAAAGAACACTGGGCCCAGGAGACCAGCGCTCAGCGTACGGAGGACCTGCACTGGCCCCAGTCTCTGAGTTCCCTCAGCATTTACTGATTATTATTTTCACTGTCTCAGCAAGGGGAATGCAGCAGGAGAACAGGGTGATAGCGGGGAGAAGGTCAGCAAGAAAACATGTGAGCAAAGGAATCTGTGTCACAAATAAGTTCAAGGGAAGGTACTATGCCTGGATGTGCACATAGGCCAGATATATGCTTCTCTCCACCCAAACATCTCAGTGTAGTAAAGAATAACACAGCAGTATTGCCACCAGCATATCTCGCCTCCAGCCACAGGGCGGTTTTCTCCTATCTCAGAATAGAACGAATGTACAATCGGGTATTATACTGAGACATTCCGTTCTCAGGGGCATGCAGGAGACAGAGGCCTTCCTCTTATCTCAACCGCAAGAGGCCTTCCTCTTTTACTAATCCTCCTCAGCACAGACCCTTCACGGGTGTCGGGCTGGGGGATGGTCAGGTCTTTCCCGTCCCACGAGGCCATACCTCAGGCTGTCTCAGTGGGGAGAAACCTTGGACAATACCTGGCTTTCCTGGGCAGAGGTCCCTGTGGCTTTCTGCAGTGCATTGTGCCCCTGGTTAATCGAGAATGGAGAATGGCGATGACTTTTACCAAGCATACTGCCTGTAAACATTTTGTTAACAAGGCACATCCTGCACAGCCCTAGATCCCTTAAACCTTGATTCCATACAACACATATTTCCGTGAGCACAAGGTTGGGGCTAAAGTTACATATTAACAGCATCTCAAGGCAAAACAATTGTTCAGGGTACAGATCAAAATGGAGTTTCTTATGTCTTCCTTTTCTATGTAGACACAGTAACAGTCGGATCTCTCTTTTCCCTACATATCCCCCTTTTTGACAAAACTGCCATCGTCGTTATGGCCCGTTCTTGCTGGTCGCTGTCTCTTCGGAGCTGGTGGATACACCTGTGGACTAACAACAGACAGAACAGGCATACAAGGATTAATATGAAATTTACAATAGTGGAACTTCTGATGGTTTTTAACCAAGTGACAGTGTTAAGATTTGTGAGGCCATCAGTAGCTTTCACGATTGCCTCAGTTCCCAAATTTAAATGGGCTTTCGATGCCTCAAAATTTTGTTATTTTAATTTTGAAATATCTAAAGTAAGATTATCTTCTCTTCCCTGTAGATGGCATCTAACCATGTCCCAGTGATGCTCAGACTCATTATAGGCTTGGGGTGTAATACAAAAATCTGACATATTCCAGTCACACTGTAACTGAAAAAGATATTCCAAGCTCATGAGCCTATTTCCCAGCCAAATGACAGTTTGTCTAAGATCATTAATTTCGTTTGCCAATTTTTGATTTATTTGGGTCTGAGAATTCCACAATTTTGAGGAATTCTTTCGCCAATCATTTACATATTCTGCAGTTTGAACAGAGGAGTGTAAAGCAATTCCAGCAGCTGCAGCAGTAGCTGTGACTGCAATAAGGCCCATAATCACTGCAATCAAAGTAAAAATCTTTTGGATCTAGTTAGAATTCCTTTTAATACTTCCGTTAAAATATGGAAGATGGCGAAGCCTCCCACTGTCGGTCCATGGACACAGGGATCCGCACACCTTCTCTTGCCCTCACTAGCAGAATATGGCGCTGCCAATTAAAAGTCAAATCAATGCAAGTAAACAATCTACAGTTTTCACAGGTTATAGTTTGGGAATCTGGTTTAATAACTATGTTTTCTATAACTAGCATATAAGGGGGTTTTACACAACTTTGTAAAGGAATTGTCAGATTGGAATTTAGGTTGATAGTATAATATGGCTTACGATTTCTTGTTTCTGTAGCTTGATTTCCAGACCAAATTCTAATGTAGTGCGAGGCCACAGTAAGCTTCCATAATTTTGGATGTTTAGGACCAGTAACAGGACTAACTAACTTTGGTCGAGGTGATGAAATTCCCTTTTCACCCCATTTCCAGGGATAGGGTGATTCTAGCCTTCTATAAACCTGGTCCAGCCTTTCAATTAAATCACTATCATAGGCCGGATTAATGGGCCAGATGGATGGGGCCTGTAAACATGAGTGAGTCTGGCCCATACAATTATATATAATATAATTGTATATAATATAATATAATATATAACTATTATATAATATTATAGTAGTTCCAAATTCATTGTTTTGTAATACCACCGCAGTATTAGCCACACATTCTTCCCAAACTAAGGCTTCTGGGCTTTTTGATTCTTTGGGAATTTCCTTGGGGCAAGGCTTCCCCTTAGGCCCAGATTTTAATGATCTTTGATAAGAAGCGTCCTCTAAATTATTTATCTGTGGCCCGAGTGACATTCCACTTACCATGTGATAAGTAAATTTACTGGTGGCACTGACGGTAGGTACTTCTACCAACCAGTTTTGGGTTGTAGGCATTAAACATCCTGGTGCCTTCCCTAGGCAAATAGGAGGATAATGATACCCAGTGGAAACATTTATCATCATTCCTTCTTCTTTAGGTTGGGCAGGGCAACAATCGTCTGTGGGGCCTGGTACCCATGCCCTATTATTAACATATACTTCAACAGGATTATCCATCCATGTGACTGCCCAAATTAAGGGTGGGAAAGGCACATAGGCACAGTAAGTATAATTAGTTGCAGCTGCTCCTGCAGACATGGGGAGACTTACTACCGTTGATATAATAATCAAAGCTGTAAGCAGTATATTCTCTGGAGTTCACATTACCCTTGTGTTCTTTAGGCTTTTTTTAGCTAACTGTGTCAGCTTCTTTAATTGGGCCCAAGTCGGTGGCTCCGCTTCCTTGGTGGATGGCAACTTCATCTGTTCTTCTGATATCACCATTTTATTTACCTGGCGAGTCGATGATGCTCAATTGAGGGTTTTTTGTCTCCGCAGAGGCGCTTTTCTTCGCATCTCCAAGGGGTTCATTGTAGAACTTTAAATTTCTAGTGGGTATCCAACCAGGAAGCTGATTTTCTCCTTGTGAAACACAAGCAAAGCCTCTCTCCCATGTTATCACCTTCCCTATTTCCCATGTCTTATTTTTCTTGTCTTTCCACCAAATCAGTTTTCCTTCATGTGGGCTATTCTTTTTACCAGTAAAATGTTGTTCTGCAGAAGTAGTGGTTTGATTTCTATAAATGTTTAAAAAATTTAAAGTATAGAGTGCTAGATTAAGTTGCATCTGGGGAGTGTTATACTCCTTACTGTCTTTTTTCCTTTTTTTGTTTAACCAATTGAGCTTTGAGTGTTCTATCAGTTTTTTCAATTATGGCCTGTCCTTGGGAATTATAAGGGATTCCTGTTGTATGTGTAATTTTCCACTGATTTAAGAATTTTTGAAATGTTTTACTACAGTATCCTGGCCCATTATCCGTTTTAATTTTTTCTGGAACTCCCATGACAGCAAAACAAGATAATAAATGTCTTTTAACATGGGAAGTATTTTCTCCTGTCTGGCAGTTTGCCCTTACAAAATGTGAATAAGCATCAACTGTCACATGGAGAAATGACAATTTTCCAACTGAAGGTACATGTGTGACATCCATTTGCCATAACGCATTAGGACACAGACCTCTGGGATTAACTCCTGCCTCCTGAGTGGGCAGGTGTGGAATCTGACACTGGGTGTAATGTTGTACAATATTTTTTGCCTGTTTCCATGTGATGTCAAATTTATTTTTTAGTCCTGTTGCATTTACATGAGTCAAGGCATGAAGTTCTTGTGCTTCCAGGAATGCAGATGATACTAGCAAGTCAACTTGTTCATTTGCTTTAGTTAAAGGCTCTGGTAAATTAGTATGTGCTCGAATATGAGTAACATAAAATGGGAAATTTCTTTTTCTTACAGTTTGTTGTAACATATTAAACAGCTGGTTTAACTGATCATCTATACTATATTTGATTAGGGCTGTCTCAACATCCTTTGTAGCCTGTACTACATATGCAGAATCTGATACAATGTTAATAGGCTGATTAAAATCTTGTAACACTGTAATGACAGCAACCAACTCTGCTCTTTGAGCCCAGTGATATTGAGTTTCAATGAGTCGTTCTTTTGGCCTGGTGTAAGCCGCTTTTCCATTGCTGGAACCATCAGTAAACACTGTCAGAGCATTTTCTAAAGGTTTATGTCTAGTAATTTTAGGTAAAATCCAAGTAGTCAATTTTAAAAACTGGAAGATTTTTGTTTTTGGGTAATGATTGTCAATAATTCCCACAAAATCAGCAAGACCAATCTGCCATGCACCAGAATTGATAAAGGCTTGTCTAACCTGTTCCTTGTTTAAAGGAACAATGATTTTATCTGAGTCACTTTCACACAATTTTATTATTCGTAATCTTGCCTGACCAATTAATGTAGCCATTTGATCCAAGTACAATGTAAAAGTCTTAATTGTACTATGAGGAAGGAAGAACCACTCCACAAGATCTGTATTTTGAGCAATAATGCCTGTTGGAGAATGTGCAGTAGCAAAAATCAAAAGTTGGAGTGGGGCTAAGTGATCTATTCTATTTACTTGTGCTGACCGAATTTTTTCTTCAACTAATTCAATTTCTTTAGTTGCTTCTGGAGTTAATGTTCTTTTACTATTCAATTCTGGATCCCCTCTTAAGATAGAGAACAAATTTGACATGGCATAAGTAGAGATGCCTAGAGTTGGCTGAATCCAATTAATATCTCCTAGCAATTTTTGAAAGTCATTTAATGTTTTTAATGTGTCTTTTCTTATTTCTATTTTTTATGGTTTAATTTTCGTTTCCTCCACCTGCATTTCCAAGTAATGGAAAGGAGTAGAGGTTTGAATCTTATCAGATGCTGTCGTCAGTCCTGCGTTTGCAACCTCTGTCTGCAGAAATGTGTAACAGTCAATTAATTTGTCTCTCCTTTCTGTAGCACACAAAATATCATCAACATAATGAATGATATAAGAGTCTGAAAACTGTCTCTAATTGGTTGAAGAGCTTGAGCTACAAAAGTCTGGCAAATAGTTGGACCATTAAGCATTCCCTGAGGCAACACTTTCCACTGAAACCTGGTGGCTGGTTCTTTATTATTTATGGCTGGTATAGTAAAAGCAAATTTTTCAAAATCCTGTTTTGCCAGAGGAACGGTAAAAAAGCAATCCTTCAGATCAATTATAACTAAAGGCCGATCTTTGGGGATCATGACCGGAGAGAGCAACCCAGGTTGGAGAGCCCCCATGGGTTGAATTACAGCATTAACGGCTCTTAAGTCGGTCAGCACGCGCCATCTGCCGGATTTTTTCTGAATTACAAACACAGGAGAATTCCAAGGCGAAAATGAAGGCTCAATATGTCCCTTTTCTAATTGTTCCTTTGCTAATAAGTGTAAAGCCTCCAGCTTTTGTTTTGGTAGCAGCCACTGATTCACCCATACAGGTTTTTTTGTTTTCCAAGTTAATGGAATGGGTTTTGGAGGCTCTACAGTGGCCGCTCTTAAAAAGGATACCCTATTCCTTTTCTTTTTTGAGTTTTTTCAGCCTCAATTGGGACTTTAATGCTGTCTTCATTCTTTCCTAGTCCCTTTTCAGGGAGATATCCCATTTTAGTTATGATTTTTTGACTCGTGGGGCTGTATTGGGGGCTGGGATAGTAATCGCTGCATGCCATTGTTGTAACAAGTCTCGGCCCCATAAATTAATTGGAATAGAAGTGATCATAGGCTGAACTGTACTTTCTTGATCATCAGGTCCTAGACAATGTAAACTCATGGCACTTTGATACACTTCTGAGGCAGTGCCTACGCCGACAAGTCCTGTAACAGGCTTTTGTTTAGGCCAATTTTGGGGCCATTGATTTAAGGCAATGATAGCACCATCACCCAGTATCCACTAATCCTTCAAACTGCTTTCCCTGAATAGTGACTGCACACACGGGTCTATCCTCTGAGACCTGACTAGCCCAATAAGCGGCTTTTCCGGCAGGGTTGGTACTTCCAAACCCTCCTGTTCTTTCCGTTTTGTTTTTCCCAATTTTAATACAAGGCAAAAGCAGTAATTGTGCAATTCTATCACCTGGATTGGCACTCCAGGGAACAGTGGAGCTGATCACTAACTGAATTTCCCCTTTATAATCTGAATCAATTACACCAGTATGAATTTGGACTCCCTTCAAATTTAGACTTGATCTCCCTAAAATAAGGCCTACCGTCCCTTCTGGCAGCGGGCCATATACCCCTGTAGGAATCTTTTGCGGGGGCTCTCCAGGGAGTAAAGAAACCATTTGAGTAGAACACAAATCTACTGCTGCGCTGCCTGCTGTGGCAGGGGACAGCTGTTGTATTGTTGTAATTGGCTGACTCCCTGAAGTGGTGGTATTTCCTGCGGGAGTTTTTGTCCCTGAAAACCCTGAGGAACAAACGGCTGAATCGGAATGCCCCAATTTGTTGCGGGGCCTGAGGCTGGCCCCTCTTCCCATTTCCCCAACAATGGTTGCCCATCTTTATCAAATTTAGAATGACATTGATTAGCCCAATGTTTTCCTTTTCCACATTTTGGACACAGGCCAGGTGGCTCTTTATTTTTTGCCGTTATAGCTTGATTTATTTATATTTATATTTTTCTTTTTTTTGAGACGGAGTCTGGCTCTGTTGCCCAGGCTGGAGTGCAGTGGTGCGATCTCGGCTCACTGCAAGCTCTGCCTCCTGGGTTCATGCCATTCTCCTGCCTCAGCCTCCCGAGTAGCTGGGACTATAGGCACCCGCCACCACGCCTGGCTAATTTTTTGTATTTTTAGTAGAGATGGGGTTTCACCATGTTAGCCAGGATAGTCTCGACCTCCTGACCTTGTGATCTACCAGCCTCGGCCTCCCAAAGTGCTGGGATTACGGGTGTGAGCCACCGTGCCCGGCCAGCTTGATTTATTATATTCTGTTTACTTAAGACTGGGCAACTCCTTTTCGGATGACCGATTTGACCACAATTATAACATTTTTTCCCAAATGTTCTAACTTGTCCTCCTAAAGCGACTCCCGCTATTGCTTCAGCCATTAGCATTGCCTTTATACATAGCTCCTCCAATCCCATCATAAGCCTTCACTTATTCTGTAATTACATCAACTCCTGCTGGAACTTTTCTTTTTAATGGCTTTATGGCCGATTGACATTCTGGATTTGCATTTTGATAGGCCATTAATTCTACAATATCTTTTCGGGCGTTATCATCTGTAACAGATTTTTGAGCAGCATCTTGCAACCTTGCCACAAAGTCTGGATATGGCTCTTTAGAGACTTGTCTAATTGAATTAAAAGAAGGGCAGGTGGTTCCCAGGTCCTGAATTTTTTCCCAGGCCCTGAGGCAAATAGCCCTTAGGTGTTCAATAGCCCTTAGGTGTTCAACAGGTGTTCTGCATTACTGATTGTTGGTTAATGGTGCTCCAATTTGGACCTGTTCCTAGCAATTGGTCTGCATCTATATTAACAGTGGGGTTAGTAACCTGATTTTTTCGTACCTGTTCTTGTACTCCATCGATCCACCACGGTTTAAACTGTAGAAACTGAGAGGGTGAAAGGGAAGATTTAGCCAAAATTTCCCAGTCATAAGGAATAAGTCTATTTCCATGAACAATGGAATCTAATAATGTTCTCACATAAGGGGAGTTGGGTCCATATTAACTCCTTCCTTCATATCTTTTAACATTTTCATGGTGAAAGATTCATATCTAGCTTCAGTTTGGACAGACGCTCCTGCTAGAGTCCCTTTCCCGGCCGGTATCGGTTGTAAAATTACCGGGAACTCCCATGCCTCAAGATCTCCCTGTTTACTGGCTTTATCAATAATTTCATGCAGTGTACTACCTTGTCCACTAGGTGGTGCGGTAGGATTAAACACCACTGCCGTGGGTTGCTGGTATGGTGCCGTGCTATTTGGCACAGGACACACCACTTGAGGTCTGTATTTAACCTCTGGAGGTGGCCGATACTGAAGGTCGGCTGGCGGCCAGTACTGATAAATTACTGGTGGTTGGGTCTTATTTTCTACCAGCTTATATTGTGGATACTGCATCTGAATTGGCATTGCCGGGATAGAGACTCTATCCTTTTCTACTTGATATTCTCTTGGGGTTTGTACTTGTCTAACCTCCCTTTGAGGTTGTAATGTTACAGGTATCTGAACCACGGGAGGAGTTGATGGCCATCGTGGTTTAGGCTCTGATGGCCCCAATAATTCTGGACCTCCTTCCCCCAATTTTGATTATTCATGATATATTACCTCCTTTAATTGATTGTAGTCAACATTTTGCGTTGACCAAGCCATTACAGACTCTGCTACATATTTACAATGTGAACTTTCCATTCCTTTCCTAAACTCTGTCTCTGCCTCTTCTTCACAATCTATTACACAGCTTTCAGGGGCAGCAGAAATGCTATCTTCTTCTGTTTGAAACGGTTCTAAAGTTGCTTTAATAATGGCCCAATCATTCCATACTGTAAGTAGGATGATTTTACCTTCCCTATTTGCTTGTTTTAATTCTTTGCCAATTTTTTTCCCAATCTTTTAGATCTAAAGTTCTCTGTTCTGGAAACCAGGGGCAAAATTGTTCTATTGTTTGAAATAGCGTAATTAGATTTTCTGTAGAAGCCCTAACTCCCCCTCTTCTTAAAAGAATTTTAATGAAGCTGAGATAAGAGGCATATTTACTTTCAGTTTGTCCCATTGTTACCCTGGGTTCCTCCGAGCACACAAGCTTACCGCAAGGCTGACGGTGGACGTACTCGGGAATCTCTCGTCGACTGTCCTCAATGCTCACGTTCTTAATGTACCTTCACCTTAGAGAAAGGCACCCACATTGGCGGCAGATGAAGGGGTGGCCTGCCCCTCCACACCTGTGGGTATCTCTCGTCAGGTGGGACGAGAGACTAAAAAAAGAAATAAGACACAGAGACAAAGTATAGAGAAAGAACAGTGGGGCCCAGGAGACTGGCGCTCAGCATACAGAGGACCTGCACCGGCCCCCGTCTCTGAGTTCCCTCAGTATTTACTGATTATTATTTTCACTATCTCAGCAAGGGGAATGTGGCAGAACAGGGTGATAGCGGGGAGAAGGTTGGCAAGAAAACATGTGAGCAAAGGAATCTGTGTCACAAATAAGTTCAAGGGAAGGTACTATGCCTGGATGTGCACATAGGCCAGACTCATGCTTCTCTCCACCCAAACATCTCAGTGTAGTAAAGAATAACAGAGCAGTATTGCCACCAGCATATCTCACCTCCAGCCACAGGGCGGTTTTCTCCTATCTCAGAATAGAACGAATGTACAATCGGGTTTTATACTGAGACATTCCGTTCCCAGGGGCATGCAGGAGACAGAGGCCTTCCTCTTATTTCAACTGCAAGAGGCCTTCCTCTTTTACTAATCCTCCTCAGCACAGACCCTTCACGGGTGTTGGGCTGGGGGATGGTCAGGTCTTTCCCGTCCCACGAGGCCATACCTCAGGCTGTCTCAGTGGGGAGAAACCTTGGACAATACTGGCTTTCCTGGGCAGGGGTCCCTGTGGCTTTCTGCAGTGCATTGTGCCCCTGGTTAATCGAGAATGGAGAATGGCGATGACTTTTATCAAGCATACTGCCTGTAAACGTTTTGTTAACAAGGCACATCCTGCACAGCCCTAGATCCCTTAAACCTTGATTCCATACAACACATATTTCTGTGAGCACAAGGTTGGGGCTAAAGTTACAGATTAACAGCATCTCCAGGCAAAACAATTGTTCAGGGTACAGATCAAAATGGACTTTCTTATGTCTTCCTTTTCTATGTAGACCCAGTAACAGTCTGATCTCTCTCTCTTTTCCCTACAAGTTTGGCGTAGGCTGGGTATGGTGGCTCACGCCTGTAATCCTAGCACTTTGGGAGGCTGAGGCGGGCAGATCACCTGAGATCAGGAGTTCGAGACCAGGCTGACCAACATGGAGAAACTCCATTTCCACTAAAAATACAAAAATTGGCCGGGCACGGTGGCTCACGCCTGTAATCCCAGCACTTTGGGAGGCCGAGGCGGGTGGATCACCTGAGATCAGGAGATCGAGACCATCCTAGCTAACACGGTGAAACCCTGTCTCTACTAAAAATACAAAAAAATTAGCCAGGCGTGGTGGCGGGCGCCTGTAGTCCCAGCTACTCGACAGGCTGAGGCAGGAGAATGGCGTGAACCTGGGAGTGGAGCTTGCAGTGAGTGGAGATTGCACCACTGCACTCCAGCCTGGGCGATAGAGTGAGACTCCATCTCAAAAAAAAAAAAAAAAAAAAAAAAAATAGAATTTGGCCTTTGTCCCTGGTGCTTGGGAGGGAGACTCAATCCTTAGAATTTCTCAAGTACTAAGAGTGATATTTATGGCCCAGATAGTTTATGCTAATTCGGTGACTCATGGTGGGCCATAAGCAGTTTCAGGATAGGAGCTGACCATATCAGAAAGACCAACTCTGTGATTAGAGATTGGGGATTCAATCCACTTGAGGTTCAGGGAGGGGAAATGGAACTGAATCTCCAGCCAGTGATTTAATCAACTATGCCTATGTAATGGAACTCTGATAAAAAAAAAAAAAAGAAAGAAAAAACTCTGAATGCAGGCTGGGAGTGGTACCTCAGGCCTGTACTGCCAGCACTTTGGGGAGGCCAAGGCAGGAGGATTGCTTGAGCCCAGGAGCTTGAGTCTCCAACCTGAACCAGAGAGCAAAATCCCGTTTCTACAAAAAAGAATAAAATTAGCCGGGTGTGGTGACATGCACCCGCAGTCCCAGCTACATGGGAGGCTGAGGTGGGAGGATCACTTGAGCCTGAGAGATAAAAGCTACAGTGAGCCGTATCATGCCACTGTGCTCCAGCCTGGACAACACAGCCAGACCCTGTCTCAAAAACAAACAAACAGGCTGGGCATGGTGGCTCACGCCTGTCATCTCAACACTTCGGGAGGCCGAAGCAGGCGGATCATGAGGTCAAGAGATCAAGACCATCCTGGCCAATGTGAAACCCCGTCTCTATTAAAAATACAAAAATTAGCTGGTTGCGGTGGCACACACCTGTAATCCCAGCTACTTGGGAGGCTGAGGCAGGATAATCGCTTGAACCTGGGAGGTGGAGGTTGCAGTGAGCCAAGATCGTGCCACTCCAGCCTGGGTGACAGATAGAGACTCTGTCTCAAAAAAAAAAAAAAATACAAGCAACAACAAAAAAACTTCTGGATACAGAACTCTGGAGTGCCCTGGTTGATGAACATATGGAGTGTCAGAGGGCAGAGGGCGACATAACCTGCCTGATTCCGCAGGGAGAGGGCATGGTATCTCTGCATTCAGAACCCTCTCACACTTGCCCTGCATGTCTCCCTGGCTGGTTGTGCTGATTTCTATCCTCCATAATAAAACTGTAATCATAAGAATAGCACTTTCCTGAGTTCTGTGAGTTGTTGTAGTGACTTATTGAATCTGAGGGGGATCATGAGAAACCCCCAAATTTGTAGCCAGTCAGTCAGAAGTGTGGGTGACCTGAGAATCCCCCTGACCTTGCAGCTGACCTCTGAAGTAAAGGCAGTTTTCTTGGGGATTGTGCATTTTAACTTGCGGGGTCTGCACTAGCTCTGGATGGTGAGTGCCAGAATTGAACCGCAGTACGCCAGTTGGTAGTTAACAGAATACTACGCGATGGAAGAACTTATCACGTCTGTGGCCTGGGTCAATTCCCCGGGCAGACTCCTTCAGTTCTTCCCCTAAGGATTTCTTCCTAACTCACCAGGTTCACTTTCTTTCCCAGATGTCCTTGGCCCTGGTTCTACTCCCAAGATCCTTGCTGGGAGGCTCTGGTTTCTTGCTATACCATTGCCTCCTTTCCTGCCAGCCAAGTGCAAGATGAAAGCATGCCTATGATGTCAAAACGGACTTGGGTGTTCTCCCAGCCACAGTAAAAGTCAAATGTCCTCGGAATTAGGGAGAGTGATGTGCATGTGGTTGGGAAGTGGGGGATCATCTCAGTGTCATTCTTAAATCTTCTCTCACATTCTTTCATTTTGTCCACAGCACAACCCCATAAAATGATCAGGACAAGTTAGGAATTAGGGATTGACAAGAAGGACCTCAAACATCACTGAGTCCAAACCCTCTTAGATAGCTAACCAAGTCCATGAAAGGAAGTAACAGCTGGGTTTGGAACCGAGGCCTCCTGACTCCTGACCCAATGCTCTTCCATTAAACCAGGCTGCCTCCCCTTGATGGGGCTCAGAGGCCCCTGCCCTGTGGGCAGCCATCTAAGCTCATGCACTGCCACAGATATGCATGCAGAAGGCAGGGAGAGAAAATAAGGAAAATTGAATAAACAGACAGAGGCAATGGTATTTCCCATCCAGGTAAATCTAGAGCCTCTCCTTGAGTCAGCCAGGGCACCAGAGGCCAAGAGGTTATTTCAGCAGGGGGTAGCAAGGCCAGGTATCAACCTCTAGGTCTAGAGATAGGTTCCAAACATCCCTAAGCTCATTTATAATTCGTCAGACATCTTTCATCGGTTATTTAAGATATTTCTCGGCCAGGCGCAGTGGCTCATGCCTATAATCCCAGAACTTTGGAAGGTCAAGGCAGGCAGATCACTTGCAACCAGGAGTTTGAGACCAGCCTGGGCAACATAGCAAAACCCCATCTCTACTAAAAATACAAAAAATTAGCTAGGCAAGGTGGTGCACACCTGTAGTCTCAGCTACGTGAGAGGCTGAGGTGGGAGGATCAATTTAGCCTGGAAGGTCAAGGCTGCAGTGTGCCGAGATCGTGCCACTGCACTCCAGACTGAGCAATGGGAGTGAGACCCTGTCTCAACAGATATAGCTAGAAAGATGATAGATAGATAGAGATAAATAGATAGATAGACAGACACGGCCAGGTGTGGTGACTCATGCCTGTAATCCTAGCACTTTGGGAGGCCAAGGCAAGCGGATAACATGAAGTCAGGAGTTCGAGACCAGGCTGGCCAACATGGTAAAACCCCATCTCAACTAAAAATACAGAAATTAGGTGGCATGGTGGCTCACGCCTGTAATCCCAGCACTTTGGGAGGCTGAGGCAGGTGGATCATCTGATGTCAGGAGTTCGAGACCATCCTGGCCAGCATGGTGAAACTCTGTCTCTACTAAAAACACAAAATTATCCAGGCGTGGTGGCGGGCACCTCTAATCCTAGCTACTCGGGAGGCTGAGGCAGGAGAATCACTTGAACCTGGTAGGCAGAGTTTGAGGTGAGCCGAGATGGCGCCACTGCACTCCAGCCTGGGTGACAAAGCGAGAATCCCTCTCAAAAACAAAACAAAAAAAGAATCCCTTGATGGCAACTTGAAGGAGCCCCTCATCTCCTCCAGGCACAGGCACATGTGACTAAGGACAGGACCGGGATGTCATTGTAAAGGTTGCCGAGATTCAGTGCTAAGTAAATGCTTAGCCCTCCAAGTCTCTTATGCTAAAGTAAGGGCATTGCTGGGAAAGGTCTGGGAGCCTGAGATGAGATGGAGACATTTAGGCAGACATGAATAAGACTGAGAACTTTGAAACCCCAAATTCCCTTGAAATTCTCATGTCTGTAGAGATAAGCTCCTCTAATACTGCTCCCTCCTCCCAAAACATCAGCCTCAGAACCCTCCCTGCCCCCATCCCTCTTGGGCCCCAGGCCCTTCATGAGTTAGGTCCCAGCACAGCCCATGGAGAAGCACAAGGTCACGCTGAGAGGGGGACGCCGGGCTGAGTTACAGGCCTGGCCAGCTTGTCTTGGCAGAAGCTGCAGGAGCATGTGTGGGAGTGTGTGCTGAGGGAGCTAGACCAAGGTGGGGGGATGGAAGCCTTGGTTTGTCCAAACTCGTTGCCGTGGATCCTTATCCAGGATTTGGGATTTACTGTGTTGGCCTGAGCACCTGGGAGGAGAATTAATAGTTGGCTAGATTGGCTAATTAAAGTCTGGATTAAGTAGTAGCCTACAGTTAATAAGCATGAAATGCCAGAACTTCCCTGGCATTCTGTAGAAGAAGGAATCAGAAGTCCCCGGGAGACGGGAATGCTGGACTGGATCTATGATGCGCACCTTCTTAGCCACTGCTGCCACATATTTTAGGAGGGTCTGGAAAACACTCCCTTTATGAAAGCATTAAGAAATGCGTTCGTGAGGGCCACCAGCATCCTTGACTTGCTCTGATGACTGTCCTGTCTTGACTAGAGAGCTAGTGGGGTGTGCTGGATGGATCAGTGGAACTGGATTCCCTGATCTCAATGAGAATAATAGCATCTTGGTGGTACAAAGGCCAAATGGTGATGCTTACTTAACAAAGGCAAGGTGGATATAATAGCCCACAACAAGGCAAAGGGACTAAATCATCACCAGGTGGACAAGATGACAGTCCTGTGGACGATGGTCAGCTGCTTTCCCAGCTGCCCCCAGGGCTTGTGCAAAGATATAAAGTGGCCATGGTGACAGGGATGGAAGCTATGTCTGGGCTCAGTAACAGAGTCTTCTCCTCTCTGAGGCTGATCTGGCTGTGGCCAGTGCTGAGCGTCGACCTCCTCACAGCCTAGTGCTGAGTCCCTGATTGGGCATCATTCTCACCTCATTGTAGATTGGTTTGACTGGGTCCTCCCATCACGAAGGGGCTGTATTTTATCTTCATGAGGATAGGCACATATTTCATGTATGAATTTGCTGTCTCTACCTACAGTGCTTCCATCAGCACCACCACTCATGGACTTACTGAATGCCATATCCATCAGCATGGCATTCAACATAATATAGCCTCCAACCAGGGCAATACATGTTACAGCCAAGGAAATGTACAAATGAGCTCACACTCAATGAATTCACTGGCCTTACCATGTACCCCATGGACCAGAAGCAGCTGGCTGGATAGAATGGTAGATTGGCCTCTATTAGAGCACAGCTGGGACACTACCTCTGGCAGGGTAGGGTGCTACCCTACAGGATGCAGGGTGTTTTGTTTTTTGTTTTTGAGATGGAGTCTTGCTCTGTCGCCCAGGCTGGAGTGCAGTGGCGCTATCTCAGCTCAATGTGACCTCCGCCTCCCGGATTCAAGCGATTCTCCTGCCTCAGCCTCCCGAGTAGCTGGGACTACAGGCACCCCGCCACCACGCCCAGCTAATTATTTATATATTTTTTTTGTATTTTTAGTAGAGACAGGGTTTCACCATATTGGCCAGGCTGGTCTCGAACTCCTGACTTTGTGATCTGCCCACCTCGGCCTCCCAAAGTGCTGGGATTACAGGTGTGAGCCACCATGACCGGCCGATGCAGTATATTTTTTAAATCAAAACCACAGTCATATATACCACCAAGAGGGAGGGGTGGCAGAGGCCTCCTCACTATTACATCTAACGTCTATAACCACTAGAAGAATTTTTTTGTAGAGAGAGGTCTTGCTATGTTGCCCAAGCTGGTCTGGAAGTCTTGAGTTCAACCAATCCTTCACCTCCCACCTTTTTTTTTTTTTTTTTGAGACGGAGTCTCTCTCTGTCGCCCAGGCTGGAGTGCAGTGGCGCGATCTCGGCTCACTGCAAGCTTCGCCTCCCGGGTTCACGCCATTCTCCTGCCTCAGCCTCCTGAGTAGCTGGGACTACAGGCGCCCGCCACCGTGCCCAGCTAATTTTTTTTGGATTTTTAGTAGAGACAGGGTTTCACCATGGTCCCGATCTCCTGACCTTGTGATCCGCCCGCCTCGGCCTCCCAAAGTGCTGGGATTACAGGTGTGAGCCACCGCACCCGCCTCACCTCCCACCTTAACCTCCCAAAGTCCAAAGTGCTGGGATTACAGGCATTAGCCACTGCGTCAAGCCTCAAGTATAAATTTTTTGGGGGGGGACAGAGTCTCGTTCTGTCGCCCAGGCTGGAGTGCAGTGGTGTGAGCTCGGCTTACTGCAACCTCCGCCTCGTGGGGTCAAGCGATTCTCCTGCCTCAGCCTCCTGAGTAGCTGGGTAGGTGTGTGCCACCACGCCCGGCTAATTTTTTATATTTTTAGTAGAAATGGCGTTTCACCGTTTTAGCCAGGATGGTCTCGATCTCCTGACCTTGTGATCAGCCCACCTCCCAAAGTGCTAGGATTACAGACGTAAGCCACCGCGCCCGGCCCCCAAGTATAAACTTCTAAAGCACTTGTTCTGATTCCCACCCACTCTACAAGAAAGAGCCCCTCCCCCAGGACCCCGCCCTCTAACTCTGCACTTATGCTTGGGTGTGTGGGCGTGTGTGTGTGTGTGTGTGTGTGCGTGCGTGTAGTGTGTTGCTTAGGCACAGTATCTGTTAACACTCCAGGTCCCCTACCTGTCTCTTCCCTCTTGACTGCTGAGAGCATCTCTTTTTGTCTGATTATCCCCAGCCCCAATTCCTGGCATAAAGCAGAGACCAATAGGTCGGGCCTGGTGCCTAACACCTGTAATCCCAGCACTTTGGGAGGTCGAGGTGGGCGGATCACGTGGTCAGGAGTTCGAGACCAGCCTGACCAACATGGTGAAACCCTGTCTCTACTAAAAATACAAAAATTAGCCGGGTGTGGTGGTGGGCGCCTGTAATCCCAGCTACTCAGGAGCCTGAGGCAGGAGAATCGCTTGAACCCGGGAGGTGGAGGTTGCAGTGAGCCGAGATTGTGCCACTGCACTCCAGCCTGGGTGACAGACCGAGACTCTGTCTCAAAAAAAAAAAAAAAAAAAAAAAAAAGGCAGAGACCAATAAATGGTTCTGAATGAAAGAATGAATGAACATTTTAGGCTTGTATACTATTTCATCGTGCATATCCACCATATTTTATTTAGCTATTTCCTTATCATTGAACATTTAGGTGATTTTTTTTGTTATAAATAACACTGTAGCTTTTCATTTGATAAATTAAATAGGTGTGCCCCTGTCAGCATTCCTGAAGGGGACTTTTTTTTTTTTTTTTTTTTTTTTTGAGACAGAGTTTCGCTCTTGTTGCCCAGGCTGGAGTGCAATGCGTGATCTCGGCTCACTGCAACCTCCACCTCCTGGGTTCAAGCGATTCTCCTGCCTCAGCCTCCCAAGTAGCTGGGACTACTGGCGCGTGCCACCACACTCGGCTAATTTTGTATTTTTAGTAGAGACGGGGTTTCTCCATGTTGGCCAGGCTGGTCTCGAACTCCTAACCTCAGGTGATCCGCCCGCCTTGGCCTCCCAAAGTGCTGGGATTACAGGCGTAAGCCACCACGCCCGGCCTACTTTTTCTTAATTTTATTTTTCACATCCTACGTGGCTCGTCTCAGCTTTCCATGGGCCCTCGGTTTTCCACCGGTACATAAGAAAAAATGGAGGGGAGGTATCAATTAGCGTGAGCACCTGCCATGCCCCAGGCACGCAGATGGGCGCCCCTATTTCATTTCTCTGCCCCGGCAGCCTTGTGAATGAGCTTTGGAAGAGACAGCCCTGTAAACACATCCCTCTGCTGAACTGCCGCCTCCAGCTGGCTCCACCACTGGCCTGCTAGGGTATCTTCGCCGTTTCAACTTAGTTTTTCTGGGCCCGTTTCCTTAGCCGGTAACACCTGGTGGGATGGTTGTGAGGATTAAATTAGATATCTGGGAACGAGTCCTGGCCAGCGAATGATAGGTTCGCCCAAGTCCAGTTAAAAGGCCGTCCGCCCAGGGCAAGGCGTCTTCAGGGCCAGCAAGACTATGGGGTCCGAGGGAGACTCGGGGATCTCAGCAAGAGGAGACCAATGTGAGGAGCAGGCAAGGAACGCTTCCAGGCTGCGGTGGCCAGGGACGCCTGAGCCCCGCGGGAGCCGGAGCGGACAGGCGGAAGGGTCAGCTACTGCAGATAGAGGCGGCTGGCTCGGGGGCGGGGGTGGAGGGGGTCTTCCTCCTTCCGGTTCTTGGGAAGATCCTGCAATCTGAAAGAGGCAGGAGAGCTCTTTCCCCATCTGTAATGTGGTAACCGAGCCCGAGCCAGCTCCTCCCTGGGCTGGAGGGTGGGAGAGTCGTTAGGGACACCTGCCCCGCTCCCTCCCCCTCCCGGGGGGGAACCCACCGCGACGGCGCGCACCTGGGCGCGGGCTGTGCCTGGGAACGCGCGGGGACCGCGGCCTCCAGGCAGCCCTGGGAAAGCAAGGGCCGGGAGCGCAGCCCTGGAGGCAGAGTGTTCCCTCAGGACCGTCAGGAGAGCGCCATCCACAGGATTATTAAAATAGCCATCCAGACGGAAATCGAGTGAGGCTGGCACCAGACTAAAGAAGTTTCAAGGCCAGGCGCGGTGCCTCACGCCTGTAATCCCAGCACTTTGGGAGGCCGAGGCGGGCGGATCACCTGAGGTCGGGGGTTCAAGACCAGCCTGACCAACATGGAGAAACCCCATCTCTACTAAAAATACGAAATTAGCTGGGCATGGTGGCGGTGACTGTAATCCCAGCTACTTGGGAGGCTGAGGCAGGAGAATCTCTTGAACCCGGGAGGCGGAGGTTGTGGTGAGCCAAGATCGTGCCATTGCACTCTAGCCTGGGCAACAAGAGCGAAACTCCGTCTCAAAAAAAAAAAAAAAAAAAAAAGAAAGAAAGAAGGAAAGTCTCAAAGAGATATCTGTGTTCATAATGGATATCATTATGAACTCCTGGCCTCAAGCAGTCCTCCCTCCTCGGCCTCCCAAAGTGCTGGGATTACAGGCATCATCAAGTAAACTCTTTAAATGATATTTGGTGCTTCAGCCTCTTCCTTTGAGGTCAATACCACTTTAGCTATCATTAAGTCATGTTCGTGATAGCTAAAATGTGGAAGCAGCCCAGTGTCCACCCACAGATTAATGGATAAGCAGAATGTGCTCTATACATACAATGAGATATTATTCAGCTTTAAAAAGGAAGAAAATTCTGACACGTGGTTCAACATGGATGAAACTTGACATGTGCTAAATGAAATGAACCGGTCACAAAAAACAAATACTGTATGATTCTACTTGAATGAGGTAGTCAAATTCATTTATAGAAAGTAGAATGTTGGTGGCCAGGCACGGTGGCTCACGCCTGTAATCCCAGCACTTTGGGAGACCGAGGTGGGCAGATCACTTGAGGTCAGAGTTTGAGACCAGCCTGGCCAACATGGTGAAACCCTGTCTCTACTAAAAATACAAAAATTAGCCGGGCATGGTGGCAGTTGCCTATAATCCCTGCTACTTGGGAGGCTGAGGCACAAGAATCACTTGAACCTGGGAGGTGGAGGTTGCAGTGAGCCGAGATCACACCACTGCACTCCAGCCTGGGCGACAGAGTGAGACTCCATCTCAAAAAAAAAAAAAAAAAGAAAGAAAGAAAGAGTAGAATGGGAATGGTGGTTGCCACGGTACAGAGTTTCATTTTTGCAAGATAAATTCTAGAGATGGATGATGGTGATGGTTGCACAGCAGTATGAATGGCCACTGAAATGTATGCTTACAAATGGTTAGGATGGCCAGGTATGGAAGCATGCCCCTGTAGTCCCAGCTACTCTGTAGTCTGAGGCCATGAGTTTGACAATCACATCTGTGAATAGACACTGCACTCCAGTCCAGGTAAAATAACAGGATCTTGTCTCTTTTTTTTTTTTCTTTTTGAGCCAGAGTCTCGCTCTTTCACCCCGGCTGGAGTGCAATGGCACCATCTCGGCTCACTGCAACCTCTGCCTCACGGGTTCAAGTGATTCTCCTGCCTCAGCCTCCTGAGTAGCTGGGATTACAGGCACGCACCACCATGCCTGGCTAATTTTTGTATTTTTTAGTACAGACGGGGTTTCACCATGTTAGTCAGGCTGATCTTGAACCCCTGACCTCGTGATCCACCCCCCGCCCCTCGGCCTCCCAAAGTGCTGGGATTACAGGCGTGAACCACCGCGCCCAGCTAGAAAAAAATAATTTTTTAATAGTTGAACAACAAACCACAAAAAAATTACAGAGGCCTTTAGACAATAATTTTAAGGAAATAAATGTAAATTTGGGGGACTGGGTGTGGTGGCTCAAGTCTGATCCCAGCACATTGGGAGGTCAAGGCAGGCAGATCATTTGAGCTCAGGAGTTCTAGACCAACCTGGGCAACATGGTAAAATCCCATCTCTACAAAAATACAAAAAATTAGCCAGGTGGTGGCGCACGCCTGTGGTCTTAGCTACTGGAGAGGTTAATTTGGGGGTGAGGCAGGAGGATCGCTTGAGCCAGGGAGGTGGAGGTTGCAGTGAGCCTTGACTGTACCACTGCACTCCAGTCTGGGTGACAGAGCAAGACCCTGTCTCAAAAACAAAAAAAGTAGCCGGGCGCGGTGGCTCACCCTTGTAATCCCAGCACTTTAGGAGGCCAAGGTGGGCGGATTGAGAGGTCAAGAGATCGAGACCATCCTGGCCAACATGGTGAAACCCCATCTCTACTAAAAATACAAAAATCAGCTGGGCATGGTAGCGCACGCCTGTAGTCCCAGCTACTCTGGAGGCTGAGGCAGGAGAATCGCTTGAACCCGGGAGGCAGAAGTCTCAGTGAGCCGAGATCACACCACTGCACTACAGCTTGGTGACGGAGAGAGATTCCATCTCCAAAAAAAAAAAAAAAAGCAAATTTGGAAAAGCTTTTATGAACAAAGATGGCCATTGTCCCAAACTGGAAACCCAAATGTCTAACAATAAAGGAATGGCTGCTGTAACAGAATGTCTGATTAAAAACAAAAGGACGCCAGGCACAGTGGCTCATGCCTGTAATGCCAGAACTTTGAAGGGTGGATCACTTGAGCTCAAGAGTTCGAGACCAGACTGGCAATATGATGAAACCCAGTCTCTGCAAAAAACACAAAAATTTAGCTGGGTGTGGTGGCATGTGCCTGTGGTCCCAGCTGCTTGGGAAGGTGAGGCAGGAGGATCGCTTGGGACTGGGAGGCAGATGTTGCATTGAGGTGAGATCATGCCACTGCACTCCAGCCTGAGTGATAAAGCCAGACTGTCTCCAAAAAATCCAAAAGGCTGAGGTGGGAGGATTGCTTGAGCCCAGGATTTCAAGAGTGTAGTGAGCTGTGATCGCATCACTGCACTCCAGCCTGGGTGACAGAGTAAAAGCCTGTCTCTTAAAAAAAAAAAAAAAGTTAAAATGGTATAATAAATGCCAGGCATGTGGCTCACACCAGTACTCCCAGCACTTCGGGAAGCCAGAGCAGGAGGATCGCTTGAGCCCAGGAGTACGAAACCAACATAGGCAACAAAGCAAGACTCCATCTCTACAAAAAATCAAAATAAAAATAAATTAGCTGGGTGTGGTAGCGCATGCCTGTGGTCTTAGCTACTCAGGAGGCTGACGAAGGAGGATCACTTGAGCCCAGGAGTTCAAGACTGCAGTGAGCTATGATTGTACTGCCGCATTCTAGCCTGGGCAACAAAGAAAGAACCCCATCTCTAAAAAAAAAAATTAAATAAATAAAAGGAGGGCTGTAACAACATGGCAAAAAGTTTACTGGGCATCTTTTTTTATTTTTTTTTTTTGAGATGGCGTCTCGCTCTGTCGCCCAGGTTGGAGTGCAGTGGCACAATCTTGGCTCACTGCAAGCTCCACCTCCCGGGTTCACACCATTCTCCTGCCTCAGCCTCCTGAATAGCTGGGACTACAGGTGCCCGTCACCACACCCAGCTAATTTTTTTGTATTTTTAGTAGAGACGGGGTTTCACCGTGTTAGCCAGGATGGTCTTGATCTCCTGACCTTGTGATCCGCTCGTCTCAGCCTCCCAAAGTGCTGGGATTACAGGCGTGAGCCACTGCGCCTGGCCCTGGGTATCTTTTTGCCTATAATAAAGCCAGCCATCTAAAAACAGTTCAAGCCCTGGCTCTGGTACCTGTCAGCTGTGTGGCCCTGGGCGGGTCCCTCACTCTCTGTGAGCCTCAGTTGCCTCACCTGTGAAATGTAACTCAGTGGTTGAGTGGATCAAGTGAAGGGCTGTATGTCAAGCCCCTGTCAAGCCACCTGGTGCTCCGTGTCCTGTGGATGGTAGCTGCCCTGAAGCGGGACTTTGCAGACTGAAGTGCTGTCTCTTCAGAGGGAGTGCAGGTGTCCGGCTCCTGGTGTGGGAGAGGCACCCTGTGCTCCCTGGCCCGTGAGACAAGATTGGGTTTGGGGGCCAGGGCAGGAGTAGGGGCCCGTCACCAGGGGAAACGGCTCGTGGTAGAGCAGCTGAGGTGCAGCTGGGCCTGTGGCCTAGAAGGCAGTCTTGTGGGTGCCTCCTCCCCCAGCCGCAACTCAGGTCTGCAGCTGGGTCCTGCCTCCTTCCGAGTGGGCCATGGCCGGTACATGGCTGCTACTTCTCCTGGCCCTTGGGTGTCCAGCCCTACCCACAGGTGAGCCCCCTCTTTGCCTTCCTCTCTGTCCCTCCTCAGTCTGCCGAAGCCCATCCCCTCACTCTGGACCTCCCTGGGTACTGATGGGCTGCAGGGAGGCAGGACAAGAGATATTTAGGGACCTCTGGGGAGGGTCCCTCTGGGGAGGGGACCTCTGGGGAGGGGACCCTATATAGAGGGTCCCCACTATACTCTTCCCATTGTACTCTTCCTCCCAGCCACCTTGCTCTGGGGCTCCTATGTCCTCCTGCCCTGGAGCCCACAGTGTTGATAGGGAGGCTGCCCCTCTTAGAGGTATAGAGAAATGAGAACAAACTGGATGGACATCCATAGAAGGTGGGGTTAGGGTAGCCAGTGTGTGTGATGTGATATGCAATGATGTCATATGGGTAACAGTGTGAGGTCCTGTCCTGTCCTTCTTGCCCTCAGGATGCCTGCCCTAGTTCAATAGGACTCAGGGTGTCTCAAGTTCACTCACAGCTCACGCTTATCAGTGGGCTCAGGATAGGACCCAAGGCCTCTTCCCAGGGTATTTACCCCCAGCCCTCCCATGATCAAGGCTGGAGCCAAAGGACTCATGTTTTGAGGGGAAAATTCCAGCTTCATCTAGAAGCATGTGCATGTGTGCATGTACGTGGTGGGGGAAGGTCCATGACTTTTGAGTCAGGGGGGTCTCCTTGATCTAGAGCTGGCCCCAAGTATCTCACAGGCACTCCTTCATTAGGGAGATAAACCACACCTATGTGGAACACAGGGAGCCCATGGCAGGAGGCCTGAGCTCGGGAAGGAAGTAACCAGGGTAAGCAGGGACAATCCTGGGATGCTTCATGGAAGAAGTGGAAGCTGAACTCAACTTGGGGAATGTCTCTATCTATATAACTGAAAAGGCTCTGGAGGTTGAGTCCTGGAGCTCGTGCCCAGCCTTCTCTACTACCTTTGTTTGCAATGCCTTATTAATATTAATATCAACAATTGCACTAATACTTATCTGCCAGGGCATTTTACACTTATGGCCTTTACTCTTCACAACAATTTTGCTGGGCTGGTATTATTAACAGCATTATATTATTATTATTATTATTATTATTATTATTATTATTATTATTTATTTTTGAGACAGAGTCTCGCACTGTCGCCCGGGCTGGAGTACAATGGTGTGATCTTGGCTCACTACAACCTCCACCTCCCGGGTTCACTTGATTCTCCTGCCTCAGCCTCCCAAGTAGCTGGGATTACAGGCACCTGCCACCACGCCCAGCTAATTTTTTGTATTTTTAGTACAGACGGAGTTTCACTGTGTTGGCCAGGCTGGTCTTGAACTCCTGACCTCATGATCCGCCCGCCTCAGCCTCCCAAAGTGCTGGGATTACAGACGTGAGCCACCTCACCCAGCCCGTTATATTATTATTATTATTATTATTATTATTATTATTATTATTATTAGACAGAGTTTGCTCTGTTGCCCAGATTGGAGTGCAATGGCACAATCTCAACTCACTGCATCCTCTGCCTCCCAGGTTCAAGCGGTTCTCCTGCCTCAGCTTCCCAAGTAGCTGGGATTACAGCCGCCCACCATCATGCCCGGCTAATTTTTGTATTTTTAGTGGAAACAGGGGTTCACCACGTTGGCCAGGCTGGTCCCGAACTCCTGACTTCAAGTGATTCACCTGACTCAGCCTCCCAAAGTGCTGGGATTACAGGCATAAGCCACTGAGCCCGGCCTAACACCATTATATTGATGAGACCATTGGGACTCACAAAAAATATTGTTCCTTCAACCTAAATAAATAAATAAATACATACATAATGAAAACAAAACAAAACAAACAAAAAGAGTCAGAAAATTGGCTGGGCGCGGTGGCTTACGCCTGTAATTCCAGCACTTTGGAAGGCCAAGGCGGGCAGATCACTTGAAGTCAGGAGTTTGAGACCAGCCTGGCCAACATGACGAAACCCCATCTCTACTAAAAAATACAAAAATTAGCTGGACATGGTGGCAGGTGCCTGTAATCCAGCTACTTAGGATGCTGAGGCAGGAGAATTGCTTGAACCCGGGAGGAGGAGGTTGCACTGAGCCAAGATCCCACCACTGCACTCCAGGCTAGGCGACAGAACCAGAATCAGTCTCAAAAAAAAAAAAAGCCAGGCATGGGGCTCATGCCTGTAATCCTAGCACTTTGCACTTTGGGAGGCTGAGGCAGGTGGATCACGAGGTCAGGAGTTCAAGACCAGCCTGGCCAAGATGGTGAAACCCCATCTCTACTAAAAATACAAAAATTAGCCACGCGTGGTGGTAGGTGCCTGTAATCCCAGCTACTCAGGAGGCTGAGGCAGGAGAATCGCTTGAACCCCGGTGGGTGGAGGTTGCAGTGAACAGAGATCCTGCCACTGCACTCCAGCCTGGGCAACAGAGTGAGACTCCATCTCAAAAATAATAATAATAATAATAATGAAATAAAATAAAGACTCAGAAAATTAAGTGAATGAGTCAGGAGTCACGCTTAGCTCTGTCTGAAGCTATGTCCTAGACGGTCCACTGTGTCACATGGCAAAATCTTAGTCATCCTTCAAAGTGAGATGGTTTAGGGGATTTGGAGTCACAGAGATCTGAGAGTTCAAATCCTGAATGGACAACTTACCATTTATGTGTTAGTAGGATAATTTTTTTTTTTTTTTTTTTGAGACAGAGTCTCGCACTGTCGCCCAGGCTGGAGTGCAGTGGTGCAATCTTGGCTCACTGTAAGCTCCGCCTCCCGGGTTCACGCCATTCTCCTGCCTCAGCCTCCCGAGTAGCTGGGACTACAGGTGCCTGCCACCATGCCTGGCTAATTTTTTGTATTTTTAGTAGAGACAGGGTTTCACCATGTTAGCCAGGATGGTCTCGATCTCCTGACCTCATGATCCGTCCACCTATTTTTTTTTTTTTTAATTTTTTGAGACAGAGTCCCGCTCTGTCGCCAGGCTGGAGTGCAATTCTCCTGCCTCAGCCTCCAGAGTAGCTGGGATTACAGGCGCGTGCCACCACGCCCGGCTAATTTTTTGTATTTTAGTAGAGACGGGGTTTCACCATGTTAGCCAGGATGGTCTCGATCTCCTGACCTTGTGATCTGCCCACCTCAGCCTCCCAAAGTGCTGGGAATAAAAGCGTGAGCCACCACGCCTGGCCTAGGCTAATTATTTGGCTTGTAAGAAATCTTTCCTAAGTACCCTTTACCCCTACATCCTCACAAGATTCTCTGGCCTCCTTCCCTGCACTCTGGGACATTTCTTTCGTTTGGCTATACCTAATTCACAAAAAACTGCAGGCTGGACAAAGTGGCTCATGCCTATAATCCCAGCACTTTGGGAGGCCCAGGCATGAGGATCTCTTGAGCGCTGAAGTTCAAGACCAGCTAGGACAACATAGTGAAACCCTATTTCTACAAAAAATAAAAAATAAATTAGCCAGGTATGGTGGCACGTGCCTGTAGTCCCTGCTACTGGGAAGGCTGAGGTGGGAGGACTGCCTGAACCCGGGTGGTCAAAGCCTCAGTAAGCCATGATCATGCCATTGCACTCCGGCCTGGGCAAGAGAGAGAGACTCTGTCTCAAAAAAAAAAGAAAAAAAATTACAATGTTCAAAAATAACATTCTGGGCCAGGTGCGGTGGCTCACGTCTGTAATCCCAGCACTTTGGGAGGCTGAGGTGGAAGAATAGCTTGAGCCTAGGAGTTTGAGACCACCCCAGGCAACATAGGGAGACCCATGTCTCTACAGGTATTTTAAAAATGTAGCCGGGTGTTGTGACACGTGCCTGTGGTCACAGCTACTTGGCAGGCCAGGAGGTCAAGGCTCCAGTGAACTGTGATCACACCATTGCAGTCCAGCCTGGATGACAGAGCTAGACCCTGTCTCAAAAAATAATAATAATAGGCCGGGTGAGGTGGCTCACGCCTGTAATCCCAGCACTTTGGGAGGTCGAGGCAGGCGGATCACGAGGCAAGGAGATGGAGACCATCCTGGCTAACACAGTGAAACCCCTTCTCTACTAAAAATATAAACAATTAGCCAGGCGTGTTGGCGGGCGCCTGTAGTCCCAGCTACTCGTGAGGCTGAGGCAGGAGAATGGCGTGAACCCGGGAGGCGGAGCTTGCAGTGAGCCGAGATCGCGCCACTGCACTTGAGCCTGGGCGACAGAGAGAGACTCCGTCTCAAAAAAATAAAATAATAAAAAATAATAAAAGATTGTGGGAAATAGGGATTATTTTGGAAAATATAGGAAAAATGTTTGTAGTACCCATATGACTTAGTTCTTTCTTTTATTTTTATTTTTTTTGAGACGGAGTCTTGCTCTGTCGCCCAGGCTGGAGTGCAGTGGCGCGATCTTGGCTCACTGCGAGCTCCGCCTCCCGGGTTCACGCCATTCTCCTGCCTCAGCCTCCCGAGTAAATGGGACTACAGGCGGCTGCCACCACGCCCGGCTAATTATTTTGTATTTTTAGTAGAGACGGGGTTTCACCGTGTTAGCCAGGATGGTCTCTATCTCCTGACCTCGTGATCCACCCACCTTGGCCTCCCAAAGTGCTGGGATTACAGGCTTGAGCCACAGCGCCCAGCCATGACTTAGTTCTTAAGATTATTAAATAATACACCTATACTTCAAATGGGTGAATTGTCTGGTATGTGGACTATATCTAAACAAAGCTTTTTTTTTTTTTTTTCACTCTGTCACCCAGGCTGGAGTGCAGTGACGCGATCTCAGCTCACTGCAACCTTTGCCCGGGTTCAAGCGATTCTTGTGCCTCAGTCTCCAGAGTAGCTGGGACTACAGGCACGTGCCACCACACGCAGCTAATTTTTTTGTATTTTTAGTAGAGATGGGGTTTCGCCATGTTGGCCAGGGTGTTCTCGAACTCCTGACCTCAGGTGATCTGCCTGCCTTGGCCCCCCAAAGTGCTGGGATTACAAGCATGAACCACCACACCCAGCCTTTTTTGTTGTTGTTGTTGTTTTGAGACAGAATCTTGTGCTGTTGCCCAGGCTGGAGTGTAGTGGCATGATCTTGGCTCACTGCAACCTCCGCCTCTGGGTTTAAGCGATTCTCCTGCTTCAAGCCTCCTGAGTAGCTGGGACTACGGGTATGCACCACCACGCCCGACTAATTTTTGTATTTTTAGTAGAGATGGGGTTCCACCATGTTGGCCAGGCTGGTCTCAAACTCCTGACCTCAGGTGATCGCCCTGCCTCAGCCTCCCAAAGTGCTAGGATTACATGCGTGAGCCACCGCACCCAGCCAACAAAGCTTCTTTTTTTTTTTTTTTTTTTTTTTTGAGAGAGAGTCTTGCTCTGTCGCCAGGCTGGAGTGCAGTGGCGTGATCTAGGCTCACTGCAACTTCCGCTTCCCTGGTTCAAGTGATTCTCCTGCCGCAGCCTCCCAAGTAGCTGGGATTACAGGCACACACCACTAAGCCCACCTAATTTTTGTATTTTTAGTAGAGATGGGGTTTCACCATGTTGGCCAGGATAGTCTCGATCTCCTGACCTCGTGATCTGCCCACCTTGGCCTCCCGAAGTGCTGGGATTACAGGCATGAGCCACCGTGCCCGGCCAACAAAGCTTTTTTTTTCAAAAAAAAAAAAAAAAAAGGCTGGGTGTGGTGCCTCACGCCTGTAATCCTAGCACTTTGGGAGGCCAGGGCGGGCAGATCACCTGAGGTCAGGAGTCAGAGACCAGCCTGACCAACATGGAGAAACCCAGTCTCTAGTAAAAACATAAAAATAAAAATGAACTGGCTTGGTGGCGTGGGAACTTGGGAGGCTGAGGCAGAAGAATGGCTTGAACCCAGAAGGCAGAGGTTGCAGTGAGCCGACATGGTGCCACTGCACTCCAGTCTGGGAGACGTAGCAAGACTCCGTCTCAAAAAGCAAGCAAAAAAACAAACAAACAAAACTACAGGCTACAGAAAAAGGCTGAGAATAAAAGAAAAAATACCCAAGCACACTCCACCTAGATTAACAAACGTTTAACATTTTGCCATATTTAAATCAGACTTTTAAAAAAAGAAACAAAAAGTTACAGATATATTTGAAGCCCCTTCTAATCTCATTCCAGGTCCTGTTTCCTTCCCTTCCTCACCAGAGGCTGCCACAACAGGGTATTACAAGTATTTTTTTTACACATCTACTGTCTTTCCCATGGAACTGAGTTCCTTGAGAGCAGGGACAATGACTTACCCAATGTTGTATCTCTAGTTCCTGGAACAGAAAGGGGCTCGGATATCATAGACAAGTGGATGGAAGGAGAGGTGGGTAGATGGATAGATAGACACATAGATGAAAGGTAGAAAGAATAGATGGAGGTGGCCGGGCATGGTGGCTCACACCTGTAATCCCAGCACTTTGGGAGGACGAGGCGGGTGGATCACGAGGTCAGGAGATCGAGACCATCCTGGCTAACACGTCTCTACTAAAAATAAAAATAAAAATTAGCCGGGCGCTGTGGCGGGCACCTGTAGTCCCAGCTACTCAGGAGGCTGAGGCAGGAGAATGGCATGAACCCAGGAGGTGGAACTTGCAGTGAGCTGAGATCGCGCCACTGCACTCTAGCCTGGGCAACAGAGCAAAATTCCATCTCAAAAAAAAAAAAAAGAAAGAAAGAATACATGGAGGATAGATGGCTGATAGAAGAAAGGATGGATAAACAGGTGAGTGAATGAAAGGATGGGCAGATGGAGGGAAGGAAGGGTGGCTAGATGGGAAAATGCAAGGAGGAATGGATGAGTGGCTAGAAGGACATGTAGATGGATGGTGGAAGGATGGATGGATGGAAAGACAGAAATGTAGAACCCTAGCCTACAACACAATGCTGGCCTGGGAGGCCAAAAGCTGGTCTAGCACCCACAGGTACATGCTCTCTTGCAGGTGTGGGCGGCACACCCTTTCCTTCTCTGGCCCCACCAATCATGCTGCTGGTGGATGGAAAGCAGCAGATGGTGGTGGTCTGCCTGGTCCTTGATGTTGCACCCCCTGGCCTTGACAGCCCCATCTGGTTCTCAGCCGGCAATGGCAGTGCACTGGATGCCTTCACCTATGGCCCTTCCCCAGCAACGGATGGCACCTGGACCAACTTGGCCCATCTCTCCCTGCCTTCTGAGGAGCTGGCATCCTGGGAGCCTTTGGTCTGCCACACTGGGCCTGGGGCTGAGGGTCACAGCAGGAGTACACAGCCCATGCATCTGTCAGGTGGGGATGGAGCCTGGGCCCTTGCGGATGCTCCCTGTCCCCTTCCACACACCAGGATATGGTTGGAGGGAGGGCAGGCTCCAGGCCACAAAGGCATGAAGGGTGTCCAAGCGCAGAGCCTCTGGGTGAGGTGACACCTGGGCTCAGGGGAGAGTGGCCTCAGGGCCATGAATTTTGGGATTTGCCACTGCAATATCTGTTTGAAATCCAGGCTTTGCAGCATGGCTTCCAAGGATAAAAATGCCTCCTTCCACCTAGGATTCATTATACACACATAGATAATCACCCTGTGTACATGACACCCTATAAGGACCAAACTAATTAACAAATCACTACCAGTTATTGAGTGTTTACTCTGTTCCAGGCAGTGTTCTACAGACTTCACATTTATGAGACAGGTCATATAATTCCCTCAATTTTACAGGCACAGGGAGGTTAAGCAACATGTCTAAAGCCAGCTATTTTTGTTTCCCCCTCCATTGTATTTTGAAACAGTCAGCTATTATTATCACTGACCAGATGACTTACTTCCTCTCTAGGGATTATCTCAATTTTGTCATCTTTCAAATGGGAATGTTTGTTAACTAAGTGCCCTGACTTCCAAAGAATGCTGCGAAGACAGTCAGTTCCTTATCTGAGAGTTCCGGGCTCCCCAGCCTCCCCAGGGCACAGAACAGGGGACACTGCAAAGTGAGGGATGTTTGGGTCTTCAGAGGACTTGCAGCAAATGGGCTCAGGGTTTCTGCTGCTGGCTCACTTGTCCATTTACCCCAAATGCCTCGACACCCACCCTGTGCCAGGGCCTGGGCATAGCACTGGGGATGCCCTCCAGAGTGCATGGCCCATCCCCAAAGACTCATTCGCTTCTCCCTGGACAACAGGAGAGGCTTCTACAGCCAGGACCTGCCCCCAGGAGCCTCTCAGGGGTGAGTACTCCGGGCAAGGGGTGGGGAATAAGAGGCTGGGACCAGGACCTTGGGCCCGGGGGGTGGGGCCTTCAGCTCTGGCCTAATGGGTCTTACACTGGAGGTCAGTAGGTGTCCCATGTAGAGGCTGTCATGCTAGGTTGGGGCACTGGCTAGCATGGGCCTCAGTCTACCTAGCATAAGATGGGGGTGAATCCTTTGACCCCAGCCTAATTCCTGGACATTAGTTGAGAAGCACAGGTGACAGCTAACAGAGGGGTCTTTGGAGTCCTCCTTGGGCAGCCCAGGCAGGGGGGTCTCAGCATTAGAGGCCGTGTAAATGGGAGGCTGTCTGGGGTGATGGAAAGAGCCTGGACGGACAGTCATGAAGTTGGGCTGTGGTCCAACTCTGCTTCCCGACCAAATAGAGAATTTTGAGGCCGGGTGCGGTGGCTCACACCTGTAATCCCAGCACTTTGGGAGGCCGAGGTGGGTGGATCACGAGGTCAGGAGTTCGAGACCAGCCTGGCCAACATGGTGAAACCCCGTCTCTACTAAAAATACAAAAATTAGCCGAGCGTGATGGCACACGCCTGTAGTCCCAGCTACTCAGGAGGCTGAGGTAGAAGAATCACTTGAACCCGGGAGGTGGAGGTTGCAGTGAGATGAGATCGTGCCACTGCCCTCCAGCCTGGGTGACAGAGTGAGACTCCATCTAAAAAAAAAAAAAAGAATTTTGAGCTAGTTACTCTCTGCATCAGATGCTAATTAATTCCTGCGTGGCCCCCACCCCTACCCCCATGATTGTTGGGGAATAAAATAAAATGAAGGCCAGGAAGGTATGTATTATTACCAGTAAGAACGGAGGCTAGACACCGGGAAGGACTTTCCCTGGAGGAGGGGGTGAAGGGGACGGGCAAGGGCAGAGGACAAGGCCCTCTCCGCCGTTCTCTCCTGGGGTAGGGGGCTGCGGGCTCCTGCGGGCTCCTGAGCGGTTCCTCCTCGCAGGGACACCGGGTGGGGCGCTGTGGCTGGGGGTCCTGCGGCTGCTGCTCTTCAAGCTGCTGCTGTTTGACCTGCTCCTGACCTGCAGCTGCCTGTGCGACCCCGCGGGCCCGCTGCCTTCCCCCGCAACCACCACCCGCCTGCGAGCCCTCGGCTCCCATCGACTGCACCCGGCCACGGAGACTGGGGGACGAGAGGCCACCAGCTCACCCAGACCCCAGCCTCGGGACCGCCGCTGGGGTGACACCCCTCCGGGTCGGAAGCCCGGGAGCCCAGTATGGGGGGAAGGGTCTTACCTCAGCAGTTACCCCACTTGCCCAGCACAGGCCTGGTGCTCAAGATCTGCCCTCAGGGCTCCTTCCTCCAGTCTTGGAGCATTTTTTGCAGGTGACCTGCCTCCTCCTCTGCAGGCTGGAGCTGCCTGAGGGCAGGGCTCTACCTCCCCTGCGTCACACTGTGTGAGGCTGTGTCTCTGCCATCCAAAAGGGGGCCCCTTGAGAATGGTGATCCACCCAGTTACAGGGGCATTTAGGGAGCAGATGACTGAGAACATTAAAAAAGAACTTAAATGACACAGCAAATGAAAAATATTTGAATTCATGTCTATCCTGGGAGGAAGGAATTTGGCAGAGTTAGAAGTAGGAAAAATCCAGGAAAGCTCCCTTGAGGAAGAGGGCTTCCTGAGACAGAACTTGGGAACTGCAGAGTGGGACTGGTGGCTGGGAAGGCGGCTGTCTCCTCCCCCAACAGCAAGCGGGGAGGCCCCCTCTTCTCCTCACCCTGGCCCAACCTCTGTGAGAGGTCAGGGCAGAGAGCCCAGGAACCCAGGAAGGTGGGTGGTGGGTCTGATGTGAACTCTCGTACAGAGGTGAACAGGGCCAGGGTTTCTGGGGAACAGGATCGTTTTCAATAACAAGAGTATGAGATATTAATTCCAAACTTACAGTTTATTAATCAATTAAGAGTCATTATTCATTTGACAAATATTCTTTAAGTATCAACCCTGAGCCAGGTACTAAAGAGGTTTGGCTTTTTTGGTCTGGTTGTTACATAAAGAAGATTCTTGTATTGATCAAGTATGAGGCTTCCACAGTAGAGCATAACGTGTGCGTCCCCTGCTTGCCCAGCGCTGGCAGGAAATCCAGACTTTCCCAAGGGTTCTCTGCTAGTAATCACTCCAAGAGACTCTGGGTGCTGTCATGTAAATCCACCTGTCCCTTGGGCCCCATAGGATAGTCTGCTGGATCAACTTTAGTCTTCCTTCCCCCAGGGAGGGGATGGGGAACTATGCCCCAGCACCCCAACACATGGTTTCAAGGACACCCTCAGCTCCCCTGAGCCTCTGTGCTCTCTCAGCTACTGTTCCATAAAAACTCTCACTGCCTCCTCCACTGCTCATCTCTCACCAGCCTGAAAGGAGATTCTCCCACTTGTTTTGGGGATTCTTGGGTGCTGGTGGCTGGGGTGGGAGGGTCCCATAGCTTCTACGGATGAATCTGTCCACCATCCCCACAAGGCATGTTCCTTCTCTGACACACAGACTGAGGGAGGGTGTGGGCAGGGGCCCAACTATAGCCTCAGACTTTCTCTGGCCACTATCCCTTCCTAGCTGTCCGGCCAGATGCTGAGCCCAGGCTTCTCAATCTCCACTGTCAGGCTGGCTTAATCTTATTTCCCAGGAGGGCTTCTGAGCCGAGGTGAATCAAGGGCCATGGCCAAGCTCTGAGCCTACCCAAGTATTTTATTTTATTTTATTTTATATTTTATTTTATTATTTTATTTTTTGAGATAGGGTCTCACTCTGTCCCCCAGGGTGGAGTGCAGTGGTGCGATCTCAACTCTCTGCAATCTCTGTCTCCCAGGTTCCAGCAATTCTCCCACCTCAGCCTCTCAAGTAGCTGGGACTACAGGCACACGCCACCATGCCTGGCTCATTTTTGTATTTTTTGGTAGAGACAGGGTTTCACCACATTGGCCAGGCTGGTCTTGAACTTCTGACCTCAAGTGATCCGCCTGCCTTGGCCTCCCGAAGTGCTGGAATTATAAGTGTGAGCCACTGTGCCCAGCTTGAGCCAACCTAAGTCTTATCAAGCCTAGAAAACATGGAGGACCTTAGGAGGGTGTCCTGATCTTGTACACTGTGGAATTCCACATGCCACAGCCCCTGCCTATCCAAAGTGCTTTGTTACCAACACAGTTTTGGACAAGAAACTAAAGTCAGAAAGTGGCAAGGCCTGGGCCTCAGTGCTCTGAAGTCTTCATAAAATAGCATAAATATCCAACCTCTAGGAAGGAAACAAGAAGGTATCAGGGAACAGGGTTTTATGGCCAATTTGCAGACAACTTCCCAGAGAAGCAACTTTGGTCTGTGTGCGTCTGTAGGACACTGAGTTCAGGGGCAGCCTAAAGAAGACCAAGAGTGCTCCTCTTTATTTTTATTTGTTTATTTTTATTTTTTGAGACGGAGTCTCGCTCTGTCGCCAGGCTGGAGTGCAGTGGCGCGATCTCGGCTCACTGCAACCTCCACCTCCAGGGTTCAAGCAATTCTCCCGCCTCAGCCTCCCAAGTAGCTGGGACTACAGGCACCCACCACCACGGCTATTTTTTTTTGTATTTTTAGTAGAGACAGGGTTTCACCATATTGGCCAGGCTGGTCTCGAATTCCTGACCTTGTGATCTGCCCGCCTTGGCCTCCCAAAGTGCTGGAAATACAGGCATGAACCATCGCGCCCGGCATTTATTATTTTTGAGATGGAGTCTTGCCCTGTCGCCCAGGCTGGAGTGCAATGGCGTGATCTCGGCTCACTGCAACCTCCATCTCCCAGGTTCAAGCAATTCTCCTGCCTCCACCTCCCGAGTAGCTGGGATTACAGGCGTGTGCCACCACGCCCGGCTAACTTTTTGTATCTTTAGTAGAGATGGGGTTTCAGCATCTTGGCCAGGCTGGTCTTGAACTCCTGACCTCGTGATCCACCTACCTCGGCCTTCCAAAGTGCTGGAATTATAGGCGTGAGCCACCAAGCCCGGCCTCCTCTTTATTTTTTATTTTGATTTATTTATTTTTGAGATGGGGGGGGTGTCTCGCTATGTTGACCAGGCTGGTCTCGAACTCCTGGCCTCAAGCAGTTCTCCCTTCTTGGCCTCCCAAAGTGCTGGGATTACAGACATTAGCCACGGCGCCTGGCCTTTTTCTTCTTCTTCTTCTTTGTTGAGACAGGGTCTCAATCTGTTGCCCAGGCTGGTCTCCAACTCCTGGGCTCAGGTGATCCTTCCGCCTCGGCCTCCCAAAGTGCTGGGATTACAGGCGTGAGCCATTAAGTGTTCCCCTTAATGACACAGCAGATGAGAGTTTTACTGAGTATCTCCTTGTGCCAGGCACCCTGTTGTTGCTGGGGAAGCGGAAGGGAGAGACAATCGTTAATCGGCTAAATTTCTGCCTTCTGAGAGCTCAGAATCAAGAAATAAATAATAGGGCAGTAAAAGGGGCTGGGATTACATACAAAAAGAAAATTAATGCCTGAACTTTTTACAATCTGCTCGATAAGCTTTAATTCTATTAACCTATTTGAGCTTCCCAACAACAGGCAAGCTCCCACAGCAGCTAGGAGGATCACTTTGTCGTCATACAAATAGAAACAGGCTCAGAGAGGAAGTCATTTGTTCTAGTTCTCACTAGGACAAATCTACTGGCTACTAAAAAAGTGTGAAGGCTGGGGACAGTTTGAGTCGTCCTGCTTGCACCTTAAGCGCCTACAAGAGTGCCCGGCTATAACAACCACAATACCAATAATAAAATTTAAAAACAGATGTTCAGTAAGGACTTGCGGCATTAGGACCCCAGGAGGGAAGTGACGTTCGAGGAGGCGGAGAAAGCCGCGAAGACGGCCTTCCCCACATCTTCCAGCACCTGCGCGCCTGAATCCGTCCCACCCAGGCCCAGACGCAGGCTTCTTCTCGGGTCTTGGTCCTGCATCCTCTCTCTCCCAGAGCCTCCGTTAGGGGGTGGGAAAGGACTTTGCCATAGGTCGCTGAGGCCACCATCTGCTCTCTTACTGGCCAAGGGCGTAAAAAGATAGTCTTCCCATTAGCTAGAGAGCAAACCCCAGAAAGCCTATTGGCTGCGCCGTCCGCGGGCCTTGGTCCGCTTTGAAGGCGGGCTGCGGCTGCGAGAGGAGGGCGGGCGGGAGGCTAGCTGTTGTCGTGGTTGCTCGGAGGCACGTGTGCAGTCCCGGAAGCGGCGAGGGGAAACTGCTCCGCGCGCGCCGCGGGAGGAGGAACCGCCCGGTCCTTTAGGGTCCGGGCCCGGCCGGGCCATGGATTCAATGCCTGAGCCCGCGTCCCGCTGTCTTCTGCTTCTTCCCTTGCTGCTGCTGCTGCTGCTGCTGCTGCCGGCCCCGGAGCTGGGCCCGAGCCAGGCCGGAGCTGAGGAGAACGACTGGGTTCGCCTGCCCAGCAAATGCGAAGGTGAGGAGGCGGGGCCCGTGGGGCGTATCCTGCCGGAGGGGCTGGCTCCAGCGGTGGTGCTTGCGGAGCAGCGTCGGGGGTTGCAAGGTTCCGAGCTCTGCAGGGTGTCTTCCTTCCTTGAACAGGCTTGCGCCGGGACGCTGCGGCGGACGAGAGATCTGGTCCCGGTACCCCTGGAGTTCACACATTGGTAGAAACAAGCAATGATAATTCAGAGTAGTAGATGCCATGATAGGGGAGGTACAGAGCTTCCTTTTGGGGGCCGGACGAGGAGCATCTGGTCTAGCCTGGAGTGGGGGAGGGGGTGGGCGAAGGCTGTGTGCAGAGGGGAGTCAAAGAGGGCTTCATACAGGAAGCACGAAGAGGCATTAGGAGTTAGCCGGATGAAGAGAAGTGGAAAGAGAGGGGCCCACTCAGGAAACTACAGAGGCAGAGGCCTGCCGGCTGAGAAGCTAAGAACGAGTTTGAGGAACTGAAAAGCTCCAGATGACTCATCTTGGGGGAAAAAAACCTAAGACTTTCCCCTTTTGCCCTCACTGCAACCCAATCTGTGTAGTTGTCTGTTGCACCCACTAACAACTCCTCGAAGGCAGGAATTTTTGTCTTAGATACGTATTCACACAGTGTCTGGTAGGCACTCAATAAATGTTTTGAGAATACAGATGATTAAATGGGAGACTGTGGGTGTGTGTGAGGAGGAGGATCTGGATCTGAGGAGCCCTTTGGGGGAACAATAGAGCCTATGGGGAACTTGAAAGAAGATTTTAGGACTTTGGAGAAAAGGTGAGTCCCAAAGACATAGGCGTTGAGGAACTACAGAGAGAGAGAGAGAGGGAGCTACCAGCGAGCCAGGACTATAAAGGACCTATTTCTTTTTCCTCAACTCCGTCCCTTAGTTTTCTCCTCAGACCTTACAGTCATGCCTGCCTTCCTAGCCCCGTAACCCCAGGGCCCCCAGAAAGTTGGCTGTGAATCTCTCATCTGAATTGAAAGCCTACATCAGGCCAGATGTTCCCTAAACACTGGAAAGTGGGTTTGGGGTAAGTTTCGGACACATAATCCTTCCATTAGAGAGATTAAAAGGATGCTTTAGAGATAAGCCGACTTCACTGGTAGGGCACCCAGTATGAGTTCAAGCCTGTGCCTTCCCCCGTACATTCTTTTCTTTTTTTCCTTTTTTTTTTTTATGAGACTGTCTGGCTCTGTTGCCCAGGCTGGAGTGCAGTGGCGAGATCTCGGCTTATTGCAACCTCTGCCTCCTAGGTTCAAACGATTTTCCTGTCTCAGCCTCCTGAGTAGCTGGGATTACAGGCGCATGCCACCATGCCCAGCTAATTTTTGTGTTTTTAGTAGAGATGGGATTTCATCATATTGGTCAGGCTGGTCTTGAACTCCTGACCTCAAGTGATCCACCTGCCTTGGGCTCCCACAGTGCTGGGCTTATAGGCGTGAGCCTCTGCTCCTGGCCGCCCTTTCACTTTTCGCTCTTCCTCTAGTCCTGATAGCTTTTTTTTTTTTTTTTGAGATGGAGTTTCGCTCTTATTGCCCAGGCTGGAATGCAGTGGCGCGATCTTGGCTCACCGCAACCTCCAGTGACCCACCCTCCTCGGCCTTACAAAGTATTGGGATTACAGGCATGAGCCACCGTGCCTGGCCTTTTTTTTTTTTTTGAGACGGAGTCTTGCTCTGCCCAGTCTGGAGTGCAGTGGTGCGACCTTGACTCGCTGCAACCTCCGTCCCCCAGGTTCAAGGATTCTTCTACCTCAGCCTCCCGAGTAGGTGGGACTACAGGTGTGTGCCACCACTCCCGGCTATTTTTAGTAGAGACGGGTTTTCACCATGTTGGCCAGGCTGGTCTTGAACTCCTGAACTCGGGTGATCCACCCACCTTAGCCTCCCAAAGTGCTGGGATTACAGGCGTGAGCCACTGCACCCAGCCCAGCTAACTGATAGCCTTTCAGCGTTTCGCTTCCTCTTCTCTTTCTTTTCTGTCTTATTATTATTATTATTATTTTTTTTTGAGACGGAGTCTTGCTCTGTTGCCCAGGCTGGAGTGCAATGGCACAACCTCGGCTCACTGCAACCTCTGCCTCCAGGGTTCAAGTGATTCTCCTGCCTCAACCTCCTGAATAGCTGGGATTACAGGCACCTGCCATCATGCCCGGGTAATTTTTGTATTTTTGTAGAGACTGGGTTTCACCATGTTGGCCAGGTTGGTCTTGAACTCCTGACCTCAGGTGATCCTCCCACCTCAGCCTTCCAAATTGCTGGGATTACAGGCATGAGCCTCCGTGCCCAGCCTGTATTCTGTCTTATTCTGATATCAAAGAGCCCATACTCTCCCTCTTATTATTCTCATAGCCTAAGGAGCTCACATTTATTCTCCTTAGGCAACATTCACAGACTCACGGAAGCATAGAGATGCCCAGGATCTCTATATCTCTATATCTAGAGATCATTCTAGTCTACCCTCATTTGGTAACTGATGAAGATTAATTGAAAAGGGATTTGCAGTCACAGGATGGCTTGGCAAACTCCAACCGTTAGGTTCATCTTAATAGTATATTTGTTTGTATTATTATTACACCTTTGTTATTAAATGCTGACTGTGTCTAGCCCACCAAGCCTGCCTCCTGGCTCAGTAGCCTGAGTGGAACAGGCCTCGGCACAGAGGAAGGAGAACCTGCCCGGAAAAAAAGAGTGGGTGGATGTCAGTGAGGGTCTGGTGTCTGTGCCGTGAATCTCCTGTGAGTCTGGTTCTGGGTGGGATCCGCAGAGGAGGTCTTGAAGAGGTAATGTTTGGAAGAGCTGGAAAGCAAGGCTGTGGTTGATGGGTATGAGAGAGAAAGGATGTTCCAAACCTCCCCTTTCCCCACTCCTGGGGAGGGCGTGGGAGGAGGGGCAAGTGGTGCTAGAAAAATGATGTGCCTGCACAGAGTACAGGACAGAAGAGGGGAGGGAGCCCAGATGGTCCTGGATGGAGAGCTGGGGAGGTGAGACATCCCCAGTTCATTGCAGACTTGAAGATCACCAGCTTATTACTTGGAATTTGTATGTGTTTCAAATTCTCCAAGCCATTGATTAATTTCACCAAGCAGGCCTCCAGGGGATGTATTTATTTTTGTGGTAAATTGGTATTCTAGCAGACTGTGCTGTCAGTGTTAAAACTGCTGATGGCATTTAGCCTTCAGACTGGTATTCCATTCAGAGGCATCAGAAGACGGTCTCTATCAACAAGATTTATCGAGCGTCCAGCATATATCAAGTCCCAGGCTAAGGAAATACGAAAAAATCTAATACATAATGCACATTTTGGGGACCCTTGTGGTCTATGTGGAGAGACACATCAAATGACTGAGGGTCCTTAGGGAGAGCATGGATCCTGCAGAGGCCCAGAGTGAAATCTAGAGCAATTGGCATTAGTGCAGAATGGCTTCCTGGGGGAGAGGCTTATAATGCGAGGTGGGCAGGATGGGCAGAGAAGCCCTTAGAAGGCATTAAGTATTTTCCTAGGGCCTCAGGCACTTCACACCCTCGGTGGTAGCACTGTAGCACTCTATACAGTGGTAGTTATTTGTCTACACCTTTATCTGCTGCATTAGACTGAGTATCTGGAAGGGAGGGGACCTTGTTTTCATCTCTGTATCCCCAGGCTGACACGTAGGAGTTGCCTAATACCTATTTGAGGAAGGGTAAGAGGAAATGAGGAAATAAATGTGCGGAGACAGTAGGAACAAGAGCTCTCTGGAGGGCATGGAGCAAATTAACTTGGTAGAAATAGAGCTGATGTTGGAACACATATGAAATCAAGTAATCTAACAACCATAAAAGATGTTTTGGGGACAATTAAGGAAATTTGAATATGGACTACTGGGTGATGTTGGAATTGTTAATTTTCCAAGTATCATAATTGTTCTATGGTTATGTAGGAGGAGGTCTTTTTTCTCAGGAGATACATGATGATATATTTATCTCAAAAGGTCATGTTTGCCACTTACTTTCAAGATGGTGTAGCAAAAGAAATGTATATATTGTTGAGATATTATAATTATATATTGAAGAGAGAATGTGGCAAACTATTAACAACTGTTGAATACAAGTGGAAGGTATTCATTGTGTTCTTTCAGCTTTTCTGTATGTATGCAATTTTAGAAAGTAAAATGATAGACCCTGGCGTGGTGGCTCACGCCTGTAATCCCAGCACTTTGTGAGGCCGAGGTGGGCGGATCGCTTGAGGTCAGGAGTTCAAGACCAGCCTACCCAACAAGATGAAACCTGTCTCTACTAAAAATACAGAATTAGCCGTGCATGGTGGTGCATGCCTGTAATCCCAGCTACTTGGGAGGCTGAGGCAGGAGAATCGCTTGAACCCAGGAGCTGAGATCTCATCATTGTACTCTAGCCTGGGCAACAAGAGCGAAACTCCATCTCAAAAAAAAAAAAGGAATACGAAGAACAATTGCTTAAGGGCAGGATTTACAGTAAGTACATGCTCTTACACAAGAAACAGTAGATAAAATAGAAATCCTAGAGGCATTCCTGAAACTGGGGTTAATCAGAAGTCAACATGGCACATTAGCATCCAAGATGGAGTTGCTTTAGCCTCCACAGGTTCTAACTCCTTCCCTGCCTTGAGTGCTGATTTTGGTCCTCCAGTCTAGGAAAGGATGCCCACCTGGATCTGTTTTGCTGGGAGCTGGCCTCCCATTAGACTCATGTGCACTCAGTGGGCTGTGCTACCTCCCTCCCCCAGTGTGTAAATATGTTGCTGTGGAGCTGAAGTCAGCCTTTGAGGAAACCGGCAAGACCAAGGAGGTGATTGGCACGGGCTATGGCATCCTGGACCAGAAGGCCTCTGGAGTCAAATACACCAAGTCGTAAGTGAATGGGGACTCACTGGCCTGGCCTGCGTTGCTGCTGGAGGCTTCAGGGGTTTGGAGTTCCCTTCTCCTAGCTAGGCAAACCCCCTACAAGGGCATCATTTGTAACCAAGACCTGAGTTTGCCCACTGATTCTGTCCCCAGCTAATTGGGTGACGTGCATAAATCTCTTAACTTCTTTATGCTTCAGCAGATTTCTCATCTCTAAAAGCAAGACTGTTGGACTATATCATTGATTCTCAGACGCTTGGATTTCACAGAGCAATGCAAGTTTTTTTTTGCGACGGAGTTTCACTCTTGTTGCCCAGGCTGGAGTGCAATGGCATGATCTTTGCTCACTGCAACCTCTGCCTCCCGGGTTCAAGAGATTTTCCTGCCTCAGCCTCCCAAGTAGCTGGGATTACAGGCATGTGCCATCACGCCCAGCTAATTTTCTGTATTTTTTTAGTAGAGATGGAGTTTCACCATGTTGGTTAGGCTGGTCTCGAACTCCTGACCTGAGATGATCCGCCTGCCTCGGCCTCCCAAAGTGCTGGGATTACAGGTGTGAGCCACCACACCCGGCCACAGTGCAATTTTTTAAAACATTAGTAACAGGATTACCAGCTTTTTATTTTGCTAGGTACAAATATAGTTTTTAAAAACCCAATTCTGTCAGCTGTGATCATCCTTTCAAAGAGAATGATATTTTACTATCAAAATTTAATAATTTTGCTTTATCAAAAAATCTAAATACTGAATCATTTAGCTTTATAAAAAATTCCTTCCCTTAGAGCTGTTAAAATTTTGTCTCTCTGGTCTGTGTTCCAGCATTTCAGATCCCCCAGACCAGATGACCTATCTTCCTTCCAGCTCTGAGTCACTTCCCATTGGTGAGATGTGCAGGTGTTGGGGCACAGGGCTGGAGGGACAGACCACTAACCCACTGCGGCTAGGAGGGGAACTCAGTTCCTCATCCTCCTGTCTTGGCAGGGACTTGCGGTTAATCGAAGTCACTGAGACCATTTGCAAGAGGCTCCTGGATTATAGCCTGCACAAGGAGAGGACCGGCAGCAATCGATTTGCCAAGGTTGGATTCGGGATTGTCCTTCATCCGCTCTGGGGTCAGGCCTGCATGTATCTTAGTGTGTCTGCTGGTGTGAGTGTGATTTGAAGATGACCACCTGGGATCTTCCTTCATTGCCTCTTCCCATTCTTTGATTGCCGTTTGTGCTCCTCCCCTCTTGAGTGGCCTCATTTTTCAGGCACATGCATGAGGGTCTGGGCCTGTTCATGAGGGTCCTGCTTCAATCTCAGACACAGGCAGAAATGCTCCACAGTTGCTGCCCCCGTGGGAACCTAAAGACACTAGAACGGGGAGAACTCAGCAAGATCCACGATGTGCAGAAAGGTGGGGGTTTAGGCGAGGTGTCAGAGGACACCTCGGTGGGAGTGACTGCCCAGTCCCATCTCTGGGTCCACACAGCACCTCCCACAACCCCGCTGGGATGCCCTTGTGATGGCCCATGTACTCAGTATGTGTACGAGTGCTTTTCTCTCTGGAGAATGAGCTGCTTACAACAAGGCCCATAGTTCTTACTCTCTACATCTTCAGTGCCTGGCACAGGGTAAGATAGTTGCCACCCACATTTTTCTACCTAAGTTTCCTTCTAGCAAAGGATACCATTCATAAACTCCTGGGATACCTAAGGGAATAGTCTCAAGCAGCAGAAATTTGTATGAATTTTGCACTCAGTAATAAATCTGTGTTTGCTTTAATAAAAAGTGTTTAAGAATTATTTTTCATAGCAGGAAAAAAATGAGAAACAATCTAACTCTACCAATAGGGGATTAAATACGTTGATCCAGCCGTTTGGTGGACTAGTATGCGGCTGGAAACGAAGCATGGGGAGGCTCTTTAGGAACTGAATTCAATTGATTTTCAAGGTTTTTGTGTGTTTGTTTGTTTTGGAGACAGAGTCTCACACTCTGTTGCCCAAGCTGGAGCGCAGTGGTGCGATCTCAGTTCATTGCAACCTCCACCTTCCAGATTGAAGCTATTCTCCCACCTCAGCCTCCTGAGTAGCTGGGATTACAGGCACCGACCACCACGCCCGACTAATTTTTGTGTTTTTTAGTAGAAACGGGGTTTCACCATGCTGGCCAGGGGGTCTCGAACTCCTGACCTCAGGTGATCAGCCCACCTTGGCCTCTCAAAGTGCTGGGATTACAGGCATGAGCCACTGCACCCAGCCCTTCAAGGTATAAGTAAAAAGGGCAAGTGCAAAATAGTGTGTATGCTATACCACTGCTTGTGTAAAAAGGCGGGGGGAGGATATATTTAGATATTGGTATTTGTATGAGTTATCTCTGGGAAAATAGAGGAAATGGATAGTATGTTTTCTCTGGGGATAAGACCTAGGCAGCTAGCAGAGATAGTTTTTACAGAATAAAGGGTCTACCTGCCTCAGCTATGCCTTTTTCCCACTGAGGAAAGACACAACCCAGGAAGAACGGAACAGCAGGTCTGGATGATATGGGAGTGTTTCCAGCCATAGTGAGGGGAAAGAGCTAAGACAAACCTATTTCCTGGAAAAGAAGCATAAAGCCAAAGGGCCTGAGGGCAGCCGCAGGTCTTTTTGAAGCGATGAGGTGTGCAGAGGCAGATCAGGGGGTATATGTGCAGGGGTTGTGGGAAGCAGGCCTAAAAGAGGGAAGAGGAAGGTCAGGTCAAGGATGAGGCCAGGTGCGGTGGCTCACGCCTGTAATCTCAGCACTTTGGGAGGCTGAGGTGAGTGGAAAACTTGATGCTAGGAGTTCGAGACCAGCCTGACCAACATGACAAAACCCCAACTCTACAAAAATTAGCCGGGTATGGTGGCACGCCTTTGTAGTCCCAGCTGCTTGGGAGGCTGAAGCAGGAAAATCGCTTGAACCTGGGAGGCAGAGGTTGCAGTGAGCTGAGACGCTCCAACCTGGGCGACAGAGTGAGACTCCTTCTCAAAAAAAAAAGGATGAGGATCCTTAGAGGGCGTTGAGCATTGGTCTTATAGCTGGGTTCTTAGCCACCACTGGGAGACGAGGGTGGGAGGGAGAGAAGGGAGCTCCGCCTGCCATATCTGGTCGCTTCTTCCAGGGCATGTCAGAGACCTTTGAGACATTACACAACCTGGTACACAAAGGGGTCAAGGTGGTGATGGACATCCCCTATGAGCTGTGGAACGAGACTTCTGCAGAGGTGGCTGACCTCAAGAAGCAGGTACAGGCCCTTCAGCCCTTGGAAGGGTTGCTGTGCCCAGTGAGGGGCTGGTGGGGATTGGGTCTGCTCTGAGGAAGTCCACCCAGGCCGGGGTGGCTTTGGTCAGGTCATTTCACCTCTCTGGCCTCAGTTTCCTTAGGTGAACCGCTGCCACTGCCTACCTTGCAGTGGGTTGCGAGGCTTAGCTGAGCTCCTCTAGGAGCGAGTCAGGTGCTGGGGCTTTGCCAATATGAGGTATTATGATTAACAGTGTGATGTGCTGGTGGAAGAGTTTGAGGAGGTGATCGAGGACTGGTACAGGAACCACCAGGAGGAAGACCTGACTGAATTCCTCTGCGCCAACCACGTGCTGAAGGGAAAAGACACCAGTGAGTTTGGGGAAGCAAGGGCAGGCTGGCTCTGGATGATTTGTTTGCTCTCCCTTGGGGGAGGTGGGTAGGAGGAGAAACAGAGGGCACCAGAGGGCATTGTAGGATCTCTGCCCTTGAAAGGCTTGATTGGCAAGACATGGTGAAGTAAGAGTCACTGAAACCAGGTGCAGAATGATGGGCAGACAAGTCAGATGCCCCCAGAGGGGCCTGGTGGCCACAGCGAGAGGCAGGAGGCAGGGAGGCTGATGTCAAGCACAGTCCCAGTTGCTACTCCCACGGCTCCCTGCTCAGTGCTCCTTGCCCAGCACCCCAGCCCTGAGGCACTTCTGTTGAGGGTCTCTCTCCTCCACACCCTAGGTTGCCTGGCAGAGCAGTGGTCCGGCAAGAAGGGAGACACAGCTGCCCTGGGAGGGAAGAAGTCCAAGAAGAAGAGCAGCAGGGCCAAGGCAGCAGGCGGCAGGAGTAGCAGCAGCAAACAAAGGAAGGAGCTGGGTGGCCTTGAGGGAGACCCCAGCCCCGAGGAGGATGAGGGCATCCAGAAGGCATCCCCTCTCACACACAGCCCCCCTGATGAGCTCTGAGCCCACCCAGCATCCTCTGTCCTGAGACCCCTGATTTTGAAGCTGAGGAGTCAGGGGCATGGCTCTGGCAGGCCGGGATGGCCCCGCAGCCTTCAGCCCCTCCTTGCCTTGGCTGTGCCCTCTTCTGCCAAGGAAAGACACAAGCCCCAGGAAGAACTCAGAGCCGTCATGGGTAGCCCACGCCGTCCTTTCCCCTCCCCAAGTGTTTCTCTCCTGACCCAGGGTTCAGGCAGGCCTTGTGGTTTCAGGACTGCAAGGACTCCAGTGTGAACTCAGGAGGGGCAGGTGTCAGAACTGGGCACCAGGACTGGAGCCCCCTCCGGAGACCAAACTCACCATCCCTCAGTCCTCCCCAACAGGGTACTAGGACTGCAGCCCCCTGTAGCTCCTCTCTGCTTACCCCTCCTGTGGACACCTTGCACTCTGCCTGGCCCTTCCCAGAGCCCAAAGAGTAAAAATGTTCTGGTTCTGATTTCTGAGTCCTCTGCAGCCCTCAGAGGTGCCCTGGAGCCTCTTGTTCTTTCCTGCCCCTCGCCTTCCAGCCCGTGGGGCTGAGGAGGGGAAGGCTAAAACCCACCCACTCTCGGGAGCAGCAAGTGCTGGGAAGGCCCAGGGTTGTCTTGGGGTGAGGGGAGGCATGGGCATAGGATGAGGCCCAGGGCAGTGCACTGACCTTACGCTGCTCCCTCGTGTCCTGGACACCTGGCTGCCGTTCCCTCCCTCCCTCTCTCCTGCTGCTCCTCTTCCCAAGGCCTCCCATTTGTTGTGTAAAATGCAGTGTTTACCTGGCCAGCTCCCGCCCCTGTTCCTACTTCCACCTGGCCTTGACTGTTGGTCCTGAACCTTGTTTTCTGATGACCACACTTGATCACTCTGAGGTTCCTAGCTGTTGTACCTGGAGTGCAGTTGGGAGGACACCCGGTTCCCAACACCATCTGGTCACACCATGTTCCTCAGGGCCAAGGGAGGAGCAGAGAGGCTGGCCTCTAGGGAGAAGGGGTGGGGAAGCTCAGGCACCTCCCAGTTTGTCCTGAAGGCAGGGATCGGGGCAATTGGTACAGTAGTGATGACAATTGTATGTATTCAAATTGTATGCTTTAACTTTTACTATTACCACACTCTTGTGAGGTGTGCTGTTAACCTCATTGTGTAGAGGAGAAAACAGGCTAGAGTCAAGTGATATGCTTGGAGTCAGGTGACCTTGGAGTCAAGGTCCTGCTGTTAAGGAGTGGTATAGCTGGGACGCAGACACTGGCGTTCAGATTACAAATCCATGGTACTTCCACTCTCCACAGCTGCCAGGGCCTCTTCCCCCAACCCCTGGCACTGACAGTGTGAGTTGTATCGAACTGGTTTAGTTTCTTGGCCTTAACCTGTCACCACCACCAAGATTCTTTTTGTTTTGTTTTGTTTTGTTTTGTTTTTTTGAGGCGGAATCTCACTCTGTTGCCCAGGCTGGAGTGCAGTGGTGTGATCTTGGCTCACTGCATCGTCTGCCTCCCGGGTTCAAGCAATTCTCTGCCTTAGCCTCCCGAGTAGCTGGGATTACAGGCACCTGCCACCACGCCCAGCTAATTTTTTTGTATTTGTAGTAGAGACGGGGTTTCACCATCTTGGCCAGGATAGTTTTGAACTCCTGACCTCATGATCCATCTGCCTCGGCTTCCCAAAGTGTTGGGATTACAGGTGGGAGCCACTGCGCCTGGCCTAACCACCACCAAGATTCCTAAAAGGCGAATAGGAAGCAGCTGTGGCTTATTGGAAGGAAAGAATGGCAGCAAGTCCTGGGGGAGCTGTGCCCGCACCAGATCTCCCGTGAGCACCCACACTGCAACTCTACCTCACACTTCCAGGCTAGGCCCAGTGGGTAGGAGGGATACACTGCTGAAGCCTCCCTGCGTCCATTGCAGCGGCTCTGGGGGCTGAACTGGGAGTGAGGGGCCCCCTCATAGCCTGGTCCCAGCCTCTCCCCCTCTACCAGGTTAGGGCAGCCAAGGCCATAGAGAGTGGAACAGAATGGAATCTGTCTCTCCTTAAGCTGTTGAGGATGACGCCAGGTCCTGGGAAAATGATACTGTCTTGGTCCAGCCTCCACCTCTGCATCTCCAGGACTGATGTTCCCCCTGTTAAAGGAGCTGGTGAGCAGTGAGATTACAGTCTAGATGCAGGTCTTGTCCTGGACTTTGTTCTGAGCATAGAAAATGGCTGGGGGTGAGGTGGAGGGGCTGGTACCCAGGGCAGGGATGTGTTTCCTGCCCCCTGAACTGTCTAGGATTTGGTGGCCACCCTCTGATTCCCCCATTCTATCACTAACAGCACTTCAAGGCCTGGCTTACTTCTGTCCCCACAGCTTCATTGATTTTTTTTTTGTTTTTTGTTTTGTTTTGAGTCTTTTTTTTTTTTTTTTTGAGACAGAGTCTCACTCTGTTGCCCAGGCTGGAGTGCAGTGTCACAATCTCAGCTCACTGCAACCTCCGCCTCCTGGGTTCAAGTGATTCTCTGCTTCAGCCTCCCAAGTAGCTGGGATTACAGGCAACCGCCACCACACCCAGCTAATTTTTGTATTTTCAGTAGAGACGGGGTTTCCCCATGTTGGCCAGGCTGTTCTCGAACTCCTGACCTCAAGTGATCCACCTGCCTTGGCCTCCCAAAGTGCTGGGATTACAGGCAGGAACTACCATGCCTAACCCTTTCCCCTACCTTTCTTTTTTGGAACAGGATCTCCCTTTGTCACCCAGGCTGGAGTGCAGTGGCGTGATCATGACTCACTGCAGGCCTCAACCTCTCAGGCTCAAGTGATCCTCCTGAATAGTTGGGACCATAGGTATGCACCACTGTACCTGGCTAATTTAAACATCTTATTTTTTGTATACCAGGTGTGGAGGCTCACACCTGTAATCCTAGCACTTTGGGAGACCAAGGCTGGAGGATCGCTTGAACCCAGGAGTTCGAGACTAGCCTAGGCAACATAGTGAGACCATGTGTCTAAAAAAAGAAAAAATTATTTAAATACTTTTTTATTTGTTTGCAAGAGTCTCACTCTGTCACCCAGGCTGGAGTGCACTGGCACAATCTTGTCTCACTGCAACCTCTTCCTCCTGGGTTCAAGTGATTATCCTGCTTCAGCCTCCCGAGTAGCTGGGATTACAGCCACACACAACCACGTCTGGCTAATTTTTGTATTTTTAATAGAGACGGGGTTTCACCATGATGGCCAGGCTGGTCTCGAACTCCTCACCTCAGATGATTCACCCACCTCGGCCTCTCAGAGTGCTAGGATTATAGGTATGAGCCACTGTACCCGGCCAATAATTTTTTTAATTTTTAATTTATTTTTTGGGCCTGGGGTGGTTTCAGCCTCTTATTTGGGAGGCTGAGGCAGGACAATTGCTTGAAACCAAGAGGCGGAGGTTGCAGTGAGCCGAGATTGCACCACTGCACTCCAGCCTGGGTGACAGAGTGAGACTCCATCCCCCGCAACCAAAAAAAAAAAAAAATTTGTAGCAACAGGGTCTCCACATGTTGGCCAGGCTGGTCTCAAACTCCTGGACTCAAGCAATCCTCCCATCTCGGCCTCCCAAAGTGCTGGGATTACACGTGTGAGCCACCATGCCTGGCCTCATTGATTTTTAAAGTAGGACAAGGTAAAGATCTAACCCCCAAGCCAGGTGTGGTGGCTCACGGCTGTAATCCCGGCACTTTGGGAGGCTGAGATGGGCGGTTCACCTGAGGTCAGCCTGGGCGACAGAGGGAGACTCCATCTCAAAAAAAAATAAAAAAAACTCCTTACTGAGGTGTTGGCCCAGTGGCCCAATCCCAGGCCCTGGCCCAGTCTTGAGGGCAGGCAGTGTTGTCACTGCTTTGCTCTTTGACCTGTGGTTACTGCTTCCCAAGGGCCAGGCTTGTTGCATACTCACTAGCTTTCACGCAGCCCACCCAGCAGCAGCTTACTCTGGCCCTGCCTAGAAAGGCAGAATGCAGGAAACCTGGCTTTCCGGGTTTTTTTCTTTCCCTTTTTTTTTTTTTTTGGTAGAGACGGGGTTTTGCTGTGTTGCCCAGGCTGGTCTCACACTTCTGGGCTCCAGCAATCCCCCCACCTCGGCCTCCCAAAGTTTTGGAATTACAGGTGTGTGGCTTAGCGCCCAGCCCAGGTTTTTCTTTTCTTCTCCCCACCACACAAGCCTTTCCGAACTTGGGCGTTGCCTCCCACTTTCCTATACCCCTTCCCATCCATGGCTTGTTTTTGTTTTGATTCAGAACAGGCAGAAATTAATCTACCTGATATACAGAAATTCATATAGATGAATTTCTACCTGTTCTGAATCAAAACACAAGCCATGTGCAGTGCATGCCTGTAGTCCCAGCTACTTGGGAGGTGGCTTGAGAGGATCACTTGAGCCCAGGAGTTCCAGTCCAGCCTGAGCAACACAGTGAGACCCTCATCTCTAAAAAGCGAATAAAAACAAAAAAAACACCAAAACAACCAGGATGTCTCCCATTTGCACTCCACTTAAGTGTGGAGACTTAGGCTGATCACATCACTGCACTCCAGCCTGAGTAACAGACTGAGACCCTGTCTCAAAAAACAAAATGAGACAAAAAACCTGCTCGTAATAAAGTGTGAAATTATAAAAAGAACCTCTGTTTTTAAAAGTTTTCTATTTATATAAATTTATAGGGCACAAGTATAATCAGGTAAGGGTACTGCCTGCACTCAAGTTAACCTGATTTCCGTCTTCCTGTCAGAAGCCTCATTAGAACAAGATTCTAAACTTAACTCACCTGGACATGAGAGTCACCTAGAATACTTGTTAAACATACAGATGTCTGGGTTTGCCTCAGACTTGCTGGGTTGAGACCTGGGAGTCTGCATGCTTAGCAAACATCTCTCACGGTCCTTAAGAGGAGGCAGCTAGAACTCACTTCACCAAGATAAACCCAGGGTGTTGTCCTAAGATGGGGCAGGACTTCAGTGAATTTACAGTGGGTCAATGTCTTGTCCTCAGAAACACAAACAGCAGAATGGCTCCATCTCTGTTGAAGACTTCCATCAACTAGAACCACGAGGGCTGATGGACAGACCACAAGGCCAGTTTGTTCCAGTTCAATGATTAAAAGAACCACAGATGACCAGGCACGGTGGCTCACGCCTGTAATCCCAGCACTTTGGGAGCCCGAGGTGGGTGGATCACGAGATCAGGAGTTTGAGACCAGCCTGGCCAATATGGTGAAACCCCGTCTCTACTAAAGATACAAAAAATTAGCCAGGCGTGGTGGCTCACGCCTGTAATCCCAGCTATTCAGGAGGCTGAGGCAGAAGAATGACTCGAACCCAGGAGGCAGAGGTTGCAGTGAGCCGAGATCATGCCATTGCACTCCAGCCTGGGCAACAGGCAAGACTCTGTCTGAAACCAAACAACAACAAAACATGCTCAGACAGTAAAATCTCACGAGTGCTACATCAGGGCTTCCATATTCATTTGAAAGGGCAGGTCCTAGGAGGCAGGCTCCTCTCCTTACTTTGAGACTGCTGGGTGGCATTTCCATAGATCTTTATGCAAGTTAGGAAAAGGTGCTCTTCACACCTTTAACTTCCATCTGTCAGAAAATTGTTTTGCCGGGTGTGGGGTCTCACACCTGTAATCCCATCTCTTTGGGAGGCTGAGGCGGGTGGATCACCTGAGGTCAGGAGTTTGAGACCAGCCTGGCCAACTTGGTGAAACCCCGTCTCTACTAAAATACAAAAATTAGCCTGGTGTGGTGGCATGCGCCTGTAATCCCAGCTACTTGGGAGGCTGAGGCAGGAGAATTGCTTGAACCTCCTGCCACTGCACTCCAGCCTGGGTGACAGAATGAGACTCCGTCTCCAAAAAAAAAAAAAAAGAAAATTGTTTTAATTACATTTGTTAGGAAAAGACACTTCACTGAATGCCTGCCAGAAAATTATCATCTTAAATCTACAAACCCATGGGGTTTGTCCTGTGAATGGGAGCCCCACACTCCCCTCTAGTGTGGAGACTTATGCTGTCCAGATGTTGACCGCAGCCCTGCATCACTATAGTTCCCAAATATGAACAAAATTCCCCTTATTTTTTGATCTTGAAAGAAAAGCCTATTTTTTATGACAGATATATATGGGTCCATGCTAAGTCACTTGTTTCAATGAGATGGACCCTACTGCCAGCTCTGGTAATAGCAATATGTATTAGCACCAACTGCCCCTAAGTGGAAAAGATTGCCCAAAAAAGACATTAAAAAGCCATATTGGCTGGGCATGGTGGCTCACGCCTGTAATCCCAGCACTTTGGGAGGCTGAGGTGGGTGGATCACGAGGTCGGGAGATCCAGATCATCCTGGCTAACACGGTGAAACTCCGTCTCTACTAAAAATACAAAAAAAAAAAAAATTAGCCGGGCGTGGTGGCGGGCGCCTGTAGTCCCAGCTGCTCCGGAGGCTGAGGCAGGAGAAAGGCGTGAACCCGGGAGGCGGACCTTGCGGTGAGCCGAGATCGCACTACTGACTCCAGCCTGGGCGACAGAGCGAGACTCCGTCTCAAAAAAAAAAAAAGCTACAGAAAAAATGTTACTAAGAAGGTCATAAGAAAAATATATTTACTGTTCGTTAAGTGGAAGTGGATCATCTTAAGGTCTTCATCCTTCTCATCTTGGGAGAAGCTGATTTTGAAGTCTCGGGGTGGCAGAGACAGGAGAAAATCCACATATATGTGGGCCCACATAGTTCAGCTCCATGTTGTGTGTTTGAGGGTCAATGGCAATCTGGCTTTTTTTTTTTTTTTTTTGAGACGGAGTCTTGCTCTGTCTCCCAGGCTGGAGTGCAGTGGCACGTTCTCGGCTTACTGCAAGCTCCGCCTCCTTGGGTTCACACCATTCTCCTGCCTCAGCCTCCCGAGTAGCTGGGACTACAGGCGCCTGCCACCACGCCCGCTAATTTTTTGTATTTTTAGTAGAGACAGGGTTTCACCATGTTAGCCAGGATGGTCTCGATCTCCTGACCTCGTGATCCGCCCACCTCAGCTTCCCAAAGTGCTGGGATTACAGGCGTGAGCCACTGCGCCTGGCCTCTATAGCTTTAATGTAAGATTACACTATATAATACGCATACAAGCTATGTGTTATTGGCCTGGCATGGTAGCTCACCCCTGTAATCCCAGCACTTTGGGAAGCCGAGGCGGACAGATCACCTGAGGTCAGGAGTTCAAGACTAGCCTGGCCAACATGGTGAAACCCCGTCTCTACTAAAAATACAAAAATTAGCCTATGTGCTGGTGCACGCCTGTAATCCCAGCTACTCAGGAGGCTGAGGCAGAAGAATCGCTTGAACCCGAGAGGCAGAGGCTGCAGTAAGGCGAGATCACACCACTGCACTTCAGCCTGGGCAACAGAGTGAGACTTGGTCTGTCTCTCAAAAAAAAGATATGTATTATCGACTTTATGTTATAGGTAAGGGTTCTGGTCCATAGTAAGTTATTAGTAATCGAGTTTTTGGGGAGTCAGAAGTTATACATGGGGGCCAGACACAGTGGGTCACGCCTGTAGTCCCAGCATTTTGAAAGGCTGAGGCAGGCAGATCGCTTGAACTCAGGAGTTTGAGACCAGCCTGGGCAACATGGCGAAACCCCATCTCTACAAAAAAATAGAAAAATTAGCCAGGCACGGTGGTGCATTCCTGTGGTCTCAGCTACTTGAGAGGCTGAGATGGGAGGATCACTTGAGCACAGGAGGCGGAGGTTTCCGTGAGCTGAGATCATGCCATTGCACCCTAGCCTGGTTAACAGAACAAGACCCTGTCTCAAAAAAAAAAAAAAAACAAAAAACAAAAAGTTACACATGGATTTTCAACTGTGTGGGGAGTCAGGGCCTCTAACCCCCAAGTTGTTCAAGGGTAACCTGGACTCACCAACCCAGTCTTGGTGTTTTAGATGTAATGGCGTGTGCTACGTCACCTGTTTCAATAAGCAATGTTTAGCCTGTTATCAGGGCCTGAAATAGCATATCATATTTATGTTGAATAATAATAGCTCAGTGAACAGATCTGTGTGTACTGAAGAGATCTTACTGGAGGTTAGCACTCCTTAAAACCGCCTTTTTTTTTTTTTCTTTTGAGATGGAGTCTCACTCTGTCACTTAGGCTGGAGTGTAGTAGTACGATCTAGGCTCTCTGCAACCTCCGCCTCCCAAGTAGCTGAGACCTACAGGCACGCACCACCATGCCTGGCTAATTTTTGTATTTTTTAGTAGAGATGGGGTTTCACCATATTGGCCAGGCTGGTCTCGAACTCCTGACTTCGTGATCCACCCGCCTCAGCCTCCCAAAGTGCTGGGATTACAGGCGTGAGCCACTGTGCCTGGCTAAAACTGCTTTTAACAGCCAGGAACAGTAGCTCACACCTGTATTCCCAGCAGTTTGGGACCAGCCTGGGCAGCATAGTGAGACCTCATCTCTACTAAAAAAAAAAAAAATAGCTATGTGTGATCCCAGCTACTCAGGAGGCTGAGGTGGGAGGATCACTTGAGCCTGGGAGGTCGAGGCTGCAGTGAGCATCTGTGATCACACCACTGCACTCCAGCCTGTTTTTTGAGACCCTGTCTCAAAAAAAAAAGAAAGAAAACCCTGCTTTTTTTTTTTATGAGACAGAGTCTCGCTCCATCGCCCAGGCTGGAGTGCAGTGGTGCGATCTTGGCTCACTGCAAGCTCCGCCTCCTGGGTTCACGCCATTCTCCTGCCACAGCCTCCTGAGTAGCTGGGACTACAGGCACCTGCCACCACGCCCAGCTAATTTTTTGTATTTTTAGTAGAGACGGAGTTTCACCATGTTAGCCAGGATGGTCTCGATCTCCTGACCTCGTGATCCGTCCGCCTTGGCCTCCCAAAGTGCTGGGATTACAGACGTGAGCCACCGCGCCCGGCCAAAACCCTGCTTTTAATAAAGTGTGAAATGGTAAAAATAACCTCTCTTTTTTTTTAAGTTTTCTATTTGTATAAATGTATAGGGCAAAAGTATCGTTTTGTTACATGCATAGAGTGTGTAGTGGTGAATTCAGGGCTTTTCGGGAGAACCTCTCTTCTTACACATCAGTGGAGTACTCACTGATAACACTACGCTTAATAGTAATGTTGCCATTATTAGTGTTACGACCCACTGATATAGAGACCTATTTGACAACTAACAGGACTTTCTTAAAAGTCCAAAAAAGGATCTGCTTTGATAATTCTGCTAGGAGATCCAAGTGGGTGGGTGGATCTGCTAGCACCACTCCTCAAGTGTTTCAATGTTCAGTCTGGGGTAGATCCAATTAGCAGAGAAGAATTTTTATGCAATGGCTTGGACTAGAGTTTGGAATTTGGCAGTCATCACTGGAAAAATGAATTTCTGCCTGTTCTGAATCAAAACAAAACAAGCCATGTGCAGTACACACCTGTAGTCCCAGCTACTTGGGAAGTGACTTGAGAGGATCACTTGAGCCCAGGAGTTCCAGTCCAGCCTGAGCAACACAGTGAGACCCTCATCTCTAAAAAGCAAATAAAAATAAAAAACACCAAAACAACCAGGATGTCTCCCATTCGCAGTTATTGTATCTACATAATTCACAATTGCAGGATTTTAATGTGTCCTCAAATAGGACTTGGAGTTTGTCCAGTTACAGCCACATTCCCAAGATGAAGTCTTTTTGCAAACATGTCACACATTTAGGAATGAAGAATTTAGTCTTTTCAGCCAATTCCAAATAATGTGTCCCACATTTAAAATATCACCTGTTCTTCTTTTCTTTTCTTTTTTCTTTTTTTGAGATGGAGTCTCACTCTGTTGCCCAGGGAAGTGCAGTGGCGCGATCTTGGCTCACTGCAACCTCCACCTTCCAGGTTCAAGTGATTCTCCTGCCTCAGCTTCCTGAGTAGCTGATTACAGGTGTGTGCCACCACACCCGGCTAATTTTTGTATTTTCAGTAGAGACAGGATTTCACCATGTTGGCCAGGCTGGACCTATTCTTATTTTCAGTGAAGTCAAACAGTAAATTGATTTATATTCTGTGATCTTTTCCATGGCCCAGGGCATCTAAAATTTACAGAGAGATGGCCAGGCATGGTGGTCATGCCTGTAATCCCAGTACTTTGGGAAACCGAGGCAGGTGGATTGCTTGAGCCCAGGAGTTTGAGACCAGCCTGGATAACAAAGTGAGACTGTCTCTACAAAAATAAAATAAAATTTATAGAGACGAATTAAGTAAAATAAAAAGCAGTTTTAATATATTTTAGTGGGCAGGACATGGACAATTTGTAGATGAAGGATTGCAATTATTTGGTATATTTTGGCAATAATTAAAGAAGATATAATAGATATAATTAGATACAATATTCTACCTAATGAAATATCAACGAATAATATGTAAAGAAGAGTTCAAACACGCCGGGTGAGGTGGTTTATGCCTGTAATCCCAGCACTTTGGGAGGCTGAGGCAAGAGGATCACTTGAGCCCAGGAGTTGGAGACAAGCTTGAGTGACACAGACATACCAAAAAAAAAAAATTAGCCAGGCATGGTGGCGCACCCCCATAATGGCAACTACTCAAGAGGCTGAGGTGGGAAGATCGCTTGAGCCTGCAAGTTCGAGGCTGCAGTGAGCTATGATCACACCACTGTGTTCCAGCCTAGGCGACAAAGCAAGACCCTGTTTTAAAAAAAAAAAAATTAAATTTTAAAAAGGAGTGACCCTACTACCTCCTTCAGCATTCCTTTCCCACACAAAGCAAATGGAAAAGAAAGTAATAATAAAGGGAAAAATAATAAACTGCCATAAGCCACTTAACATTTCAAATATTGTATATATAGCCAATCTATTTGTAGACAGTGACAAAGAAATTATTCCCGTATCATCTTGGTTATTATTCCAATCACTCTTCATTCTCCAGACTTTTTTTCTTTTTCTTTTTCTTTTTCTTTTTTTTTTTTTATTTGAGGCAGAGTCTCCCTCAGTCATCCAGGCTGGAGTACAGTGGCACAATCTCGGCTCACTGCAGCCTCTGCCTCCTGGGTTCAAGCGATTCTCCTGCCTCAGCCTCCCAAGTAGTTGGGATTACAGGCGCCTGCCACCACGCCCAGCTAATTTTTGTCTTTTCAATAGAGACAGGGTTTCACCATGTTGGCCAGGCTGGTCTCCAACTCCTGACCTCAAGTGATCTGCCCACCTCGGCCCCCAAAAGTGCTGGGATTACAGGTCTCAGCCACCGCTCCTGACCAAGCATGCATTTTTAAGGCCGGGCAAGGTGGCTCAAGCCTGTAATCCTAGCACTTTGGGAAGCGAGGCAGGCGGATCACGAGGTCAGGAGTTCGAGACCAGCCTGGCCAACATGGTGAAACGCCATCTCTACTGAAAATACAAAAAAATTAGCTGGGTGTGTTGGCGCATGCCTGTAATCCCAGCTACTTAGGAGGCTGAGGCAGGAGAATCACTTGACGGAATCTTACTCTGTCACCCAGGCTGCAGTGCAGTGGCTTGATCTCAGCTCACTGCAACCTCTGCCGCCTCGGTTCAAGTGATTCTTGTGCCACACCCTCCCAAGTAGCTGGGACTACAGCCGCGTGCCACCACGCCCGGCTAATTTTTTTGTATTTTTAGTAGAGATAGGGCTTTGCCATGTTGGCCAGGGTGGTCTGGAACTCTTGACCTCAAGTGATCTGCCCCCCTCGGCCTCCCAAAGTGCTGGGATTACAGGTATGAGCCACCATGCCCAGACAAGATAATTAACATGAGATTAAAAAAAAAAAAAATCTAAGGGTAGTGGAGTAAATTTTCCCCAGAATATTCTGTAAAATAAAGAGTGGATTTACTTATAATTCTCCAATTCAGGCTTTTTTTTTTTTTTTTTAGACAAAGTCTCACTCTGTCACCTAGGCTGGAGTGCGGTGGCACAATCTCAGCTCACTGCAACCTCTGCTTCCCAGGTTCAAGCAAATCTCCCTGCCTTAGCCTTCTGAGTAGCTAGGATTACAGGTGCCTGCTACCACGCCCAGCTAATTTTTGTATTTTTTAGTAGAGATGATGTTTCACCATGTTGGCCAGGCTGGTCTCAAACTCCTGACCTCAGGTGATCCGTCCGCCTCAGCCTCCCAAAATGCTGGGATTACAGGCATAAGCCACCATGCCCGGCCCCAATCCAGGCTTTCTAAACCTGTTGCCAAAGATGCATCTGTAGGATCAGATACAAAAAAATTAGCTGGGTGTGGTGGTGCATGCCTGTAATCCCAGCTACTTGGGAGGCTGAGGCAGGAGAATCGCCTGAACCCAGGAGGTGGAGTTTGCAGTGAGCCAAGATCGTGCCATTGCACTCCAGCCTGGGCAACAAGAGCGAAACTCCATCTCAAAAAAAAATAAAGAATAGCAAGGACACCAAGCACCCCCATTCCCGGCCCTGGACTTTGTCCATGTGTTAATGGTGGAGGGTGTCCAGGTTCTTGGCATCTTGAACGAACAATTGGACAAAATGCACAAACAAGGAAGGAATGAAGGGTTTTATTGAAAATGAGCCGGGCGCGGTGGCTCACGCCTGTAATCCCAGCACTTTGGGAGGCTGAGGCGGGCCGATCACAAGATCAGGAGATTGAGACCATCCTGGCTAACACGGTGAAACCCCATCTCTACTAAAAATACAAAAAAATTAGCCAGGCGTGGTGGTGGGCACCTGTAGTCCCAGCTACTTGGGAGACTGAGGCAGAATGGTGTGAACCCAGGAGGTGGAGGTTGCAGTGAGCCAAGATTGCGCCACTGCACTCCAGCCTGGGCGACAGAGCGAGACTCCATCCCAAAAAAAAAAAAAAAAAAAAAGACAATGAAAGTACACTCCACAGTGTGGGAGCGAGAATGAGCATAGGGGCTCAAAGGCCCTGTTAAAAATGTTTGTGAGTTTAAATACCCTCTACTTGGGGAATGCCCTATGTAAATGAAGAAGATGAAGTAAAGTTACAATTGCAAAGTTATTAATGATGTATGCCCTAAGGAGAGGATATTTCCTGTTATAGATGAAGTGTGAATTGGCCTTATGTTACCTGCCTCCAGACCCTATTTTCCTGCCTCATCTGCCCCCTGAGATGTGATCCCCATAAATCTTTATGGGAGGCAGAGGGACAGATGGTCTTTTTTCTGTAACTGCTTCATGCTGGCTTGGGGGATGGTCCCCACCTATTAGGGATCATGGAACTCTCACCCTGCTCTGTCTAGTGGAGGCAGGGTAGCTTTTTGATGGCCAGGGGTGATGTCTTCACCTGGAACTGGCTGGAAGCTTTGTTGCATGATCAGCTGAAGCTTGATGGTCTCTAGGCAAGAGGAAATGAATTTGGTTAAAACATTTAATGGGAACTGCAGGGGGTGGATACCTATGCTGTTAGAAATGTTTGTTATATTGACCAGGCGCAGTGGCTTACGTCTGTAATCCCAGCACTTTGGGAGGCCGAGGCAGGCAGATCACGAGGTCAGGAGTTCAGGATCAGCCTGGCCAACATAGTGAAACCCTGTCTCTACTAAATACAAAAAAATTAGCCGGGCGGGGTGGTGCATGCCTGTAATCCTAGCTACTCAGGAGGCTGAGGCAGGAATGTTGCTTGAACCTGGGAGGTGGAGGTTGCAATAAGCTGAGATTGAGCCACTGCACTCCAGTCTGGGGGCGAGGGAGTGAGACTCCGTCTCAGAAAAAAAAAAAAAGAAAGGTTTGTCATAGAGATTTGCAGGAGAAAAAAAACTTGGTCTGTTTTAGAATCTATGTGTTTCCTTAAAGTCCTAGCATGAGCGACTCCATTTTGGTTTGGTTTGTTGAGGCCTAGTGCATGAGCCTAGTCCAAAACAATGGCCTTCCATAATTTTGTTTAAAAAATTACCCTTTTTGGTTAGGCTGTCATTTAAGTGAGAGTGTGACCAAACCTTAGGGACTTAGCGCCACTCTCAGTTACCATCATTTTGGGTTTCCTATCTCAGCACATCATTTATAGCTTATAGTGTCCTTATGGTTGCACATTTTTTTAGCTCCTGTTATTCCAGTTGAAGAGAGACCATTTGACATTCTAGAGATGGCTGCACGCAAGCATTTAAAACCTTTGAGAGAATAGAGCGCACCAGGGAGACTATTATTATGACTATCGGGAGGATGATACCAAGAGTTTGGAGTATGCTCCTTACCCAGGTTCCCCATAAACCAAACCACCTAAAATCACATAGATCAAAGAATGAACTAGATAAAGAGTTTACTCATGGCCGGGCGTGGTGGCTCATGTCTGTAATCCCAGCACTTTGGGAGGCCGAGATGGGCAGATCACCTGAGGTCGGGAGTTCAAGACCAGCCTGACCAACATGGTGAAACCCCGTCTCTACTAAAAACACAAAATTAGCCAGGCATGGTGGTGCATGCCTGTAGTCCCAGCTACTCGGGAGGCTGAGGCAGGAGAATCGCTTGAACCCGGGAGGCAGAGGTTGCGGTGAGCCGAGATCGTGCCATTGCACTCCAGCCTGGGCAACAAGAGCAAAACTCCGTCTCAAAAAAAAAAAAAAGTTTACTCATTTGACTAAGCAGTCTCTTTGTTAATCCCCTACCACTATATTTCTATAATCTTCATGTGATGTATTTCTCCGTAGGCCACAAGTGCCAGCAGCTGCACAGATACTTCTCTGTTTAGCCAATTCTATCTTAACTTTCACAAGAGAATTTAAAGTCTATTGTATAACTGTAGCCTTTACAGTAGAATTTGCTATAGAACCCATCATGAGGGATACTTTTTTTTTTTTGAGACGAAGTTTCGCTTTTGTTGCCCAGGCTAGAGTGCAATGGCACCATCTTGGCTCACTGCAACCTCTGCCTCCCGGGTTCAAGCGATTCTCATGCCTCAGCCTCCCGAGTAGCTGGGATTACAGGTGCACCACCATGCCCAGCTAATTTTTATGTATATATATATATATATTTTTTTAGTAGAGATGGGGTTTCACCACATTGGCTAGACTGGTCTCAACCTCCTGACTTCAGGTGATCCACCTGCCTCGGCCTCCCAAAGTGCTGGGATTACAGGCATAAGCCACCGTGCCTGGCCCCATTAAAGTTTTTTACCTGCACTGGGCCTTCATTTTTTATCTATTAAAGTATAAAGTTATCCATATATAAGGTTGGCTGCAAACTCCTTCACAAATAAAAGTACATCCCATTAGTGCACATAACAGATGCCTTTTCCACTTTTATTGTTCATAGAGGCATAAGCAAGAACAAATATTGAAAGATAAGAGTTTTATGACAGTAGAAGTCTTAATCTGTGAATTTGGGAAAAGCTTATTTACATCAAAGATGCCATCCTCGGTCAGGCGCAGTGGCTCACGCCTGTGATCCCAGCACTTTGGGAGGCTGAGGCGGGCGGATCACCTGAGATCAGGAGTTAGAAAGCAGCTTGTCCAACATGGTGAAACCCCGTCTCTACTAAAAATATAAAAATTAGCCTGATGTGGTGGCGAGCACCTGTATACTTGGGAGGCTGAGGTAGGAGAATCGCTATTATAAAAAGTAGAGGTTCCTCTTCAAAGACTTTCCTCCCCATCTAATTAGGGATAAATAGTAACTTCTCTTAGAAGCAAAATTTATTCAAAGATCTGTGGTGACATTCTTAAATATCTGCAAGTCATAATAAAGAAATCAATGTCCTTTATGTTCTTAGCTCCCACAATGTAGCCTAAATATTTGCCCTGGCATGCTTATACTGGTCCAAACAAACATTAGGTCATAGCCTGTTCCTCATCCTTATTTGAAGGTGTTTTTACCTTTCTCAGCATTCCACAAGTTACTTCCCCTTCCTTTGTTCTCCTCTGCCTTTGCCTCTTTTAAAAGTTCTAAGTTGCTAGCCAATCGGGACAAATACAAAATGTGAAGTCCCATTCCAGCCAATGGAAACCGGACACAGCAGTAGGGTGGACGCGTCAGGTTATAAATGACCCTGTCTCCTTTGTTCAGTGTACTCTCATGGCAAAACTGCTGACGAGGGTACCCTTTCTGCAGAAAGTAAAAATGGCCTTCCTGAGGAAATTGAATTTATGTTCAAGTGCTATTTCTTTACGGCACTGGGGAACAAGCATTTCTTTTTTAATTTTTTTTATATTTAATATTAAACATTTAATATATTAAGTGAATACATTCAAATCTGCAAACAATACATCTAGGTTGTAGAAGAGTTAAAAAAATCCCTCCACTCAGTTTTTGCCAAAACACCACCTGTAAGCACTGAGAAGCCTACTGATGCACGCATTATCCTTTGGGCCAATAGAAACAAACGTTTTAATAAAATGCTTTCCCAGTGGTCAAATTGTCTTCCTGAGTAAAGCTAAACTTGTTGTAGTGAGAACAGGTAGTGTTTATTTCTAGCTTCTTCTGGGTTCCAGGTTACCTAAGACCCAAGGGTAATGACAATGGGCAGCTCCACTTTATTAAAAGCCAACATTTAGCCCAGACATTTTATTCTCCAAAAATTAGCAAGCATAGCTTTACATTCAAGTTGGGTATAATGACTTTATTTTCCCAGTAATTCCCTAAATAAAACATTATTACAAAAAATGACTCTTCCCAGTGCAAAATCTTAACATTTTGCTTTTATGAGCAAAAGCCTGTATTTTACATATTTTTTTTTTGAGACGGAGTCTCGCTGTCGCCCAGGTTGGGGTGCAGCGGCGCGATCTCGGCTCACCGCAGGCTCCGTCCCCCAGGGTTCACACCATTCTCCTGCCTCAGCCTCCCAAGCAGCTGGGACCACAGGCGCCCGCCACCACGCCCGGCTAATTTTTTGTATTCTCAGTAAAGACGGGGTTTCACCGTGTTAGCCAGGATGGTCTCGATCTCCCGACCTCGTGATCCGCCCACCTCGGCCTCCCAAAGTGCTGGGATTACAGGCGTGAGCCACCGCGCCCGGCCTACGTATTTCTTATATTGATTTTTACATTTTCAGGTTCTCAAAAGGACTTACTCATTTTACCTGTAACACTTGGACGTCTGAATGTAACATGCACTTGAAAAAAAAAATTCTATCACCTTGGATAGGATAGTGATGGAGGAGAATGTTGACATTGACTATATACCCTCACCTAGTATTCTGTGTAAAATCATGTTTCCCTAAAGAGGACTCTGATTTGTCCAGTTGCATCCTTGCAACTTGGCACAGGTTGGCAGGTAAAAATGACCTTTCTGTAGAAGTAGAAGCCTATTCTTCACATGTAAGTTTTGATTACTACTATTTTATCACATCTTAAATATATAAATCTCAGGCTGGGCGTGGTGGTGCACGCCTGCAATCCCAGCACTTTGGGAGGCCGAGGCAGGCAGATCACCTGAGGTCGGGAGTTTGAGACCAGCCTGCCCATGAAGAAACCACACCTCTACTAAAAATACAAAACCAGCCAGGCATGGTGGCACATGCCTGTAATCCCAGCCACTTGGGAGGCTGAGGCAGGAGAACCGCTTGAACCCAGGAGGCAGAGGTTGCGGTGAGCCGAGATCGTGCCATTGCACTCCAGCCTTAGCAGCAGCCATTGCAGTCTTTTTAGATGCTTGCTTAGCCTTTTTTGCTTCCTTAGCAGCCCTGATAGCTTGTTCTCGTCGAGTCTTTCTAACTTCAGGTTTCTGATTCCTCTTGGCCGTTATATCAGCAAGAGATGCACCAGTAATGGCCCTCTGGAATTTGACTGCTCGGCGGGTTCTTTTCTTTTGAATTTCTTCCGACTGCCCCTTTTTGTGCTTCCTTCTGTAGAGGACAGTCCAGTTTATCTGCCGAGGATTCCTCTTGGAAAGGAACGCCAACTCGCATTTCGCATTAAGAAACTGGAAAACCTTCCCGTCGGTCCTGGCGTAGCGCCTCCCGTGTCCGGGGTAGATCTTGTACCCGCTAAAACTGCACAGCTCGACCTTCATGGCGACAGCTCCACAGAAAGACAAAAGATGGCGAAAAGTCTTTTTTAATTTTTTAAAAAATTTATTTATTTATTTTTTTGAGATGGAGTCTCGCTCTGTCACCCAGGCTGGAGTGCAGTGGCGCGATCTCGGCTCAGTGCAAGCTCTGCCTCCCGAGTTCACACCATTCTCCTGCCTCAGCCTCCTGAGTAGCTGGGATATCAGGCGCGTGCCACCACACCCAGATAAATTTTTTTTTTTGTATTCTTATTAGAGACGGGGTTTCACCGCGTTAGCCAGAATGGTCTCAATCTCCTGACCTCGTGATCTGCCCGCTTCGGCCTCCCAAAGTGTTGGGATTACAGGCGTGAGCCACTGTGCCCGGCCAATTTTTTTTTTGAAACGGAGTTTCATTCTTGTTGCCCAGGCTGGAGTGCAATGGTGTGATCTCGGTTCACCGCAACCTCCCCCTCGCAGGTTCAAGCGATTCTCCTGCCTCAGCCTCCTGATTTGCTAGGATTACAGGCAGGCGCCACCACGCCCAGCTAATTTTTTGCATTTTTAGTAGAGACGGGGTTTCTCCATGTTGGTCAGGCTGGTCTTGAACTCCCTACCTCAGGTGTTCTGCCTACCTCGACCTCCCAAAGTGCTGGGATTACAGGCATGAGCCACCGCACCCAGCCTCCAGGGAACAAGCATTTCTGGCAACTTGAACCCAGGAGGCGGAGGTTGCAGTGAGCCGAGATGGCACCACTCATTCCAGCCTGGGCGACAGAGGGAGACTCCATCTGAAAAAACAAAAACTAAACCATATGTAAAACAAACATTGTTTTGGTCCAGAAAGATGGGACAACTGGAGGTGAGGAGGCTTGGGGGCTTTCAGATCACAGGTGGGAGACAAAGGGTTGCGTTCTTTTGAGTTTCTGATTAGTCTCTCCAAAGGAAGCAATCAGATATGCATTTATCTCAATGGAGGCAGGCTCTCCCCAAGCTCTCAGCTTGAATTAACACTGACATTTTAAAATATCTAGCAAAGACAAACATAAAATTTAGACAAAACCTATGCTGACAAATCTGAAGGCCTTTTTATTTTTATTCCCCCAATAATTTTAAAGCTGGCTAGTTTAGTAAAGTTATACTTAAGTGGACTTGAAAATTGCTTAGACGTATTTACTTAATTACTTAAGCCCTCTTTTTTTTTTTTTTTTTTTTTTGAGACAGGAGTCTCGCTCTGTTGCCCAGGCTGGAGTGCAATGGCACGACCTCAGCTCACTGCAACCTCCACCTCCTGAGTTCAAGCAATTCTCCTGCCTCAGTCTCCCAAGTAGTTGGGATTACAGGTGCCCACCACCACGCCTGGCTAATTTTTGTATTTTTAGTAGAGACAGGGTTTCGCCATGTTGGTCAGGCTGGTCTCGAATTCCTGAGCTCATGATCCACCTCAGCCTCCCCAAGTATTGGGATTACAGGCGTGAGCCACTGCGCCTGGCGGAGCCCTCTTTTACTTATAAGTCAATTTGGTAGACACAACATATAGCAGTAAGTGTACATATAAGTAAATACATCTAGACATGTATATGCACACATAAACGATGACCTGGAACGTTAGCCATGAGATGGCAGTACAAGCTTGAAGGTTTTACTTTGCCCTAATGGATAATGCAGGGAAGGCTGTGAACCAAAATTTTGGGTAAAGCAGTCTCCATGGCAGTTTTATTTTTATTTATATTTATTTATTTTTTGAGACAGAGTTTCTCTCTTGTTGCCCAGGCTGGAGTGCAATAGCGCAATCTTGGCTCATCGCAACCTCCGCCTCCCAGATTCAAGCGATTCTCCTGCCTCAGCCTCCCAAGTAGCTGGGATTACAGGCATGCACCACCATGCCCGGCTAATTTTGTATTTTTAGTAGAGACGGGGCTTCTCCATGTTGGTCAGGCTAGTCTTGAACTCTCAACCTCAGTTGATCTGCCTGCCTCAGCCTCCCAAAGTGTTGGGATTATAGGTGTGAGCCACCGTGCCCGGCCAAAGTAGTTTGATTGATTGATTGATTTTTGTTTTGAGACGGAGTCTTGCTCTGTCGCCCAGGCTGGAGTGCAGTGGCGCAATCTTGGCTCACTGCAACCTCTGCCACCCGGGTTCAAGCGATTCTCCTGGCTTAGCCTCCCAAGTAGCTGGGATTACAGGCACGTGCCACCATGCCTGGCTAATTTTTGTATTTTTAGTAGAGACAGGGTTTTAGCATCTTGGCCAGGCTGATCTTGAACTCCTGACCACGTGATCCACCTGTCTTGGCTTCCTAAAGTGCTGGACAGTTTGATTTTTAAAGGCTAAACCTCCCCAGGCTCCAAGGAGCACTGGGGCCAAACAGTACCAAAGGAGAGCATCACCCGTTAACCAGGCCCCCTGCTTAGAAGAGTAGCACAGACCGGGCGCTGTGGCTCACACCTATAATCCCAGCACTTTGGGAGGCCGACGCCAGTGGATCACGAGGTCAGGAGTTTGAGACCAGCCTGACCAACATGGTGAAACCCTGCCTCTTCTAAAAATACAAAAATTAGCCGGGCGTGGTGGTGAGCGCCTGTAATACCAGCTACTCAGGAGGCTGAGGCAGGAGAATTGCTTGAATCTGGGAGGCGGAGATTGCAGTGAGCTGAGATTGCACCACGGCACTCCAGCCTGGCGACAGAGCGAGACTGTGTCTCAAAACAAAAACAAAAACAAAAAAAAACCCTGCAGTTGCTTCCATGTTTAGGCGCTGCCCACCAAGGGTCCCAAGTTGGAAAGGAAGGAGGAGAGAGGCAGAGAGAGAGAGAGAGAGAGAGAGAGAGAGAGAAGCGCGAGAGCGGCCCTGTAATTGAGCAGAAAGGAAAGGGAGAAAAATGAATCCCAAACTTTGGGCTTACCTCTTTCTGCTGGCTGGCTCGCCAAAATATGTTAACGGTAGAGGATGTCCAGGTTCTTGGCATCTTGAACAAACAATTGGACAAAATGCACAAACAAAGCAAGAAAGGAATGAAGGATTTTATTGAAAATGAAAGTACACTCCACAGTGTGGGAGCGAGCATGAGCATAGGGGCTCAAAGGCCCTGTTACATTTTGTGAGTTTAAATACCCTCTACTTGGGGTACACCCTATGTAAATGAAGAGGATGAAGTAAAGTTACAGTTACAAAGTTATTAATGGCGGGCATACGCCCTATGGAGAGGATATTTCCCGTTATAACTGAAGTGTGAATTGGCCTTATGTTCCCTGTCTCTAGACCCTATTCTCCTGCTTCCTGTGAAAGCAGAGGGTTTTGTTTGTTTTTTGCTTTTTGTTTTTTGAGACGGAGTCTTGCTCTGTTGCCCAGGCTGGAGTGCAGTGGTGCACTCGGCTCACTGCAACTTCCGCCTTCCCGGGTTCAAGCGATTCTCCTGGCTCAGCCTCCGGAGTAGCTAGGACTACAGGCGCGTGTCACCATGTCCCAGCTAATCTTTCTTTATTTTTAGTAGAGACGTGTTAGCCAGGTTTCACCGTGTTACCGTGTTACCGTATTCCAGCCGGGCTCCGCCCCTGGATTCGGTGGACAGACCAGCTTTACCTCCAGAGACTCCCCCTGTCTTCCCTGCACCGGCTGACTATACCTACACACTTCGGTGGCACAATCTTTGTTTAGATATGCTGATGCCTTCCTTCGCTGGGAACGGTCCAGTCCTGCCCGCCTGGCGCTCAGCTCTGCGGATCTCAGGGGATGGAGTGGCAATCTCATTGCTCCCGCCTCTCCTGACCCCTCTCGCCTTCTCCTCGAGACCCGGGTTAAGTGGGCAGAGGGCTCCGAGGGTCCTCTCCCGCCGTGGGATTGCACAGAGGGCTGGGTCCGCAGGCTGGCTAAAAGGACCTAGCCCAGGATTGCGAGGCAGCGCCCTCCCTGCAGCTGGACAGACTCGGGCGCCCGGCCCAAAGCCCGGCAGGGGCGTGTCCGCGCGCTCACCTGCTATTGGCCAGGTGGGGCTGTCGGCTGCCAGCAGTGCTTATGCTTTAAGTGCGGAGCGGGTGGCTGCGGAGCCAGGCGCGGCGCAGGATGGTGGACAGCGTGTACCGGACCCGCTCCCTGGGGGTGGCGGCCGAAGGGCTCCCGGACCAGTACGCGGACGGGGAGGCGGCGCGCGTGTGGCAGCTGTATATCGGAGACACCCGCAGCCGCACCGCCGAGTACAAGGCATGGCTGCTTGGGCTGCTGCGCCAGCACGGCTGCCAGCGGGTGCTCGACGTAGCCTGTGGCACTGGGTGAGCCCAGGCCGGGGCCGGGGGCGTTGCATGAGATCGGGGTCTGTCTCAGCCTGTACTGCGCGGCCGCAGAACCACAGGGCCGGGCACGTCAGGGCGGCCTTTGCCAATCCTGGAACGGGTGGGACACCAGGGCCAGGAGCAGGTACCTGCCCGGCAGAACAGGCACTGCGAGTGCCCCGTGAGGCTAGGGGTCCAGGTAGCGGTTCGCAGGGAGAGGCCCCGGAGAAGGGAGACTGAGTGTGAGTGAGGGTGTGGGCAGAAAAAGTGAGCGTCCCTGAGGCTTTGGAGCCAGAGCCACGGACAGATTGCAAATATTCCTCCTGTGATGGCCTTGGGCAGTGTTAACAGTTAACATTGCTCAACATTTGCACCTGCCAAGCCCAGTGCCAGGAGCTTTTGATACATCACTTTTTCAAACCCTCACAAAGCCCCATGAAGTTAAGCAGTGATATTCTCTCATTTACTACTGGGGAAGTAAGGCCTCAGCAAAGTAAAATTCCCTCATACATCATCCAGTGAAAAGGAGCTAACAGGCCCGGGTTGGTTAAGATCTGTCCTGTGCTCTATTTTTCTCTTTTTTTTTTTTTTTTTTTTTGAGATGAAGTCGTGCTCTGTCGCCCAGGCTGGAGTGCAGTGGCTCCATCTCGGCTCACTGCAAGCTCCGCCTCCTGAGTTCATGCCATTCTCCTGCCTCAGCCTCCCGAGTAGCTGGGACTACAGGCGCCTGCCACCACGCCCAGCTAATATTTTGTATTTTTAGTAGAGACGGGGTTTCGCCGTGTTAGCCAGGATGGTCTCGATCTCCTGACCTTGTGATCTGCCCACCTCGGCCTCCCAAAGTGCTGGGATTACAGGCATGAGCCACCGCGCCCGGCTTTGTCCTGTGCTCTAAACCACCATGTTCTACTGCCTTTTGTGCACACGTATTTTAACTTCAAGGAGCCTCAGCTTGTCTGTCTCTCAAATGGGAATGACACTATTTACCTCTCAGGATTGCCATGAGAATTAATGCATATTTGTAGAGTGCCTGGCTCTGAAGAGGTGCTTTTAAAAAAAAGTTGCCTTGTGGTGACAGGAAACAGATTTGTGAGGTCAGTGGAGAGGGCCTGGGGAGAGGAGGCAGAGGAACGGACTCTGAGAAGTAGAGACAAAAGTGTCCAGTGCAGGGTCTCCTCCTGGCCCTCCCAGGCTCCCCTAACTGCCTCTCTCTGCCTCTCCTCGCTGGCCGTACTCAGGGTGGACTCCATTATGCTGGTGGAAGAGGGCTTCAGTGTGACGAGTGTGGATGCCAGTGACAAGATGCTGAAGTATGCACTTAAGGAGCGCTGGAACCGGCGGCACGAGCCCGCCTTCGACAAGTGGGGTATGCAGGTCTAGCCAGGCTCCCCCAGCCCAGTCACCAGGAACACTGTTCATTCTGCCTGGGGCTCCTTTAAGTGGGGGCGGGGGTGGAGTGTTGTGTTTTCCTCGGGGAGACAGAAAAATTACTGTCATTTCTCTGAAAAGCAAGTCTTAAGCTCCAGAATGAGACACCGGGTGTGAAGAGCTGGTTTTAACTGTGTTTGTGGCATCTTGTCCCTCCCCTCAAAGAAAAACCCATAAGCACAGAGCCCTCCTTCCCAACCAGGGTTCCTTCTCCCTTGATCCCTCTTTTCTCCTCCCCCTAACTGAACGGGGAGCTTGTGTGTCTTAAGAAGAAACCCAGGCAGGACTGCACTTGGTGGAGGTGGCTGCTACTGGTACCATCGTGCCTCCCTGATTCCTCTTTCTCTTCCTGACCCCTAGTCATCGAAGAAGCCAACTGGATGACTCTGGACAAAGATGTGCCCCAGTCAGCAGAGGGTGGCTTTGATGCTGTCATCTGCCTTGGAAACAGTTTCGCTCACTTGCCAGACTGCAAAGGTAAGAGAGGGTGTGGCCTTGGGCATGGCCCCCGCCTTGAGGCCCCCTTCCACAGACATCTGGCACCTGCTCTCCTGCCAAAGCAGACTCTCTGCCTTGGCTCTGGCACCCCTGGGGAGGGGAGAGATGGGAGGGAGACTGGTGCTGGGGGCCCTGAGCAGATGGAGTCTTTCTGCCCGTGCCTGGAGCTCAGGGGACCAGAGTGAGCACCGGCTGGCGCTGAAAAACATTGCGAGCATGGTGCGGGCAGGGGGCCTACTGGTCATTGATCATCGCAACTACGACCACATCCTCAGTACAGGCTGTGCACCCCCAGGGAAGAACATCTACTATAAGGTGGGGCCCTCTGGGGTGGGGGTGGGGGTGGGGGTGGGGGTGGGGTGGAGGGAGGGTCCAGTGGCCCCAAGGTGGGTTACAGAGGCTAATGCCGGCTGCCCCACCACCTACAGAGTGACTTGACCAAGGACGTCACAACATCAGTGCTGATAGTGAACAACAAGGCCCACATGGTGACCCTGGACTATACGGTGCAGGTGCCGGGGGCTGGCCAGGATGGCTCTCCTGGCTTGAGGTACCACTTGGCTTAGTGGGGGTGAGGCGGTAGTTGGGGGAGCTGAGGTCACCAGTCCTCATGGTTGCTGGGGCCTCTGTTACAGTAAGTTCCGGCTCTCCTACTACCCACACTGTCTGGCATCCTTCACGGAGCTGCTCCAAGCAGCCTTCGGAGGTAAGTGCCAGCACAGCGTCCTGGGCGACTTCAAGCCTTACAAGCCAGGCCAAACCTACATTCCCTGCTACTTCATCCACGTGCTCAAGAGGACAGACTGAGTGTGGCCTCAGCTCCCACAAGCCTCTGCCCAGGCACTGCTAGGCTCTGTCTGGAAGATGGGGACCAGCAGCCCCACACCAGGGCCAGCCTCTAGAGCAGACTACAGCTGGGGTGCAGGGATGTGGGTTCCACAGACGGAAGGGTAAACAATATAGTCTTTTTCAGTTCCTGCATGCATTGTGTTTATTTATGTCAGAAGGATCAGGCTCCCATGCTGCCCACCCCCCCACCCTCTCCCAGGGCTTACTCCTCCCACAACCCTGCTCTTTCTCACTCCAACCTTTCATGCCACAACACCAGTAGGGGGCGGGACATGCTTTATTTTCAGCCACAGAACTAGCCCTCTCAGGGCCCAATCCCCAGAACCCAAGGCCCTGGCCCTCTTCCTGAGTAGATGGGCCTTTCTCTTAGAGCCGGCCTGGAAGGAGGGGCAAGTAGGCAGGAGATATCTCTTGAGCTGTTGCTGCTGTCTCAATGCCACTTTGCACCCTGGGATCTCCTGGAGGGAGGTGGCCTCCAGGTGGGTTGGCAGCAGCCTGAGGAGGAGCCCTTCCTTCCCAGATCTCTCTGTGGGCTATCAAGGTACCTGCAGCCATGCTGAGCGGGGTCCCAGACCCTGGGGGGCTCCTAGCAGGCAGCAAACTTGCGCTGGATGCGCTTGTACCGGAGCAGCTCCTGCTCACTGACTGAGGGTTGCAGCCGGGCGGCAGCCTGCAGCAAGTCCTCCATGGTGAGCATCAGTGCTGAGCTACCTGGCTCCAGCCCTGGAGATGACAAGGTGGGGAGGCTGTGGTCTATGCCCAGGCAGGGGAGAGCCCTGCGAAGGTGGCTTCCTGCTCAGGGTCTCCTAGATGTCAATGATCTTCCCTCTGGAATCCAGGACTAGGTTTGTCTCCCACTAGTTTTTTTTTTCCCTTAAACATTTTTTTTAGAGTTGGGGTCTCTCTGTGTTGCCCAGGCTGGCCTCAAACTCCTGGGCTCAAGCGATCCTCCCACCTCAGCCTCTCAAGTAGCTGGGACTCAGGTGCACCCAGCTCCCCACTAGCTTTTTGGTTGACCTCTCAGACCGGCAAGTGGCTCACCTTCCTCCAGGTCATGAACCCTGCGTTTGAGGGCAGCTGTCATAGCATCAGAGCAGAGAGAGTAGAGGTCCGCGCCCGTCAGCTGGGGAGGGCAGCAATCTAGCACGTTTACCAGGCTCACAGATGGCTCTAGCTTGAATCTGTTGTGGGATACAGGAAGAAACAGAGTTGGCATCACCTCCTCCCTCGAAAGCCAGTGCTGACCAGCTCATCCTGCATGTTGCATGCATCCCCTAAGCATCCCAAGGCCCAAGCCCTTCGCAGTCTTCCTCTAACAGAGCATACTTGCGTGTGATGGCACTTAGAACGCGTAGCTGGGAGGCCCGGTCCTCATTTGCCCCCACAAACACCAGCTTGTCAAATCTTTAGGGAGATAGGCAGGTATAAGTTTCAGGGAGCCCAGCCATGAGGGGTGAAGGAGGCACAAAATGAGGGTGGAGATGAGCAGTACAAGGGGCCCACCTGCCAGGCCGCAGAAGGGCAGGGTCCAGGAGATCTGGTCTGTTGGTGGCTCCAATCACAAACACATCCTGAGTGCTGTGCAGCCCATCTAGCTCGGCAAGGAGCTGAGACACCACCCTGGAGAGAAGGGAGCAAGGGCAAGAGTCCTTGGTGTCCCCCTTAGACTCTGCCCCTGCCTGTGGTACCTCTCTTTACAGGCAGTCTCAACAGGGCCCTCCACTCAGCTGTGCCCAATGTGCCCCACCAGGTAGGCCCCCATTCTCCTCAGTGGACCCTGCCCAATTTCATGGCCCCTTTCAGCTTCCATTATATTATCTCAGAACTGAAACAGCAGGAACTTCTATCTCTGGACTCTGAAGACTGCTGTGAGCTTTCTCATATCCTTCCCACCCTGGACCCCTCAGCTTTCATTCCCACTCAGACCCCTACCTGTCCATCACTCCTCCAGAATCTCCACTTCGCCCCCGGCTTGGGGCCAAAGAGTCCAGTTCATCAAAGAAGATAATGCATGGAGCTGCAGCCCTGGCCCTGGCAAACACTGAAGAGAGAGAGGGGCCCACAGGAGGGCAAAGCTCGGCTTGTGGGGGGTTGAAGTTAGGTGAGAGCAGGGAGGGAAACTGGGGCCTGACAATACAGCACTGGCATCCCAGGTACTAGACCCAGCTGGGCAGGAACCTGACTTGTAGAAAGGAGGATTAGGAATGATCATGAGTAGCCTGGGAGTAGGGGGTGGCTTGGGGGCCATCGGGGTTTGGGAAGCATGGGACGCCCTGCCCCTCCCTGCTCACTCACCTTCCCGCACATTCTCCTCACTTTGGCCCACATACATGTTAATGAGCTCTGGCCCCTTCACGCTGAGTGAGAGGATGTGAGAAGGTGAGAGCCGTCAGATGCACATACACACAATTGACCTCTTGGGCAGCCCCTCCTGCTCCCCAGCCTGCTGCAGCCCCTGATCCACCCACCATCCCTTCCAGGCCCCCTGGCCACCTGAGGAAGGTAAGGCTGCACTCAGTGGCTACTGCCTTGGCCAGAAGGGTCTTGCCGGTGCCAGGGGGCCCATGGAGCAGAAGGCCTGAGCGTCTCAGGCCCAGGCTCAGTAGCTCAGGGTGCTCCAGGGGGAGCTGAATGGTCTCCAGGATCTCCTTCTTCACCTCCTGCAGCCCACCCACATCATGCCAGGACACTGAGGGGATCTAGGAGATGGAAAGTGCGTGGTTGGGATATGCTCTTGGAGGGGCTCCTGTCCCACCTCCAAGGACTTGGTCTCCACCTTGGGGGCTCCAACGGCCTGGGAGTGAGCTGTCTGCAGTTGCTCCAGTGCCTGCCCAAAGTCCTCAGCCAGGAGAGGAAAGCCGGCAGCACACAGCTCCCCCTCATCCTCCTCAGTCAAGCCACCTGCCAAACTGCAAAGAGGAACACAGGGAAGCCTCCTCACCATCAGCGTCCCATTCCCTTCTCCCTTCCTCACCACCCACCCATCTACATCCATTTCCTCTTTCCGCCTTTCCGGTGCCCACGTCCTCTTACCCTGAGTTCTTGATCCTGGTGCAGGCTGCCCGGCTGCTGTGGGTCAGAAGGGCATAGAGATCCCCTACCACAAAGCCCTAGGGAACCACAGGAAAGGACACATGAGCAGGGCACAGTAGGCAGGAACCTTCAGGGACCGTCCCCCAGCTAGAGCAGAGGCCCTCTGTTGATGCCTTAGGTTTGTTGTTTTTTTTTTTTTTTTTTTTTTGAGACGGAGTTTTGCTCTTGTTGCTCAGGCTGGAGTGCAATGGCGCGATCTCGGCTCACCGCAACTTCCACCCGGGTTCAAGCGATTATCTCACCTCAGCCTCCCAAGTAGCTGGGATTACAGGCATGTGCCACCACACCTGGCTAACTTTGTATTTTTAGTAGAGACGGGGTTTCTCCATGTTGGCCAGGCTGGTCTCAAACTCCCAACCTCAGGTGATCCGCCCACCTCGGCCTCCCAAAGTGCTAGGATTACAGGCGTGAGCCACGGCGCCCGCGCTGGGTTTTCTACTCTCACTCACAAGGCAACAGGACTGAGTTCTTGTAACAAAAGCCAGGGACCTCCTAGGGAGGGCCAGTACTCTCCCTTGATACTCACTGCACACCGCCGTGCTAGCTGTGCCAAGTTCACCTCCTGGCCCAGGGGAAGGTGGGCAGTGAGGGCCCGCAGGATGCTGAGCCGCTGCCCCTCTGACAGAGCAGGCACCTCGAGCTCATGAGGAAATGCTGTCTGCACATCAGCAGGCAGGTCCTGGGCCCGGCTTGTGGTGGCCACAACCATGAGGGGAGGGCAGCTGCAGACAGAGGAGTGGGCACTGAGGGTGAGAACATGGCTGGCAGCTCCTGTGGACTGCCTTGTCCCAAAGTCGGCACAGAAGGGCAGGGAAGTGAGGTGGGTGCTAGGATGGGGTAGGGAGATGAGCATCTACCCCAGTTCCTAGATGGGGGAACTGTGTTTCCCCCATCACATTGAGGGCAGAGGCTTTTTCTTTAACCGAGTGTTCCCCAAGAAATGCTAGACCACAGACTCCTCCCTCTGGATCCCTCTAAAGACACGGAGCTCAGGGCTGTCTAGAGGGCAGCCAAATGGATGGGAGATGACTGAGAAGCCACTGAGGGGTGAGAGAAGGGAGGACTGAAAGGCTGAAAAGTAGGAGGGCTGGCCCCCCCGCTCCCCCTTTTTTTTTTTTTTTTAAGACTGAGTCTTGCTCTTGTCGCCCAGGCTGGAGTGCAATGGTATGATTTTGGCTCACTGCAACCTCCGCCTCCTGGGCTCAAGTGATTCTCCTGCCTCAGCCTCCCAAGTAGCCTGGATTACAGGCACCCGCCACCACACCCAGCTAATTTTTGTATTTTTAGTAGAGACAGGGTTTCACCATGTTGGCCAGGCTGGTCTTGAACTCCTGATCAAGGCAGGTGATCCACCTGCCTCGGCCTCCCAATGTGCTGGGATTATAAGTGTGAGCCACCGCGCCCAGCCGGCCCCCCCAGCTTTGAGAGGCCCAGCTCTGTATAAGTACCTGTTGAGGGGGTCCTCATTGAGGAGGAGGTGACGCAGCACAGCCATCACACGGGCATCCTCACCCAGCCCATCACGGTCCCGGCCCAGAAGGTCCACAGCTGTGAGCAACAGGACTGCAGGCCGGCAACGGCGGGCCCGGGAGAAGATGGCCTGCAGTTTTGTCTCCACAGCCCCACTACTTTCTGCACAGAGGCTGGAGCAGGGCACCTGGGGAGGGGATCCCAATGGGTCTGTGAGCAAGGGGAAAGCATGACAAGGGCAGGAGAATCAGGGGAGGAGGAGGTGGAAGATGTGGGCCATCTTTTTCTCTGGAGGGCAGGGACAGGGAAGGTACCCTGGCCAAGTCCTACCTCTTTTTTACCCTATCCCATTCCCTGGACTGTCCACCAATATCTTGCAACTCCCTCCTCCTTGAAAGTACCTCTCCATAGCTCAGCATCATGGGAATATGCCTGACCCACTGGGCTGAAGTGCTAGGGCCTGTGAGTAGACAGAGGAGGGAGGGGAGAGGAAGCAGCAGAGAGGGAGAACATGAGCTGGGGAGGGGAAGTAGCTGGGGTTCTACTCTCCAGAGACCCTCACCTTCAGTAAGTGGAGCCCAAGGTGACTACAGGCAGCAGCAACTACTGTGGTCTTCCCACAGCCTGGGGGGCCCCGTAGAAGGACACTGCTAGTTCCTGTCAGCAGGGCACCCCTGCAACCAGAGAACAGACATTCGTCTCCTTCATTTTGCCCAAACATTAGAGTCCCCAGTAACACAAGATCCCTTAGATCTAGAAAGCAGATACCCTGTTTTTCTCTCCTTGAGCCTCCCTGACCCCAGGACAGGGCTGTCCCCATGTAGTGAGGCTGTGTCTCCCACACCACCTGCGGTGCTCTGGCCGGGGCATCCAGCATATCCAACAGCCAAAGACTAATTAATTCCCTTTGGCATTGCTGTGCTGCCAATAAAACCTCAACGTTATGACTGGTCTGAATGGTATTGAGAGACATTGTGGTGGCACTGAGGTGGGGATCTGCGTCCACACCTGGGCCACTGGTATGAGGAGTTGTGTCCTTCAGGGCCAGGGCAGTAAAGTGCAGGATGGCCAGTGAGCTCCCCAAGGGGAAGGGCAGTCTCAGAAACAGATGCCCCTGCTGGAGATTCTTCCTCCAGAGCCAGCCCTGGAGGACAGAGGTTATCCCAGGAAAGGAGCCTGGGAATTGGCTTACAGAAAGGAGTGGCCTGGTGGCCTTGTGTAGGACATACTGGTTTGAGGAAGGTCCTCCCAATCCCACTCTGGCCAGTTCATTAGGAACTACCCATCTGGCTGCTGCTCCTCCAGGGATGTTCTAAGCAGGCTTTTCTCACACCCTGGGGTGATGACCTCACTCACCCTGGCTGGAGGCGAGGCTTCAGGACAGCACAGAGTTCAGACACCAAGGCCTCCAGGCCTGGAGGAGACAAACTGCTCCAGAGAGTGGATTCCTCTGAAGGGAGCCATGGAACAGGGCTCAGGGTAGAACCCACCTGTGAAAGGTAATAAAAAGCTTTCGTTTCTAAAAATCGTTTCTACCCCCTGCGCTGGTCTACACCCATCCTTGGGGCCTCACCATGTACAAGGAGGTATGGGTGGTGTCGGCCAAGTAGGCACTGGCTGGTCCATCTGGAGCTTCCCCAACTGTTTTCTTCACTTTAAAAAACATTTCCCGCCACCTGCAGGAAAAAGGCCCAATGAACCCCAGATCCAGAGTCCAAAAACCCCCCTCCTCAAGGACAAGGTTTCTCAATCACAGAGGACAAACAAAAGCACCACAAGAGCGTGTCCCGAGTCATGGTGGGGAAAAGGAATGCAGATGGACTTTCTCATCTTCCTGACAGACCATACACACCTTGAGGGCAAGAGCTATGCCTGTCCCTCTGCATCCCCCATGACAGCCATGAGAGCTCTGAGGGGGTGTGTTTCTCCAGGCATGTGGCCTACCCACCCACACCAATGGGAGAAGCTGCTGCTGCACTAAGCAGTGGATCATCTGATTACTTCTACTGGCTTCGGTCTCCCCCTCAAATACACAGCCATCCAGGCCCCAAAAACCCTAGGGGGAAGGGTCCCTTGGCTCTTACTCAATAATCCACAAAATCTCATTGCAGGCGGAGTCCTTAATAATGCCATCTGATGAATAATGGTTCTGTATTCTGGCTGCACATTGGAATTATCTGTGTAACTTTAAAAACTAAACATTTCTCACATATTATATGATTCTATTCAGCAGATCAGCAGTTGCCATTGCCTATGAGGGAAGCTACAGGGAATGACTGCTAATGGGTGCAGAGTTTCTTTTTGAGATGTTGAAAATGTTCTGGAATGAAACAGTGATGTTGGCTGTACAACCTTATGAATAAAAAAATTGAATTGTATACTTTAAAAGTATGGTTTTATGGTGTGTGAATTTTATGTTTTTAAAATTAACCTTTCTCCTTCCTTTGTGAAGGAAAAAAAGCACAGGCTCCAGTCTCACCCTGATTCTGCCCCAATAGATCTGGGGTGGGGCTTAGGCACCTGTATTTTTTGAAAGCTTCCCCAGCAATTCTGATGCATAACCAGGGCTGCGCAGTAGTTGGCGAGTGTCATAGTGAGTTAGGGTTATTCAACCTACTAACGGGGAATAGGATGGGTAGCAGGAACAGCTACTAACCCAATTTTCCAGATAAAGAAATCATGAACTACTTCCCTCTTTAATCCTCAGGCAGCAAGGCAATGACAGAGTCAGGCTATAACCTAGTCCTCTTTAAGGTCCAATCAGGCTGCAAATTCCTCTGCTCACACTGCCCCACAGTCTCAAAGCTGCTCTCTCTAGCAGCAAAGGGGTGTGAGAGTGCAGCAAGGTGGAGGGGAAGCATACCAGGTTAGTATTATGAAACTCTTCTAAGTACTACAGTAAACCTGGAACATCAGGAAGCCTGAATCTGCCTATAATTAATTATAAATAGGTGACAGTGGGCCTCTAACCTAGGATCTCGATCAAGCTCAACAGCTGAGTCATGGTGTGTATGACTCACCATGGAAGCCCTGCATAGGAATGAGATGGGGGACAGCACTGTGGCATAGGGAGAGACCACCTTCTTCAGTGGAGGGTGGTTGGACCACCTCAGTGAATAGAAAGGCCAGAGCTCTGGAACCTATGTGGACACTGCTAAGGAACACTGAGCTGTGCTCCAGCCAGCCAGATAGGTGATAGTGGAGCTGGCTCCCATGCAGCCTGGTTTGGGGAAGTGGAGCACCAGGGACAGGATGAAGAGGCTACACCAACAGTGGAATTCCTTTCCAGGGCTCACAGGAACTTCTGCAGGGCTTCCCTTCTCAAGCCCAGTGCAGCTTAAAACGCTCATCTGTATCTGTCCTTGGACCCATTGGGCCACTTACTCCAACCCTGCTTTCCTTGCGGGGAAAAGAACTATGTGCTCGGCACTCAGGAGGAAAGCAGGGTTCTACAGAGTTGAGACAATAGAAGTTCAGGAACAGAACTGGCTTGCCAGCCTGTCTCATGAGGTTCTAGTGCCTATTTTCCTTTGAAAGTACAAAGAGTGGGCATTCTGTAGTTTTCCTACTGAAAGCTAGCTCAAAGACGTTTGCTAAATTTATGATAGGAGAGAGAGGTGGGAAGTGACTGCTAAGTGCCAGCCTGGCATTTTCCACCAGACTCGTGGACTTAATCTGGAAAACCTCGAAGAGGTGACATGGAGCCTAAATGGGGTTCCACAGAGCACCACCACCCTGAGACTGGGGGTACTGAGCACTGGCCAGAACCAAGCACTGGATATTGACCAGGGATGAACATCAGGCACTCCAAACAAGGACTGTCTCTCCTGGCAGAGGACCCAGGCTGGCTATGCCACAGACCTTGGACATGAAGGCTCTTATGTATGAGTTAGTGCATCTATCAGCTGTGCTCTCCTTCTAGTAAACTGCTGCAGGAAATGAGTCCAGAATACAGGGAATGCTGGGATACAGAGCTATACATTTTCCTCCCTACACATAAGGCTAAAGCAGTGTCTCAATTCTTTGCCTCACCATTTTACATGGAACCTCTGTGGTCAGAGTCAACAAGAGGAGAAAAGCTGGATTCCTTATTTTGGGTTCTTGGCTCGGTTATGCTCTATTTCTCATTCTCTGTTGATAGGACAGGGTAGCCCTCTCAAAAACAATAGAAATCCCTGGCTGGGTGCGGTGGCTCACGCCTGTAATCCCAGCACTTTGGGAGGCCGAGGCGGGCGGATCACAAGGTCAGGAGATCGAGACCATCCTGGTTAACACGGTGAAACCCAATCTCTACTAAAAATACAAAAAATTAGCCGGGCGTGGTGGTGGGCACCTGTAGTCCCAGCTACTTGGGAGGCTGAGGCAGGAGAATGGCATGAACCCGGGAGGCGGAGCTTGCAGTGAGCCAAGATTGCGCCACTGCACTCCAGCCTGGGCAACAAAGCAAGACTCTGTCTCAAAAAAAAAAAAAAAAAAAGAGAAATCCCTCTCCTGTTTTCAGAGATAGGATTGAGAAGTAGTTTGTGCACACTCCGTAGTTAAGGCAGAAATCAGAGCCTGTATATCCTTACGTTGAGATATGGATGGTATGGCCCAAGTCTTGGTCCAAATAACACGAAGGCTAAGAACGGAAAGGAAGGAATCCCGTCTTGGTCTAGGCCATTAAACTCTTCTTTAAAAAGAAAAGAATTTAAATTTTACCTATTTATTTATTTTTTGAGATGGAGTCTTGCTGTGTCACCCAGGCTGGAGAGCAGTGATGCGATCTGGGCTCACTGCAACCTCTGCCTCCCAGGTCCAAGTGATTCTCCCGCCTCAGCCTCCTGAGTAGCTGGGATTACAGATGCCCACCATCACACCCGGCTAATTTTTGTATTTTTAGTAGAGACAGGGTTTCACCATATTGGCCAGGCTGGTCTTGAATTCCTGACCTCAAGTGATCTGCCTGCCTCAGCCTCCCAAAGTGCTGGGATTACAGTCGTGAGCCACCACACCTGGCCTAAACTCTTCTTAGTGCTTTGCTTTACATAGGGCCACCAGTCAGTTTGAGGATAAACACCTCCCAAAGCCAGCAGGGAGTGGTTCTTTTAGTTTGCTTGTTTTTTGAGACAGTGTCTAGCTATATTGCCCAGCCTCCTGAGTAGCTGGGATTATAAGTATGCACTACCATGCCTGACTGGTTCTTAACCTTTCTTCAGTCATACACTTGTTTGGGAACTGAAGGACAGGTGAATTTTCTCTCCAAAAAAATGTACACAGGCTGGGGGTGAGTGGTGCACACCTGTAATCTCAGCACTTTGGGAGGCCAAGGCAGGCAGATCACTTGAGCTCAAGAGTTCGAGCCCAGCCTGGTCAACATGGCGAAACCCTATCTCTACTAAAAATACAAAAACCAATAGCTGGGCGTGGTGATGCGAACCTGTAGTCCCAGCTACTGGGGCAGAGGCAGTGCTGAGGTGGGAGGATCACTTGAGCCATGGAGGTAGAGGCTGCAGTGAGCTGTGTTTGCACCACTAAACTCCAGCCTGGGTAACAGAGCAAGAACCTGTTACACACACACACGCACACACAAAATACATGACAACGAAATCCTCTTGGGCACAAATTACACATGATTTGCAGGGAGGGGATTGTAGAACTCATGCACCCAGGTTACAAATCCCAGCTGTAGGACAGAAGGCAGCTGCATACCTGGGCAGTTTCTCTGGACTTCCTTCCAGGATCTCTACTTGCCCAATTGTTGGCACACATAGAACATCCCCTTCCTGGACTACCCTGCAACACAGCAGTGGCCCTGGTCAGGTCACAATGGGAGTAATGAGCATGTGTTCATTACCACATGTCCACCCCCGACATGCAGACTACTTCTTGAGTCTACTGCCCGCCCAGAGATCCCACGCAGTTCTCCAAGGAACAAGTCAGTCTTAGGATGAGCTAGGGGAAATGGTGGAGAGACTAGAAAGGGGGATCAGAGACAGATGAGTGGCAGAGCAGGATCCTGGCTCTTTTGGAGCCCTCTTTAATCACAGGTGTCTCTGTTTGGAATGTCCAAATTAACCTCATGGTTCAGATTTCTCTTCTGTGGTCTCCCTGATATACCAAGAGGCGCCTACCACAATCTGTCTGAAATGTTTTTTTTGTTTTTTTTTTTTTTTTTTTTTTTTGAGACGGAGTCTCGCTCTGTCGCCCAGGCTAGAGTGCAGTGGTGCGATCTCGGCTCACTGCAAGCTCCACCTCCCGGGTTCACGCCATTCTCCTGCCTCAGCCTCCCAAGTAGCTGGGACTACAGGCGCCCACCACCACACTCGGCTAATTTTTTTTTTGTATTTTTAGTAGAGACGGGGTTTCACCATGTTAGCCAGGATGCTCTCAATCTCCTGACCTCATGATCCGCCCACCTCGGCCTCCCAAAGTGCTGGGATTACAGACGTGAGCCACAGCACCTAGCCGCAAATGTGGCTTCTTTTAACCAGGGCCTCTGGGGTACTTGGTTCTAAGGCATGGGATAGGAGGAATGTAATGAGGGTGAGAAGCTATCCTCCTTAAAAGGTTAGGTAGCTAACCTGGGTATCTGAAAGTGCCGGTAAAGAACACCGTCATAATTTCCATTAGTGCTGTAGTGGGGAGAAGACACAATTTCGATGTGTAACTCTCTGGCAAATGGAGGCCCAGGCAGCAATGAGCAGCTTCCTTTGTCTTCAGGGGCGATGGAGCCTTCCAAGTACCTCTATTAGAGAAATAACCACCACGTTATAACCTTCTCCTAAGGGGGCAGGCTCTAACCTGTCTCTCAGCAGCCAACATGTCTATTTCCATCCTGTCTTTCCCATAACCACAAGGCTTGTGGAAGGTGGGGCCTGAGGTAGCAGACCTGAAAACCTCTCCCTCTAATGGGTACCAGGAAGAGAATATCACCTCCTATCCCGACTCTGGCTCCAAAAAATTTTCTCAGTAAAGATAACCTTTCTGTGACACTTTCAACTTGGCCCAGAGCCAGTGAAATGGTAAAGACATTTATTCCCACAAGACCTATTAGTGACACCAGGCATCCACAGGGATTAACATTAAGTGGTCATTAGTGGGGAAACTGAATTCAGGCTGTGGGAAAAGCTGAACGGGTTGGTTCAGTCATTGGTTGGTTCAATGAGCTCTACTCTTGAGTACCCCAGTAGTTTTTCCTCCATTCAGGAGGAAACCTACATCCACTCCCTTTCACATGTATTTCACATGTATCTCTACCTGACATCCCAAAGTATTAACTGGTTACTCTAGTACTGCCCAGTAGAACTCTCTACAATGGAATAGTCTATATCTGCATGTGCTATTGAGCACTTGAAATGTGGCTAAAAACAAAACAAAAACAAAGAAATGTAGCTAAAGCAACTAAAAAACATGATTTAGTTTTTTTTTTTTTTTTGAGACTTAGTCTCACTTTGTCGCCCATGATGAAGTGCAGTGGCACAGTCTCGGCTCATTGCAACCTCTTCCTCCTGGGTTCAAATGATTCTCTTTGTGCCTCAGCCTCCTGAGTAGCTGGGACTATAGGCATGTGCACCACCATGCCTGGCTAATTTTTGTGGGTTTTATTTTTTTCTTGAGATGGAGTCTCGCTTGTCACCCAGGCTGGAGTGCAGTGGCACCATCTCGGCTCACTGCAAGCTCCGCCTCCTGGGTTCAAGGGATTCTCCTGCCTCAGCCTCCAGAGTAGCTGGGACGACAGGCATGTGCCACCACACCTAATTTTTTTTTTTTTTGTATTTTTAGTAGAGACGGGGTTTCACCGTGTTAGCCAGGATGGTCTCAATCTCCTGACCTTGTGATCTGCCTGCCTTGGCCTCCCAAAGTGCTGGGATTTAATTTTTGTATTTTTTAAAATAGAGATGGGGTTTCGCCATGTTAGCCAGGCTTACTTTATTTAGTTTTAACTAAATTTAAAAATTTAAAAAGCCACAAAGTGGCTGGTGGCTTCCATATTGGACAGCACCATCTAAACCATATATCTAGGTCCTTAATTAAACACTATACTGTATTTGTCCCCCTAAACACAACTTTCATTTTTTTCTTTTTTTGAGACAGAATCTTGCTCTGTCACCCAGGTTGGAGTGCAGTGGTGTGATCTGGGTTCACTGCAACTGCCACCTCCCAGGTTCAAGCGATTCTCCTGCTTCAGCCTCCCCAGTTGTTGGGTTTACTGGTGTGCACCACCATACTGGGCTGATTTTTGTATTTTTAGTAGAGATGAGGTTTCACCATGTAGGCCAGGCTGGTCTCGAACTCCTGACCTCAAGTGATCTGCCTGGCTCAGCCTCCCAAAGTGCTGGGATTACAGGCATGAGCCACTGCGCCTGGCCTTTTTTTTTTTTACACAATGAAGGTTTATTTTTTTGTCACTCTTATGTCTGTTATGGCGAACTGGTGAGTCTTTACTCAGTAACCCATGGAAATGGAACAACTATTATCTGTTCTACAACTTTCTTCTTGAAGTAAAGGCAGAAACCAAAAACTTTCCTTGGATGTATTTAATAAAATATTAAAACTAAACACCAGGCACCAAAGATAATAAAGACTCCTTTCCTTCAAGGTATTTACAATATATAATTGGGGATTAAACAGATTATGTAATCATAACAAGATAGAATAAAATAAATGCCATAAAAAAGATAGAAAATGCTATAGGAGGAAGTTCTAAATTCGTGGCTGTGAGATCATGAAAGGCTTTGTGATAAAGGTGTCATCTTTAGATGGCTCTTGAGGGAAAGGAGGGTAGGATTTTAACAGATGAGGCTAGAATAATAGGAAACAATTTGAAGTCAAGGATAAGAATGAGCAAAAGCACAGAGACATCATCCTCCATATTATAAAGCACAATACTGAATACATTGTAGCAATTCAATAAACTAATTAGATTGAGTAGATTAACATACACATCTGAAACCTCACTTTTTTTTTTTTTTTTTTTTACACAGAATTTCGCTCTGTCGTCCAGGCTGGAGTGCAGTGGTGTGATCTGGGCTCACTGCAACCTCCACCTCCCAGGTTCAAACAATTCTCCTGCCTCAGCCTCCCAAGTAGCTGGGATTACAGGCATGCACCACCACACCCAAACTTCACCTTTCACCTGAATGGATGAAAGCCTTTTGTATGCCCCACTACATTATGGAGGCTTATGATATTTTGATTACAGAATATGGATCAATAGGCCGGGTGAGGTGGCTCACGCCTGTAATCCCAACACTTTGGGTGGATCACCTGAGGTCAGGAGTTCGAGACCAGCCTGACCAATACGGTGAAACCCCGTCTCTACTAAAAATTACAAAAATTAGCCGGGCGTCGTGGCGCGAGCCAGTAGTAGGAGGCTGAGACAGGAGAATCGCTTGAACCTGGGAGGCGGAGGTTGCAGTAAGCCGAGATCGCATCACCACATTCCAGCCTGGGTGACAGAGCAAGACCCCATCTCAAAAAAAAAAAAAAAAAAAAAAAAAGGAAAGAAAGAAAAAGAAAATAGATAAATGAGGCTAAGAAACATTATGCTTTTTTTTTTTTTTTTTTGAGACAGAGTTTCACTCTTATCGCCCAGGCTGGAGTCCAATGGCGCGATCTTGGCTCACCGCAACCTCCGCCTCCCAGGTTCAAGCGATTCTCCTGCTTCAGCCTCCCAAGTAGCTGGGATTAGAGGCATGCACCACCACGCCCGGCTAATTTTACATTTTTTTAGTAGAGACGGGGTTTCTCCATGTTGGTCAGGCTGGTCTCGAACTCCCGACCCCAAGTGATCCGCTCGCCTCGGCCTCCCAAAGTGCTGGGATTACAGGCGTGAGTCACCGCGCCCGGCTAGAAACATTATGTTCAAAGTCCGGGATGATATGGGGCACGAGTCCTAAATCTTCCAATTTACCTAAGACAGAGAAGAGGGTATAAGAAAGAGGAAGCACTCCTGACCCCAGTCCTTTATCCTACCTGAATTCTGAGCTCTCCCATTTCCAGGGGGTCACAGCCAAGATTAAAAGCCAAAGTGGCAGGGACAAGCGCCAGTCCGTCAGCGAGGGGCTCTCCCAGCGGTCCAGAGCCGGGTCCCAGTCTATCAGAGAGGTCCCAGCGAGGTTCTAGGACCTGCACCCTAGCCAAGTGCGGCTGTGAAGTGTTCGATGACTCTCTGGCCTGGGCCACCCACACCCATTCGCCCTGGAAGAGGCCAAGGCCACGGAGACAGCTCCGGCTCACCCCTAGTGAATCTCCAGTCCCTCCCAGAACTCCCTGGAGTCGCCGCACTGTGCCAGAAACCGCAAAGGAGGACACCACGGGCGGGGGTGGGGGCCGACTGCTGTCCCCAGACTCTGGACACAGTCTGGCCCGCCCGCGGAGCTCAGTCACAGCCAGCCGAGTCCCTGGGCCCAGCAGCCCTTGCAACGCCGGCCGCGTCTCCAGCACCCGCGGTCCGGGCACTGGGAGGGTCTCTCCGCGCCTCACCAGCAGCGGCCCGACTCGCGGTCCGAGCCCAGGCCCCAGCGAGGTGCCAAGCAGTGCCCAACCTAGCGCCGGGGGCCGCCGCACCGCCCGCGCCCGCACCCAGGCCCCGGAGCCCAGTGCCAGGAGCCGCAGCAGCGCGCGGCTAACCAGTAGCTGCGGCGGCCCGGGACCCTGCTCTTCGGTGCCCGCGTCCGGCCCCTCCAGGGCTGCCACCAGCAGCGCCGGCCCTGCCGGGCTCTCCCCTGCAGGCCTCAGGGCCAGCACCAGGCCCAGCTCCGCCGCCGGCCACGGGCCCCCGGGTGGCAGCAGCACTGCCAACGGGGGTGTCTCGGTCGGAAAGGGCTCCAGGACCCGCAAGACAGCCAGCGCCATGGTGACAGGACACCAACGAGGAGGGTGAAGGAGCGCAGCTTCCGGAGCCAGAGAGCCAGACGACTAGTGTGCGCGAGGGCCGCTTCCGCTTCCGTCAGGGGAGGCCAGAGGAAAAGGGGAGGGGGGTCGGGTGCCGCGAACTTGCTCTGAGGGGGTTAGCTGCGCCTCGGATTGATCTGCGTCGTGCCTCGATAGGCAGTAACCTTCATCGCTGCGGTTGCGTAGCGTTTACCCATGCGCCATTTGAACTTGTGCTTAAGGGATTTATCTTTGCCTTCTACGGAAGTAATGTTCTCTTAACTATTTTTCCCCGTGGCATGAACGTAACAGTTTATTGACTGATAAATGAACAGTCAGCATGCTCGGGATGACTGGGCCCAGTACTGGGAGCTCTAGGTGAAATGTTTCGGAAGGAGTCCGCTCCTCTGCGGAGCTCCTGCAGCTTCCCCTGTGGAACTGTGAGCACTGAGGTTTGAGGGTTGCAGGAAAGGTTGCAGGAGGGAGTAGCAGGATTAGAAAACTGTCTCACACTTGCTTATAGGTATATAGTGGCTGCTGAGTGAATTACTAGATGTGATTCATACAGCCCTGGAGTGCTTGGTGCCACCACACATGTTCCAGCACATCTGGCACAAAACCCATGTTCCAGGACTTCTTGCCCTGTTCATTGTTCTGTTTGTTTTACTCCCACCAAACTTAAGTTGAAGACAAAACAGCTTTTCTTTCACCCCCCCCCCCCAAATCCTTGCAGATCGGAAACCCATTCACTTTCTATCCTAGAGCGGGGCAGGCAGCAGAGCAGGCAGAAGGAAAGGAGTTCAAGGCTTCTGTCAGCATAACACCAACAGTCGACTTCCTGCGTGTGCTGTTATTTAGATTCCATCCTTCTCTTCACCTCCACTGTTCTGTACAAGACACTCAGCTAGTGGTAGGCCACATTTCCTTTTTTATGGCAACAGGGTCCTACTCTGTCACCCAGGTTGGAGTACAGTGGCACGATCCCCATTCATTGCAGCTTCTACCGTCCCAGGCTCAAGTGATCTCCCACCTCAGCCTCCCGAGTAACTGTAGCCGGGACCACAGGCACACGCCACCATACCCAGCCAATTTTTTTTTTGAGACGGAGTTTCGGTCTTGTTGCCCAGGCCAGAGTGCAATGGCACGATCTCAGCTCACTGCAATCTCCGCTTCCCAGGTTCAAAGAATCTCCTGCCCCAGCCTCCCAAGTAGCTGAGATTACAGGTGTGTGCCACCACACCCAGCTAATGTTGTATTTTCAGTAGAGACGGGGTTTCACCCTGTTGGTCAGGCTGGTCTCGAACTCCTGGCTTCAAGTGAGCCACCTGCTTACGCCTCCCAAAGTGCTGGGATTACAGGCATGAGCCACTGCGCCTGGACTAATTTTTTATTTTTTGTAGAGACAGAGTTTCTCTGTGTTGCCTAGGCTGGTCTCAAACTCCTGGTCTGAAGAGATCCTCAGGCCTCAGCCTCCCAAAGTGCTGGGACTACAGGCATAAGCCATCATGTCCCACTGCATTTCCAATTATTAACAATTATTTTCACTTACAATAAATGAATTGGATGGTGCCAATCTCCATTTTCTAGACCTTACATTCTCTTTCAGCTACTGCTCAGCTTTCTCCATCTCTCCTTTCTTCTTGAGGCAGTCTTCTATTTTGTACATTATACATTCCTGAAAATTTGAAAGACAAATATATGAAAACTATTAGATTTGCATATTATAAGGGGCTGGGCGCAGTGGCTCATGGCTGTAATCCCAGCACTTTGGGAGGCCAAGTGGGTGGACTGCTTGAGGCCAGGAGTTTGAGACCAGCCTGGCCAACATGGTGAAACCCCGTCTCTACTAAAAATACAAAAATTAGCTGGGTATGGTGGTGTGTGCCTGTAGTCCCAGCTACTCGGGAGGCTGAGGCAGGAGAATGGCGTGAAGCCGGGAGACAGAGCTTGCAGTGAGCCGAGACTGCGCCACTGCACTCCAGCCTGGGTGACAGAGTGAGATTCCGTCTCAAAAAAATAAATAATAGAAAAAAATAAATAAAATAGCATGCAAGAATGTACTAACCAGGAACCATGGCTTGTGTCTATAATCCCAGCTATGGGGAGGCTGAGGCAGAAGGATCACTTGAACCCAGGAATTTGAGGCTATGATTGTGCCACTGCACTCCAAGTGGGTGACAGAGCAAGACCTTGTCTCTTAAAATATATAAAATTAAAAGAAAAAAAAACTAAATAAAGAATGTTCTAGGTACCTAGATTCACATGGATGAAAGTTCCCATTTGGTAGTGCTACTATATGTTTCTTGGTCCCCTATGTCCCAGAGGAACCAAGGGCTAGATAGATGGTACATGGGCCTAAAGAGGATATGCCTGCTTTCCTCAGTAGCAGGCAAGCTCTAGGCCTCAGGACTATAGTGCTCCTTGAGGCCTTGGAGATGGGTAAAAACATCAGTTATCTTGCCTGGATCAGCACTCATACAGACACAAATACCCACCCACAAATAAATGTCCTTTTCTCCCAAGCTTTTCTCCCAGCAGGTAACAGCGGGCATGTAGTCCACTTTGTGTTACCCTGAAATCGTCATTAGTCACCGAAAGCCAAATACTACTTCTGTAAGATCGCCAGGACCCTACATTTGCCATCTTCACTTCCTCACCTCTTGATGCTCACTCTTCCACTCACTAAAAACGGTCTTCCACTCTCTGAAAAAATCACCCATAATCTTCTAATTGCAGAATCAAGATGATGCTGTTCTTTCTCTGACACTACTGACCAATTGTCTTTTATTTCCTTTGCCATTATGACACCAGTTGTCCTCCTACAACTCTGATCACTTCCAGAAATCATCCTCAACTCTTCCCTTTCCGTTACCGTCCCCCCCACAATACAATGAATCACCATATCCTGTTGATTCTACACATTTTCATGCTCCATCCTCTCTTCTCCATCCCCACGGCCACTGTCTTGTAACATTGCTCTCCTGGGTACCTGGGTAAGGGACACAGGTTTTGTGTTTTTTTTTTTTTTTTTCAGATGGAGTCTTGCCCTGTCGCCCAGGCTGGAATGCAATGGTGCGATCTCGGCTCACTGCAAACTCCACCTCCCGGGTTCAATGGATTATCCTGCCTCAGCCTCCTGAGTAGCTGGGATTACAGGCACCCACCGTCATGCCTGGCTAATTTTTGTATTTTTGTAGAGACGGGGTTTTGCCATGTTGGCCAGGCTGGTCCTGAACTCCTGACCTCAGGTGATCCGCCCTCCTCAGTCTCCCAAAGTGCTGGGATTACAGGCGTGAGCCACTGCGCCTGACCTTTTTTTTTTTTAAGACTAAATATTTTATTTTATATAGAATTTTAAAAATTTATTTTTTGTACATGAATAAGTTCTTTAGTGGTGATTTATGAGATTTTGATGCAGCCATCACCCAAGCAGTGTATACTGTACCCAATGTGTAGTATTTTTTTTTTTTTTTGAGACGGAGTCTTGCTCTGTCGCCCAGGCTGGAGTGCAGTGGCATGATCTAGGCTCACTGCAACCTCTGCCTCCCGGGTTCACGCCATTCTCCTGCCTCAGCCTCCCGGGTAGCTGGGACTACAGGCGCCTGCCACCACGCCCGGCTATTTTTTTGTATTATTTTAGTAGAGACGGGGTTTCATCGTGTTATCCAGGATGGTCTCGATCTCCTGACCTCGTGATCCGCCCGCCTCGGCCTCCTAAAGTGCTGGGATTACGGGCGTGAGCCACCGCGCCCGGCCTCCATTGTATCATTCTCATGCCTTTGCATCACAGGTTTCTTCTTTTTTTTTTGTAGACGGAGTCTTGCTCTGTCGCCCAGGCTGGAGCGCAGTGGCATGATCTCGGCTCACTGCAACCTCCACCTACCGGGGTCAAGTAATTCTCCTGCCTCAGCCTCCTACCGGGTTCAAGTGATTCTCCTGCTTCAGTCTCCCGAGTAGCTGGGACTACAGGCGCGCGCCACCACGCCCCGCTAATTTTTGTATTTTTCATAGAGGCATGGTTTCACCATGTTGGCCGGGATGGCCTCGATCTCTTGACTCGTGATCCGCCCACCTCGGCCTCCCAAAGTGCTGGGATTACAGGCGTGAGCCACCGCACCCTGTCTAATTTTTGTATTTTTAGTAGAAATGGGGTTTCACCACTATGGTCAGGCTGGTCTCAAACTCCTGACCTCGTGATCTGCCCACTTTGGTCTCCCAAAGTGTTGGGACTACAGGCGTGAGCCACCGAGCCTGGCCACAGGTTTATTCTTTTTGTCGTCATTGTTGCTGTTTTGAGACAGAGTCTTGCTCTGTCGCCCAGGCTGGAGTGCAGTGGTGTGATCTCGGCTCACTGCAACCTCCGTCTCCCGGGTTCAAGTGATTCTCCTGCCTCAGCCTCCCGAGTAGCTGGGATTACAGGCGTGCACCACCACACCCAGCTAATTTTTGTATTTTTAATAGAGACGGGGTTTCGCCATGTTGGCCAGGCTGGTCTCGAACCTCTGACCTCAGGTGATCCTCCTGCCTCAGCCTCCCAAAGTGTTGGGATTACAGGCGTGAGACACCGTGCCTGCCTGGTTTACATTCTCTCTTAATCCTTTGTTTATACACATCTGTGATTCACCAGACTGCGAACTCTTTGTGGGCATAAACTGAGTCTTACCCATTAGAACACGGACTTGAGCAGGGTGGCAAGTAAGGGATGGATTTCCTGAGACAGTCAACAATGAAGTTGCTTTTCCACTGCGTTCCCAACTGCTCAAATCTAGCTGGTTCCCCAATCCCAGTACACTTGCAGTAGCAACGGGGACCCTCTTCCTAAAGTTGCACCAAGCCAGGGATTCTCCACTCATTTCGCCCAGGTCCTAGCCCTGCCAGGCTTCCCCTTTGCTCCTCTGCAACCCCTGTCTAGGGAGGCGGGTGTCTTGGAAGGTCCTTGGGAGCTCCCTCCATCAATTTTGCATCTGCAATTAGGGCTACTTTACCCCAGTGAAGAAAGGTGCCCTCCGTATTAGGGCTTCCTTCCTCCAATTCCGACTGGACAGGGTAGCAGAGCGGGCAAAGTGTGAGAGCCTTTAGAAGGAAAGAGCAGGGCTCCAAGCGCCGCGAAGAATGGCCGAGGCCGACGCACAGCAGACGCTGGAGTGCAGCCCTCCTAGCCAAGCTTGGGTTTCCCCTTATCCCCGCCTCCTTCTCTAAGCTCGACCCACTTTAGGGCGGGACCACCCACTTCAGCCAATTCTGGAAGCCGAACCCTGGCGGTTTGTACTATTTCTTTCCAATAAGAAAAAAAGGAAGCAGCTTGGCTCCAATGACCAATCCGAGGAGGCGGCGCCTGGTTGTCAGGCAGTTTTGTAGGAGTTCGGGCCAATTGGAGGCGCAGGCACCGCTCGACCCGGGCGCAGCGCGCAGGCGGTGGCGAAGAGACGCCGAGCGGGCCGAGTGCGGCCGAGCAAAGCCGGAGCCGGAGCGGGGCCGCAGGAGACGGGCCGGGTCCGGACGGGCCGAGATGCCCTATAAACTGAAAAAGGAGAAGGTGAGCGTGGCCCTTTTTCCCCCACCGCCGCCTTGGAGCCTGCGCGGAGCTCTGGGAGGGGCCGGAGCCAGGCCCGGGACAGCCCCAGACTGACCCTCCCGTCCAGCCCCCGCAGGACTCCTGGGGCCAGCCCTCCGCCCCCGCGGCTGGCAGCACCCCCAGCTTGTGCCGCAGCTAGGACAGCTCCCCCACCTTGCCCCGGAGAGACTCCCCCCACATACACCTCCCTCCCTTCTTCCCTTCTCTTACCCCCGGCCCAGGGTAACCTCCTTCTTCCAGATCTGCCCCATTCCCAGGTCACTGTCCTGCTTTTTCTGTCCCCCCCATCACCCCTGGCCCCGATCCCCCTTCGGTTTGGGCAGCCCCTCATCTGAAACTGCACCTTCCTCCAGAATTGCCCCCTCGCCCCGCCCTGAGCAGCCCCTTGTCTCCTCTTCCTACCCGCCTGGGACAGCCGCCCCGCAGTCCCCTACGGCCCCTTCTCTTTCCATGCCAAGCCCCTGACCTAGAACAGCGCTGCTTTCTCTCTCCTCCACCCAAATCTGGCCTAGGCCCCTCCCTCTAGTTCTTCCTTCACACACAAACTTGTAAGCAGGACTGAGCCCTTCTGTTGATGGAACCTCACAACGTTGGTGCTGGAAGGGACCTCTGAGCGCATGCAGTGCAATCCCTAATGGTACAGATGAGGAGACTGAGGCCCCGACAGGGCAAGGGACTTGTCCAAGGTCACACAGCCTGCTGGAGGCCCAGCTGCAATATCAGGTCTCCTGACTTAAAGGCCTCTTTTGTATCAAAGCCCTCCTAACTGTCACCCAAGTGCATCCTAGACCAGTCACCTTTCCTAATCTGAGTAGGCTCCTCACCCTTATTCTTAATCCTAGGATAACCTTTGCATTTTTCCTTTTTTTTTTTCTTTTCGCACCAGTGCTGGATTTCTGCCTTTCCTAAGCTACACCATCTTCAAATTGGGAATTTGTCCTCACTGTCAGATTATTGTTCCTTCTTAGCCTGCAGGCCAGCCACCCCTGAACACCCATGTCTTTATCATGATGTCCTGACACAGGCCATTTCTTTTTTTTTTTTTTTTTTTGAGATGGAATTTTGCTCTTGTTGCCCAGGCTGGAGTGCAATGGCGCGATCTCGGCTCACCACAACCTCTGCCTTCTAGCTTCAAGCGATTCTCCTGCCTCAGCCTCCCAAGTAGCTGGAATTACAGGCATGCGCCACCACATCCGGCTAATTTTGTATTTTTAGTAGAGACGGGGTTTCTCCATGTTGATCAGGCTGGTCTTGAACTCCTGACCTCAGGTGATCTGACCCCCTCGGCCTCCCAAAGTGCTGGGATTACAGGTGTGAGCCACCGTGCCTGGCCCACAGGCCAGTTCTTAATGTTGCCTTCTTTCACCTTCCTCATCTACCTCGGTGCTGCCTTCCCCTGCTCCTCATCCGTGCCTTTTTCTACCCTCTGTTTCCTGCTGTTGCTGAGGTCTGACTCAGAGGTGTGGTTCCTTTGAGGTACAGACTCACACATAGGATGCTAGGATACCAGTTCCAGCCTCCCCCAGCTTCTCCTCTCCTGGGGCTGGCCCTTTTTGGTGGGGGTTGGCTCTGGCCTGGTGTTCTGGCCACCTGCTCGATGACCCCAGAGGTATATTGCTTTCATTTGCCCTCTGATTGGCTGGGTTACTGGGCTGCCATCTCTGACCTTTTCAATCAAACTTTTTCTCCTGGGGCTGTTCTGTATTTGCCAGGCAGCTCTGATTCTGAGTTGTCCCCTTAACCTTTCAGGGCCTGAGGTTCTAAGTACAGGGTTGGTGATGGTGTACTAGATAGTGAGCCTCCTGGGAGTAGTGAGCTGGACAGGGTTTTGTGCCCCACCCAGGCCCTGTCCTTGGGGAGTGGGCATGCGGAGGTGGTTTGGGTAGCTCAGTCGTAGACAATGCACACAGAAATCAGCCACAACAGGGGCTAAGGGAAATGGAATTCGGGGAAAGCTGGTGAGGTCCCCACCCATTTGTAATTTTTAGTCTGTTGGACTAGATACTGTCCCATCCACAGAAAGCAATAGCCTACTAGATTGTGAAGAAGACAAATTGCCAGTGAGATTTGCTAGGACCATGGGTGTAAACGTTTGGTTGGGAAAGGGTGTTGGAAGTAACGGGGTGCATGGAGCCAGGCATAACTCTCACCTCCCTATAAGGTTTTTCTGCTCTTGATTTTCAGTTGCATTTGGCCTTCTTCAATGGTTGGCAGGCTCTAAGGGGCAGGGGGGTTGCCAGTGTGACTGAGGTTTGTCTGGATGGCTGTGGGTGGAGGATCTTTATTGCTCATCTATGACCTGTCCCCTCTCTCCTGGCCATCTTTCACAGCTTCCTCTCTAAAGCCTTTCTGAGCCCTCAGTCAGGAGTGAACTCTCCTTTCTTTTCTGGATTTGCAGAACACTTAGTAGGCCACTTATGGTCCTTTTGTGTTTGGCCTTGGATGGGAATTAATTGTGGACAAGACTTTTCTTCCCCTTTGAGATAATAACTAAGTTTCATTTTGGTTTGACAACTCCTTTTCACACGGTAAGTACGTGCTTAGTGGATAGGTGCTAAGATAATCTCTTGGAGGGATTCGCATCTCTCCTCTTCCTTCATGTTCTCCTCTGGGACTTACCTCTTTTATTTTCCTGAGTAGGGTGCCCCTGCCCCCTCCGATTTTTTTCTTGTTCATAATAATAGTAATAACATTGACCAGCACTACGGTTTTCATGTGCCTTAACACTGTGCTGAGGGAAGAGGGTATTATGATTGTCATCATCTAATAGATGAGGAAACTGAGGCTCAGAGAGGCTAGTTAACTTGCCTGTGATTACACAGCCAGTAAGAGTTGGGCCCAAAACACAGGGCTGAGTCCAAACATGTTCTTTTAACCTCTGTGCTACACAGCATTTGACTACTGAGCTGGGCTGAAATGTGTGTGCTTCACCTGTTCTGCAGGAGCCAGGGAGCAAGGGTGGTAGGCCTGGTTCCTCCATGCCCACTCACACCCACACACTAAGGCAGCTGGATCTCTCTTAGGCTCATTCTTTGAAAGATACGTCTGAGGCATCATGCTGAGTGCTGTAGGGTGGGTGGAGGGGTACAAAAAAGAATAAGCAGCTTATGGTCTAATAGATTGGAGATGTATGAAGATGGGTCAGCTTTGTTCAAGGGGTTCATGTCTGGGGTGTGTGCAGACACCTCAATGTTGTGTCCTGCCTGCACCCTGCCCCCGGCCTATTTCTCTCCACCCCATGCTCTCAGCCACTGATAAGGGTCAGTGTGGCCAGCTGGGTTAGTATACAGCAGGAGCGTGCTCAGGCCAAAGAAGGAACTCCTTCCCCCTACTGCATGGAGCTGCTCTACACCACACCTTTCTTCCTCCCCACCTCCAAGAAGCCTTCCCCCTACTCCAGCCCACACAGAGCTCTCTTCTCCCTGAAATCCTTTTGCCCCCATAGTCACAATAACTCGATTTAACACTTCTCACTGAAGGGGCTTGGCTGCTATTGAATTGCACAATCTCAGAGCTGGAAGTGATTTCCAAGATCCTCCAGTCCTCATTAAAGGCTTGAATTTCTTTTGCAACATGCCTTACAGGAGGTCACCAAGCCCCTGCTTGAATGTTCTCAGGGGTTGGGGAGCTTTCGGCTTCACTAGGTGGCCAGTTTTAGTGCAATTGCTCCATGATAAAATTCTTCCTTGTTTGGAGCTTCAGGTGGCTTGCAACTTCAGCCCATTGCTCTCGTGCCTCTGGTCCATATGGACAAGTTGCATCCAAGGCATCCAAGTTGCATCTTCATTTGTTTAAGATCCATCTTGCTTCTCCATCCCTCATGACTCCTCCCTTCCATTGTTAACTATCCCAGTTCCTGCAGCTGTTGGTCTTGGGACATGCCTTTGAATCCACTCCCAGTATGGGTTGCATTTCCCTCTAAGAAACACTAGGATTTGTCATGGCCCCTCCCAAGCCTGATGCTCATGACTGAACCAGATCCTCCAGGATAGCCCTGTCAGTGCCAAGCAGTCTGCACAGGTCTTTTAACAAGATGGAAGGTCACATGAGCTGCACATGGATGATTTGTGTTGAGCTTGCAGTCAGACCTAAATCCCCAAGTCTTTTTCACATTTTCCCTATCCTGTCCCTGTGCAGTTGCTTTTTTTGGCTCGAAGCATAGGAAGAGATGCTGGGCAGGCCAGGGCTCTGAGCCAGCTGCCAGGTTCCCAAAGGAGACTTCAGACTAGTGCTCACTCTTTGTAACAGTTCAGGGTTTTACCCCCATCCCTGTCTTAGTGCTTGTCAACTGAGGTGCTCTTGGCATTTTGAGTGGGACAGTTCTGTACCTGTTAGCATTCCTGGGCCTTACTGATTAAATGCTGAGTAGCACCCTCTTGTCTGTGCGCTATTTGTGACATCCAAAAATTGCCTCCCAGTCTTTCCAGGTGGCTGTGAGGGGAGAGTGGTGACTCCCTGCACTCCAGCATGAAAGCCTCCGGCACACCTTTGACCACTTTAGCCAGAAACCAGTGAGCAGCTGTTCCCTGATGCTTTTTCTTTAAGCCTCCTCACCCTGGTTCTGACCTGAGCAAAGGCCCTCCCAGGCCCAACCTCTGCACCAGCCTGATGAGGTGAAAGATGGAGCATTCTCACGCTGAATTAGTGTGTGTTTGGGGTGACTTCCTAACCAGATTCTAAACTCTTTGGAGGGGCTGAATCTCCTTCTGCGTAGATCCCTCCACCCACCCCAGCTCCGCACAAGGTAGATTCTAATTGATTGATTCAACTGGACAGAGGATATTTGCAACAAAGATCTAAGGGAGCCAGATAAGACCTCTCCCTTCTCCTGGCATCTGCTAACTTTACTTTCATCTTTTCCTTTCAGGAGCCCCCCAAGGTTGCCAAATGCACAGCCAAGCCTAGCAGCTCGGGCAAGGATGGTGGAGGCGAGAACACTGAGGAGGTAATGAATGTAGGCGTAGCCTTAGATGTGGTGCAGGTGCCACCCGCAACTCCATGATGGCTAGTTGGGTAGGGGATCCCAGGGGGTGAGGCAGAAGGGAAGGCTTCCATATCCTGGGAGGGACCTGGACAGCCCATCCAGACTGCCCTCAGGCAGGATTTACCTTTGGTTGGTATAGACCAAATACATTCTCTAGTTCTTCAGACTCCCCAGAGATTCCTATGAAAGTTGTTTCTCTGCTTACCAACTTGGAATGTTGAGAATTCCTTTTTCTTAGGGCAAAAAGCGGGAGGTTCTGGGATCCTGGGCAAAAGGGGAAAAGTCCACAGACACTTGATGGGGTAACAAGTGACTTCAGCATGGCTCGGGTGGGGCAGGGGATTGGGAGGGGCTGGTGTCCCTGAGTTGGGCCCAGCTGGGCCCACTGCCCTTGGTCCTGATTGAATGGCAGCATGACTAAAAGACAGTCCTGAGCAGAGTTCAGCGCAGCTTAGCAATCTCGGGTTATAAAGCAATAAACAGCAAGCCGAGAGAACACCAGAAGAGGGAGAGACTTAAGGAAGTACACAGTATGTCCATGAAAGTTTGGGAGTGTGCACAGTGGGATGCTCTGGATGGTGAAAGATCCTGTGAACATACACAGCGAGCATCCACCACATCCTACCTGGAAACTGGTGTTTGGTGCTTTCTCTGCTTTCTCCCTCTGCTCTAAACTGTTCAGAGGGATGAAAGAGAACTGGAAACACAGCTCTCTAGTTATGGACAGGTCTTATGGTTTTTTGGGAGAAGAGATTGATGAGCAAATGTTTGGGGTTAACTATGCGTTTAGATGTTTCTCAGTACTTCTGGTGATAGGTCACCTCTAAAGAGATACAAGCACTTTTCACACCTCATTTTAGGCCTCATTTAAGTAATGAGAAGCTGAGTAGGTTTTCCCCATTTTATAGGCATGGAAGTTGAGGACCACAGAAGAGGAATTATTCTTTCCTCTGCACTTATGCAGTATTCTACTTTTTTTTTTTTTTTTTTTTTTTTTTTGAGATGGAGTCTCTCTCTTGTTGCCCAGGCTGGAGTGCAATGGTACGATCTCGGCTCACTGCAACCTCCACCTCCCGGGTTCAAGCAATTCTCCTGCCTCAGCCTCCTGAGTAGCTGGGATTACAGGCGCATGCCACCATGCTTGGCTAATTTTTTTGTATTTTTAGTAGAGACGGTGTTTCACCATGTTGGCCAGGCTGGACTTGAACTCCTGACCTCAGGTGATCCACCCGCCTCAGCCTCCCAAAGTGCTGGGATTACAGGCGTGAGCCACTGCACCCGGCCCTTATGCGGTATTCTAAATATCTCCTTAATAATCCTTATCACTCAGCTCTGTGACGATTTGTCCCCATCTGTGTCTCTCCTCTCAGACTGTGAACTCCAAGGGAAGGAGCTATGTTATTCTGCATTGCTTCTTTCCTACCTCTGTGTACTTGTGCAGTTGGTTCATAGTAAATGCTTCTGGGAAGACACACTATGGGCTCAGTCTCCCTTTCAGGAATGATTATAATTGTGGGACCCACAGGGAAGGTGGTTGGAAGCTGGTAACTTGACATTTAGAGCAGCAAGAAACAGGATTTTCTAAGTCCTGAAAATCCTGGGAGAGGAAGGAAAATTTAATGGGGAGTTCCCACCTTTTGCCTAACTCCTACTTCTTTAGTTCTTAGATGGGATGTCGTTTCCTTAAAGCAGCCTTCTTTGACCACCCACCCCTATCCCCAGGACCTCGCGAGGGCTTCTGTTAGTTGCTGTTTTGGCACTCAGTACCTGGTAGCGCTGGTAGCACCTAACCACAACTGTCATGAAATAATTCCTTGTGAATTCATTGTTTTATCGGCTGTCTCTTGTGTTAGCACGAGAGCTCCATGAGGCTCTCATTCACTCCTGAAGGGCCTGACACAGCAGAAGCACCCAGCATTTGAATGTATTAGTGAGTGAATGAGTGAACGAGTGAATGAACAAATGCACCAATTTCACATTAGAGCTGAAAAGGACCTTAGGGTCTAACGTTATCAGTTCATAGATGGGAAAATGAAGCCTGAACAGGTTAAGGAGTATGCTGAGACCAACTGCTATGATTTATCCACTGCCTTTCAAACAAATATGCCTAAGACAATGGGTCTATTACAAGCAATCTGGGAAAGGAGGGTGTTGAGTTCACCTTGGGCTGTTTGGTGAAACGCTGCTCAGGGTTCACAGGTATGAGATGGCAGCAGGAATTATCCATGATTTTGTAGAAATGTACCCACGTCTGGTATGGCAGGGGTATGGGGAAAAGTTGGAGCTAGGATGTGAGGCTGTGGTCTTCAAAAGCTGTTTGGCACAGTCCTTCCCTTGCCCTTTTTCTTTTGAGATGGAATCTTGCTCTGTCGCCCAGGCTGGAGTGCAGTGGCGCGATCTTGGCTCACTGCAAGTTCCATCTCCTGGATTCACGCCATTCTCCTGCCTCAGCCTCCCGAGTAGCTGGGACTACAGGCTCCCGCCACCACGCCTGGCTAATTTTTTGTATTTTTAGTAGAGATGGGGTTTCACCATGTTAGCCAGGATGGTCTCGATCTCCTGACCTCGTGATCCACCCGCCTCGGCCTCCCAAAGTGCTGGGATTACAGATGTGAGCCACCGCGCCCGGCCCCCTTGCCCTTTTCTTGTCCGGAATTTTGGGCTCTTCTAGCCAGCTTTGCTCTGTCAGGCATTTGCCAGAGCCTTTCTAATTGATCTAATAGTTATAGCAGCTGACATTTATTTTATAGAGCAGTTACTTTGTGTTAGTTTCCTAGGGCAGCCATAATAAACTACTACAAATAAGCCCGGCATGCTGGCTCACACCTGTAATCCTAATGCTTTGGGAAGCTGAGGTGGGAGAATTGCTTGAGGGCAGGAGTTTGACACCAGCCTGGGCAACATACAGAGACCCTGTCTCTACAAAAAAATAAAAAATAAAAAATTAGCTGGATGTGGGGGCATGTGCCCCTGTACTTCCAGCCACACGGGAGGCTGAGGCGGAGGATCGCTTGAGTCCAGGAGTTCAAGGCTGCAGTGGGCCATGATCGTACCACTGCACTCCAGCCTGGGTGACAGAACGAGACCTTGTCTCAAGAAAACAAAACAAAACAAATTATTACAAATTGGGTGGCTTAAAACAATAGAAATAGGCTGGGTGCGGTGGCTCACACCTGTAATCCCAGCACTTTGGGAGGCTGAGGCAGGTGGATCACCTGAGGTCAGGAGTTTGAGAGCAGCGTGGCCAACATGGTAAAACACTGTCTCTACTAAAAATACAAAAATTGGGCTGGGCATGGTGGCTCACACCTGTAATCCCAGCACTTTGGGAGGCCGAGGCGGGTGGATCACCTGAGGTCAGGAGTTCAAGACCAGCCTGACCAACATAGTGAAACCCTGTCTCTACTAAAAATACAAAAATTAGCCAGGCGTGGTGGCACATGCCTGTAATCCCAGCTACTAGGGAGGCTGAGGCAGGAGAATCGCTTGAACCCAAGAGCCGGAGGATGCAGTGAGCCGATATTGCACCATTGCAACCCAGACTAGGCAACAAGAGCGAAACTCCGTCTCAAAAAAAAAAAAAAATACAAAAATTAGCCGGGCGTAGTGGTGGCGCACCTGTAATCCCAGCTACTGGGGAGGCTGAGGCTGGAGAATTGCTTGAACCCAGGAGGCGGAGGTTGCAGTGAGAGGAGATCGTGCCATTGCACTCCAGCCTCGGTGACAAGAGGGAAACTCTGTCTCAAAAAACAAAAAACAAACAAAAAAAGAAATACATTCTCTCTCAGCTCTGGAGGCCAAAAGTTGTAAAATTAGTGTCGGCAGGGCCATGTCCTTCTGAGGTTCTAAGGAAGAATCTGTTCCACATCTCTCTCCTAGATTCTGGTGGCTTTTGACAATCTTTGGCATTCCTTGTAGATGCATCACTTTAATCTCTGCCTCTGTCTTCACACAGCATTCTCCTCCATGTGTCTCTGTCTCTGTCCAAATTTTCCTCTTCTAAGGACACCAGTCATATTGGACTTAGGTTTCACCCCAATCCAGTATGATCTCATTTTAACTTGATTACATCTGCAAAGACCCTGTTTCCAAGTAAGGTCACATTCACAGATTCTAGGTGGACATGAATTTGGTGAGGGGAGGGGGTAGGGGACTGGATACTGTGCAACACTATGTACCAGGCACTGTGCTAAGTACTTTGCATACATTGTCTCATTTAACCTTCACAATACTCCCCTGAGATTCCTTTATTATTATTATTCCCATTTCACAGATGAAACTGAGGCTTAGAAATGTTAACTGGGCACAGTGGCTCACGCCTGTAATCCCAGCACTTTGGGAGGCCGAGGAGGGCAGACCACCTGAGGTCAGGAGTTCGAGACTAGCCTGGCCAACATGGTGAAACGCTGTCTCTACTAAAAATACAAAAATTAGCCTGGCATGGTCCAGCTACTTGGGAGACTGAGGCAGGAGAATTGCTTGAACCTGGGAGGTGGAGGTTGCAGTGAGCTGAGATTGTGCCACTGCACTCCAGCTTGGGGGAGAGAGCAAGACTCTTGTCTCAAAAGGAAATGTTAAGTAGCTTTTATTCAGCCAGTAAGGCAGTAAGGCAGAGCTGGAATTCAACCCAGGTCTGTGTGACTCTGGAGTCTCTTGTGGTCTTGAATGAAGTGATACTGCTGGCTCTAAGATTCTAGAAGTGAATCCTAGAATGGAAAGGAGCCTTGGGAGATCAGGTGAGACCCCACTGACCTGCCTCTGCAGGTAAGGGTCTTTCTTGATCTGTCCTTGGAAAAAAAAATTCAATGTCCTCACGCCTGTAATCCCAGCATTTTGGGAGGCCGAGGCGGGCGGATCACCTGAGATTGGGAGTTAGAGACCAGCCTGGCCGACATGGTGAAACCCCATCTCTACTAATAATACAAAAATTAGCTGGGCATGGTGGGGCATGCCTGTAATCCCAGCCTGTTATCCCAGCTACTCGGGAGGCTGAGGCATGAGAATCGTTTGAACCTGGGAGACAGAGGTTGCAGTGAGCCAAGATCACGCCATTGCACTCCAGCCTGGGCAACAAGAGCAAAACTCCATCTCAAAAAAAAAAAAAAAAATTAATGTCATAGACTCCTCTACGTGCTGAGCCCTGTCCTGAGTCTGGGAGTAGGGACAGAGGGAGGAATAAATTTTCCCACACTTCAGCTTGTCCTCTCTGAGGCCAGAGTTGTTACTCTAAAAACCTTCTTGGTCTTATCAGTCCTCTACTTAAAAACCATTTTTGGCATCTCACTGCTTACAAGTTAAAATCCAAACTCACTAGCATGGCACCCTCAACCCCTCTGAGCTGGCCCCACTCTTCTTCTAGCACCAGTCCTGCCTTTGTGTCCCACCGAACTTTTTCTTTCTTTTTTTTTTTTTTTTTTTTTGGAGATAGGGTCTCACTGTGTTCCCCAGGCTGGAGTACAGTGGTACAATCATGGCTCACTGCAGCCTCAACCTCCTGGGGCTCAAGGGATCTTTTCCCCTCAGCCCCCTGAGTAGCTGGGGCTGCAGGCACGAGCCACTGTGCTCAGCTAAGTTTTGTATTTTTTGTAGAGATAGGTTTCTTATTATGTTGCTAAGGCTGGTCTCGAACTCTTGGACCGAAGCAATCCTCCTGCCTTGGCCTCTGAAAGTGCTGGGATTACAGGTGTGAGCCACTGTGCCCTGCCCAACTTCCTATCTTCTGATATGACAACCCCTTTATGACTCAGGGTGCTCACAGATGCAGTTCCACTGGCCCGGACTGCTTTATTTCTCCTGTGTCTTTTTTTGCCTATTAAACTCATGTTTATTCTTTTTTTTTTTTTGAGACGGAGTCTCGCTCTGTCGCCCAGGCTGGAGTGCAGTGGTGTGATCTCAGCTCACTGCAACCCCTGCCTCCCAGGTTCAAGCGATTCTCCTGCCTCAGTCTCCCAAGTAGCTGGGACTACAGGCACTCACCACCACGCCCAACTAATTTTTCTCCTTTTTTTTTTTGGGTCTCACTGTGTTCCCCAGGCTGGAGTACAGTGGTACAATCATGGCTCACTGCAGCCTCAACCTCCTGGGCTCAAGGGATCTTTTCCCCTCAGCCCCGAGTAGCTGGGGCTGCAGGCACGAGCCTGTGAGAGTGAGACAGTGAGACAGTCTCACTGTCGCCCAGGCTGGAGTGCAGTGGCGCCATCTCGGCTCACTGCAGGCTCCGCCCCCCGGGGTTCACGCCATTCTCCTGCCTCAGCCTCCCGAGTAGCTGGGACTTTCTATTTTTTTTTTTTTTTTTTTTAGTAGAAACGAGGTTTCACCATGTTGGCCAGGATGGTCTCGATCACTTGACCTCGTGATCCGCCCGCCTCGGCCTCCCAAAGGGCTGGGATTATAGGCATGAGCCACTGCACCCGGCCATTTAAACTCATGTTTATTTTTTAAGAGCCAAAAAAGGGGCCAGGCGCGGTGGTTCACACCTGTAATCCCAGCACTTTGGGAGGCCGAGGCGGGGCGGATCACGAGGTCAGGAGATTGAGACCATCCTGGCTAACATGGTGAAACCCCGTCTCTACTAAAAAATACAAAAAATTAGCCGGGCGTGGTGGCGGGCGCCTGTAGTCCCAGCTACTCGGGAGGCTGAGGCAGGAGAATGGCTGAAACTGGGAGGCGGAGCTTGCAGTGAGCCGAGATGGCGCCACTGCACTCCAGCCTGGGTGACAGAGCGAGACTCCGTCTCAAAAATAAAAAAAAATAAAAAAAAAATAAGGGCCAAAAAAGAAAAAAAAACAAACAAATCAAAAGCCACCTCTTCAGGGATATCTTCCCTAATTCTTCCAAGCAGAGTTTACAGCTCAGCCTTCTCTGTTCTTGCATTTTCCTTGTTCAGTTAGCTGCATTTGTGTCTGTCCTGCCTAGTGGACTGTGAGCTCTTTGATGGCAAGGGCCATGTCTTAGTCACCTTTTAATCTTTTTTTATGGTATAGAATTTGCATATAAACTTTTAATCTTTAATGCTTAGCATGATGTTTAGTTAATAATTGAAGGAAGGAAAGAATTAAGCAACACTAGATGGAGCTCTGGATGTCACTACTGGAGAGAAGGCCTCTGATTTTTGGGATTTTAAACTAAAATGATCTTCATTTATTAGGCCAGTTAATTCATTATGCAAAAGAGATATAATATTTAATCTTTGCATTTTTTCTGGTAATTGTATGTTTCATCTTTCTCTTATATTAAATACTTTCTATAGTGCTTAAATTATATTGTTATCTCTTTGTTTTTTTATGTATTTATTTTTGAGACAGACTCTTCCTTTGTTGCCCAGGCTGGAGTGTCTTGGCTCACTGCAACCTCTGCCTCCCGGGTTCAAGTGATTTTTGTGTCTCAGCCTCCTGAGTAGCTGGGATTACAGGCGCCCGCTACCACGCCCGGCTAAATTTTGTATTTTTATTTATTTTATTTATTTTTATTTATTTATTTTTTGAGACGGAGTTTCGCTGTTGTTTCCCAGGCTGGAGTGCAATGGCGTGATCTCAGCTCACTGCAACCTCCGCCTCCCGGACTGAAGTGATTTTCCTCCCTCAGCCTCCTGAGTAGCTGGTATTACAGGCATGCACCACCACATCTGGCTAATTTTGTATTTTTAGTAGAGATGGGGTTTCTCCATGCTGGTCAGGCTTGTCTTGAACTCCTGACCTCAGGTGATCTGCCCACCTCAGCCTCCCAAAGTGCTGGGATTACAGGCGTGGGCCACTGTGCCTGGCCGTTTTTATTTTTATTTTTATTTTATTTTATTTTTTGAGATGGAGTTTCGCTCTTGTTGCCCAGGCTGGAGTACAATGGCGCGATCTCAGCTCACTGCAATATCTACCTCCCGGGTTCAAGCAATTCTCCTGCCTCAACCTCCCAAGTAGCTGAGATTACAGGCGCCCGCCACCATGCCCTGCTAATTTTTGTACTAAAAGTACATTTTGTACTAAAAGCTAATTTTGTATTTTTAGTAGAGACAGGGTTTCACCATGTTGGTTAGGCTGGTCTCCAACTCCTGACCTCAGGCGATCCGCCCACCTCAGCCTCCCAAACTGCTGGGATTATAGGGGTGAGCCACCATGCCCAGCCAACTTCTGTATTTTTAGTAGAGACGGGGTTTTGCCATATTGTCCAGGCTGGTCTCGAACTGTTCTCAAGTGATCTGCTGCCTTGGCCTCCCAAAGTGCTGGGGTTACAGACGTGAGCCGCCATGCCAGGCCCCTATCTCTTTATTTATATTTGAATATTTGGGTTTTATTTATATATATATATATATATATATATATATATATATATATATATTTTTTTTTTTTTTTTTTTTTTTTTTTTTTTTTTTGAGACGGAGTCTCACTCTGTCACCCGGGCTGGAGTGCAGTGGTGTGATGCTGGCTCACTGCAACCTCTGCCTCCCGGGTTCAAGCAATGTTCCTGCCTCAGCCTCTTGAGTAGCTGGGAATACAGGTGCGTGCCACCACGCCCAGCTAATTTTTGTATTTTTAGTAAAGATAGGGTTTCACCATGTTGGTCAGGCTGGTCTCAAACTCCTGATCTCGTGATCTGCCTGCCTCGGCCTCCCAAAGTTCTGGGATTACAGGCATGAGCCACTGTGCCCAGCGTGGGTTTAATTATTAATGATGGCCGTGTTCGGAATAGGCTGGACCAGGATAGGTTCAGAGTAGGCACGTTTAGTTGGAATTTTCTGAGTATGAGTGTCGTGTGGAAATTCACAGTGCCACTTGATTGCTGGAGGCCTGAATCTAGGAAGGCTTCTTGGAGTATGGATCCTGTTGAGAGTTTGGAAGTGAAAGTAGTAGTACTTCAGGCAGAAGAGATGGCCTCTATGGAGTCCCAGAAGTGAGGGCCAGGTATGGTGGCTCACACCTGTAATCCCAGCACTTTGGGAGGCTGAGGCGGGTGGATTGCTTGAGCTCCAGAGTTTGAGACCAGCCTGGGCAACATGGTGAAACCCTGTCTCTACAAAAACTACAGAAAAGTAGGCCAGGCACGGTGGCTCACGCCTGTAATCCCAGCACTTTGGGAGGCTGAGGCAGGCAGATCACTTGAGGTCAGGAGTTCGAGACCAGCCTGGCCAACATGGTGAAACCCCGTCTCTACTGAAAATACAAAAATTAGCCAGGCCTAGTGGTGCACGCCTGTAATCCCAGCTACTCAGGAGGCTCAGGCAGGCGAATCGTTTGAGCCTGGGAGGCAGAGGTTGCAGTGAGCTGAGATTGCACCACTGCACTTCAGCCTGGGTGGCAGAGTGAGACCCTGTCTCAAAATAAATAAATAAATAGAGTCCCGAAGTGAAACTGGGCAGGACAAAGTAGCGAGTAGAGGACAGATTGGCCAAGTTGCCTTTGGTCAGTGTCCACCCCTGCTTTGATGGCTGCAGAAGCTTCTCAGGGGACTCACTTGCCTTCTACCCCCAACCCAGGTGAATGCACAAGTTAGTGGCTGGGGCTTTTAAGAGAAATGGTTGAATGCCCATGAGTAGTTGACATATCCCCCACCTCCCTCTGACATGCATGTTTCCTAGTGAAGGGTGAATAGACAGCGGATACCTCATTGGGGCTTGGCAGCCAGGGGCTTCGCTGGCAGAAACAGCTGTCTCTCAGATGCTTCTTGTGTCTGGATCTTGGGAGCCAATGGTCCTTATAAACCAGGGCAGCTCAGTGGGGTAGGGGGCAGGGCAGACTAAGCCCATTCAGCTGCTCTCCAGCCACTCTAGCCTTCAATAACACAATGCTAGTGTAGAAAAGACCTTAGATATCAGCTCATTGGGTGGTTTTTATTTTGTTTCATTTGTTTTGTTTTGTTTTTTTCTGAGATGGAGTCTTATTCTGTTGCCCAGGCTGGATTGCAGTGGCACGATTTCGGCTCACTGCAACCTCTGTCTCCCAGGTTCAAGTGATTCTCCCACCTCAGCCTCCTGAGTAGCTCGGATTACAGGCCCCCACCATCACGCCTGGCTAATTTTTTGTATTTTTAGTAGAGATAGGGTTTTGCTATGTTGGCCAGGCTGGTCTCCTGACCTCAGGTGATCTGCCCGCCTCGGCCTCCCAAAGAGCTGGGATTGCAGGCATAAGCCACCATGCCTGGCCATTGGTGGAGCATAAGACCCCCTGTTCTCTCTAAACCTTACCGGAATAATCGTTGGGAAACCACTGATCTAGTCCTGCCACCTCTTTTTTTTTGAGATGGAGTCTTGCTCTGTCGCCCATGCTAGAGTGCAGTGGCGTGAGCTCGGCTCACTGCAACCTCCGCCTCCCAGGTTCAAGCGATTCTCCTGCCTCAGCCTCCGGAATAGCTGGGATTACAGGCGCCCGCCACCACGCCCAGCTAATTTTTGTATTTTTAGTAGAGACGGGGTTTCACCATGTTGGCCAGGCTGGTCTCGAACTCCTGACCTCCTGATCTAGCCACCTTGGCCTGCCAAAGTGCTGGGATTACAGGCGTGAGCCACCACGTCTGGCCACCTTTTTTTTTTTTTTTTTTTGAGATAGAGTCTTGCTCTGAATCCCAAGCTGCAGTGCAGTAGTGTGATTTTGGCTCACTGCATCCTCTGCCTCCTGGGTTCAAGCAATTCTCCCATCTCAGCCTCCTGAGTAGCTGGGGCTACAGGCGTGCACCACCACACCCAGCTAATTGTTTTTTTGCATTTTTAGTAGACTCAGGGTTTCACCATGTTGGTCAGGCTGGTCTTGAACTCCTGACCTCAAGTGATCCACCCGCCTTGGCCTCCAAAAGTGCTAGGATTACAGGCATGAGCCACCGTGCCTGGCTACCTTCTTGTTAGCAGAAAACATTGAGGCCTTCCTTTTCCCTTTCTGGGAAGAATGCCCCTCTCTGGCTGCCTCCTCAGTGTGAGGTGTGTGGAAGTACAGGGTGTCTGCATCTTACCTGGAAGGATGGAGTCTTGTTGTCAGGTTGGCACTGAGCCCCTCACCCTAGTATCACTGATGTTTCTCCTTCAGACTCTGCTCCTAATGCTGTATAGCCCCCTGTTCTGAGGATTCCTGAGTTGGGGCAGGAGAGGAAGAGTCTGTGGGGAGGAGCCTGGGCAGGACCTGAGAGCTTTGGCTCCTGGTCAACCAACCAACCAAACCTTCATTGAATTCCTATTAGGTGTTAGTGCTGGGGGCACCCAGAGGGGTACAAACAGGGTCCTGGCTTTCAAAGGACTTGCCATCTAGTTAGGGGAATGACACATGAAGAGACTAAGAGGTGTCACTAGGGGGTGAGCAGTCACAGCGCCAAGGGAAGAGACAAGTGGTATCAAAAAGAGGGGGTGACACCCAAGGGCTGGAAAGATCTGAGAAGACTTTTTGGAAGAAGGTGGGACTTAAACTGAGTCTTGGAAGATGCAGTGATTTCCTAGGTTCCTGATTTTCTTCCTTTTCTTTTTCTTTTTTGAGACAGAGTTTCACTCTTGTTACCTAGGGTGGAGTGCAATGACATGATCTCAGCTCATTGCCAAGATCAAGCAATTCTCCTGCCTCAGCCTCCCGAGTAGCTGGGATTATAGGCATGCGCCACCTCGCCCGGCTAACTGTATTTTTAGTTGAGTTGGGGTTTCTCCATGTTGGTCAGGCTGGTCTTGAACTCCCAACCTCAGGTGATCCACCTGCCTCGGCCTCCCAAAGTGCTGGGATTGCAGGCATGAGCCACTGTGCCCGGCCAGGATCCCCCATTTTTAAATGAGGATAATGGACTCAACGGAACATTTGAGTTGTGCTAGCATAGGAAGGAGATTCTAGGCTGCATTCCTAAAACCTGGATATGGGAAATAATAGTAATAGTAGTGGTGGTAGTAGAAGGTACCTCTTATAAAATGCTTCTTTAGGGCTGGGCACGGTGGCTCACACCTGTAATCCCAGCACTTTGGGAGGCTGAGGCGGGCGGATCATGAGGTCAGGAGATCGAGATCAGCCTGGCTAACATGGTGAAATTCCGTCTCTACTAAAAATACGACAAAAAATTAGCCGGGCGTGGTGGCACGCACCTGTAATCTCAGCTACTCCGGAGGCTGAGGCAGGAGAATTGCTTGAACCCGGGAGGCAGAGGTTGCAGTGAGCTGAGATTGCGCCACTGCACTCCAGCCGGGTGACAGAGCCAGACTCTGTCTCAAAAAAAAAAAAATGCTTCTTTAGTGCGTGACAGAGCCAGACTCTGTCTCAAAAAAAAAAAAAATGCTTCTTTAGTGCGAGGAACTGTTCATCTCTATCCTTACGATAGTGCTATAAGGTAGGTATGGTTGTCATCCCATTTTGTAGATGAGAAAACTGAGGTGCAGACTTTCTGGATATTACTCAGCTAATAAGTGGCGAGCCAGGATTGAACCCAGGCAGGCAGTCTGGCCCAAGGTGTTATTGAGCACCAAGCTCCACAGATAAGGGTTTGGTTGTTCTTTTTTTTTTTTTTTGATTCGGAGTCTCGCCCTATCACCCAGGCTGGGGTGCAATGGCATGATCTCAGCTCACTGCAACCTCTGCCTCCCGAGTTCAAGAGATTCTCCTGCCCCAGCCTCCCGAGTAGCTGAGATTACAGGCACGTGCCACCACGCCCAGCTAATTTTTTGTATCTTTAGTAGAGGCAGGGTTTCACCATGTTGGCCAGGCTGCTCTCAAACTCCTGACCTCGTGATCCGCCCGCCTCTGCCTCTCAAAGAGTTGGGATTACAGGTGTGAGCCACCGTGCCTGGCCTAGTTGTTCTTAAGGCAGGGAAATGGAGGCCTGAGGCAGAGGAGTGTCTGGATACACACCAAGTGCTGGCCCCCAACCTGCTTTTCTCTTACTACCACTTCCCCCACCCCAAGGTGCAACTCATCTGCCATATGTAGAAAGGGAGACCTCAGACCTCCAGATGCCTTGCCATGTCTAATACACGGGACCCACAGGCTGGACCCGGTGCTCCTCTCCTGTTCTCTCATCCCTAGATAGGTGACAAGTCCACATCATTGTTTTTATAAAAAATTCAGAGGATGCAATTAATAACATTTCTGTCTTCCTTCCCTCCCCCACCCCAGAGGATTTCAAGTTCTTCTATTATTATGGTAAGGAGTAAGAGTTTGGGATGGGAGCTGGAGAGGAGCGGGAGATGGCAGGTATGAGGCCAAGAGGTCACCTTTCCCTTTCCCTGTGGTGAGGGTACCCAGCTGGACATGGCCTCTGCCTAGTCCTATTCTAGACTCTGTTTGGGGGCAAGGGCTGTCCTGTGGTTTAGCTTCTTTCCTCTCCCAACAGGGGGCTGCCTGGACAGTCCAGGAGTACCTGTGGGCAGACAGCCCTGCAAATACCTGTATTTAGACTTCTGAAAATGGACTTCATGGGGCTGTAACACCTGTGTCTGGGAGCTATGCCTTTAAAAAGGGATAGCTTTTAGGCTGGGCACGGTGGCTCACACCTGTAATCCCAACACTTTGGGAGGCCGAGGCAGGTGGATTAATTTAGGTCAGGAGTTCAAGACCAGCCTGGCCAACGTGGAGAAACCCCATCTCTACAAAAAATACAAAAAGTAGCTGGCATGGTGGCGGGTGCCTGTAATCCCAGCTACTCGGGAGGCTGAGGCAGGAGAATCACTTGAACCTGGGAGGTGCAGGTTGCAGTGAGCCAACATTCTGCCACTGCACTCCAGCCTGGATGACAGAGCGAGACTCCATCTCAAAAATAAATAAATAAAATAAAAATAAAAAGAGATAATTTTAAAAATTAGCTGCATTTCTCCCATTATAAAAGCAGTATCATACTACACAATGGAAGTAAGGCAGAAAAAAAGCAGTGTCAGCTTGTAGAAAATTTAGAAATGCAGAAGTAATCTAATTCTACTACAGGAGATAGTCATTAACACAGTGGTGGACTTGGGCTTGTTCTTACCTTTTCTGAACCTCGTTTTTGGTTCTGTGCATGTGTTTTAATGTGAGCGAGCTCATTTTGTGTATCTAGTTTTGTACTGTATTTTTTTTTTATGTATGTATGTATGTATTTATTTATTTTTTGAGACGGCGTCTCGCTGTCTCCCAGGCTGGAGTGCAGTGGCGTGATCTCGGCTCACTGCAAGCTCCGCCTCCCGGGTTCACGCCATTCTCCTGCCTCAGCCTCCCGAGTAGCTGGGACTACAGGCACCCACCACCACGCCCGACTAATTTTTTGTATTTTTAGTAGAGACGGGGTGGATGGTCTCGATCTCCTGACCTCGTGATCTGCCCGCCTCGGCCTCCCAAAGTGTTGGGATTACAGGCGTGAGCCACCGCGCCCGGCCTGTGTATTTACTTTTTGAAGATGGAGTCTCGCTCTGTCGCCCAGGCTGGAGCTGGAGTGCAGTGGCATGAGCTCAGCTCACTGCAACGTCCGCCTCCTGGGTTTGAGCAATTCTCTTGCCTCAGCCTCCCAAGTAGCTGGGACTACAGGCACCCACCACCAGGCCTGGCTAATTTTTTGTATTTTAGTAGAGACAGGGTTTCACTGTGTTGTCCAGGCTGGTCTCAAACTCCTGAGGTCAGGCAATCCACCTGCCTTGGCCTCCCAAAGTGCTGGGATTACAGGCGTGAGCCACCGCACTTGGCCTTGTACTATCATTATTTAACTTAGCATAGGAAGCAATTTTCTGTCATTATGTAGTTTTAGGCCTTTTGTTTTATTTCAAAATTTTATCAGTATGATAACACATACATTGTTCAGATATTACTACTATTGGGGTTGGAATGCAACTCTTAGCTCTTTCCTCATTAGATTCCTTTAGATTTTCACATTAGATTCTTTTCCTACTTTAGATTAGATTCCTTTAGATTTTCACATTGGATTCTTTTCCTACTTTTTTTTTTTTTTTTTTGAGATTTAGATATTATCAATTGACTTTCTACCATGGAAAATAAGTCCTCATCATTCTTATGCCTTTCTGCAGACATTTCCCTTCCTCCAAAAATACCACCATTTTGGGCAAATTACTATGAACGTGAAAATATTTTTTACAACTAAACTATGTATTACATAGTTTTCTTTTCTTTTTTTTTTTTTTGAGGCAGAGTCTCACTCTGTCATCCAGGCTGGAGTGCAATGGCGCAATCTTGGCTCACTGCAACCTCCTGGGTTCAAGTGATTCTCCTGCCTCAGCCTCCCGAGTAGCTGGGATTACAGGCACCCGCCACCACACCCGGCTAATTTTGTATTTTTAGTAAGAGATGGGGTTTCACCTTGCTGGCCAGCTGGTCTGGAACTCCTGACCTCAAGTGATACACCCACCTTGGCCAAAGTGCTGGGATTACAGGCATGAGCCACTCACTGCACCTGGCCCATAGTTTTTATAAACATAATATTAACTCCTGATATTCCATTTATTCATTTTCTGTTATAAATGAGGTTGTTAAAAGTATTTGTGCACAAAGCTTTTTTTTTTTTTTTTCTTTTTGCCTGGCTACCTCTGTCTCCTCCAAAGCTTTTTTTTTTTAATTTAGGATTTTTATTAAGCTAAATTTCTAGTAAAGTCCTAAGACATGGGAATGAATTTCTTTCTTTTACCTTTTTAAATTTGAAAATTTTTATCTTTAGAGACAGTGTTGTTTTGTTGTTCAGGCTGGAGTGCAGTTGGTGTGATCATAGCTCATGGGAGACTTGAACTCCTGGGCGCAAGGGATCCTCCAACCTTGAGTAGCTGGAACTCCAGTAAGCTTCCTGAGTAGCTGGAACTGCAGGCATGTGCCACCACACCTGGCTAATTAAAAAAAATTTTTTGTAGAGATGGGGTCTTGCTACGTTGTTCAGGCTGGTTTCAAACTTCTGGCTTCAAGTAATCCTCCTGCTTTGGCTTCCCAAAGTGTTGGGATTACAGGCTTTGGCCACTGTGCCTGGCCTTTCTTTTACCTTTTGTTTTGTTTTTTTTTTTTGAGACAAAGTCTCGCTCTTGTCCCCCAGGCTGGAGTGCAATGGCATGATCTCGGCTCACTGCAACCTCCGCCTCCTGGGTTCAAGCGATTCTCCTGCCTCAGCCTCCCAAGTAGCTGGGATTACAGGCGCCTGCCACCACGCCTGGCTAATGTTTGTATTTTTAGTAGAGATGGGGTTTCACCATGTTGGCCTGGCTGGTCTTGAACTCTTGACCTCAGGTGATCTGCCCTCCTCGGCCTCCCAAAGTGCTGGGATTACAAGTGTGAGCCACTGCGCCCGGCCTCTTCTACCTTTTGATTGGAGACTGTCATACATTCAGTAAAGGATCTTAAGTGTACTGCTCAATAAATTTTAGGTATGTATCTGCCATGCACCACCTTGCAGGTCCAGTCAAGATACAGGATGTTTACATTACTCAGAAGGCTCCTCATGTCTCTTCTTATTCCTCATGTGTCTTCTTATTCATCATGTGTCTTCTTAGCAATACCCACCCCATTTCCCCTGGCAACGTAATCACTTTTTTGACTTCTGTCACCATCAATCTATCAATTAGCTTTACCTGTTCATGAACTGGAATGAACGTTTTAAAGGCTCTTGATGCACAAGCAGTGGGCATCTCTTTGGGTGATGTGACTTCTTGACTGCTCCCTGCCAGGGCTACAGCACAGTTATCTCTGTAACCCTGGCCTTAGCTCCTTCGGGGCAGGAGACAGCTGCTCACTGCCCAGGCCTGTGCAGGCATAAACAGACTTGGGGATGGCCAGGCCCAGGGTGGGAGGCATATCTTGGGAAGTGGATTTCAACAGGTGACTTGTTTGACCAGGCCCAGCCGCAGCCCCAGCCCCAGCCCCAGCCCCAAGCCCAGTCTCAGCCACCGTCATCCAACAAGCGTCCCAGCAATAGCACGCCGCCCCCCACGCAGCTCAGCAAAATCAAGTACTCAGGGGGGCCCCAGATTGTCAAGAAGGAGCGACGGCAAAGCTCCTCCCGCTTCAACCTCAGCAAGAATCGGGAGCTGCAGAAGCTTCCTGCCCTGAAAGGTACTTGGCAATTGGTCACAGGGGCTGTTTTACCAGTTCTAGTGGGCATCGGGAGTTGGTGGAATGGAAGTTTTGGGGTATTTTGCGGGGAAGGGAGTTCCAGAGAATGCGGGAAGGGGGTGCCAGGGAGCAGGATGGTGGCAGGGTGGGGTAAGGGAAAGCCCTTGAAGGCAAGCAGGGCATCGCAGTGAAGGACTACAGAGGAGAACCTGACTGCTGGGGCCCCCACAGATTCGCCAACCCAGGAGCGGGAGGAGCTGTTTATCCAGAAGCTACGCCAGTGCTGTGTCCTCTTTGACTTCGTGTCAGACCCACTCAGTGACCTCAAATTCAAGGAGGTGAAGCGGGCAGGACTCAACGAGATGGTGGAGTACATCACCCATAGCCGTGATGTTGTCACTGAGGCCATTTACCCTGAGGCTGTCACCATGGTGGGCACAGGGAAAGGACACAGGGGGGACTGGTGAGGGGCTCTGGAGAAGCCCAGGTGGAGCTCTAACTGGCCCTACCCCTCAGTTTTCAGTGAACCTCTTCCGGACGCTGCCACCTTCATCGAATCCCACAGGGGCTGAGTTTGACCCAGAGGAAGATGAGCCCACCCTGGAAGCTGCTTGGCCACATCTCCAGGTACCAGGGCAAGGGGGCAGATTGGCCGTGGCTGCAGGGAGTGGGGCACTTGGAGGCCTGCAAGTCCTTGGGAACATCCCCTCAGTGGCGTGCCTTTTCCCCTATAGCTCGTGTATGAGTTCTTCTTACGTTTCCTTGAGTCTCCTGATTTCCAGCCAAACATAGCCAAGAAGTACATCGACCAGAAGTTTGTACTTGCTGTGAGTCCCCGAGTTCCTGTCCTTGCCCTCTCTTTCCATTCCATGCCCCCTTCATCTGTGTCCCAGTGGCTCTTTCCCCTTAAGCTGAATATATTGGGTTTCATCCATGTCTGGTACGAGGAGGCTATAAAGGGTAAAAAACAAAACAAAACAAAACCCTACTCTGGCCTTAAGAAACTAACAACATAATGGTAGGAAACAAAAAAGCAACAGAGTACCTCTCTCAGGTCAATAGTGAGGCATCACTTTGGAAGTCTCAGTACAAATACAATAGAATCAGCAATATAATAGAATCACTGCTTTCTAAGACTTGCTGGCCCCCACTCCAGGGGACCTCTGCATTTCCCCTGGCGGGACCTATGTCACCCTGGCCACTGCCTTCCCTGGCTGCTGCCTCACTGGCTGCTTTCCCTCCCTTGTACCCCCAGCTCCTAGACCTATTTGACAGTGAGGATCCTCGAGAGCGGGACTTCCTCAAGACCATTTTGCATCGCATCTATGGCAAGTTTTTGGGGCTCCGGGCTTATATCCGTAGGCAGATCAACCACATCTTCTACAGGTGAGGCCAGGAGCCCAGGCTTAGGAGCAAAACCTTCTGCTACTGAGGTGGGGTGGGAGCAGGGAGGTGGGGGGACTGTACAGAATGCTGGAGGGACATCAGGGGTTGTCAAGAGAGCCATTTTTCTTCCCTCAGGTTCATCTACGAGACGGAGCATCACAACGGGATTGCTGAGCTCCTGGAGATCCTGGGCAGGTGAGAGGCCGGGTGGGGGCACAGATGCCTGAAAAAGGTTGGCAGGATTGGTGTACTGAACTTGGATCTGACCCTCTGGTCCTAACAAATGTCCCTTAATTCCTAGCATCATCAATGGCTTTGCCCTGCCCCTTAAAGAAGAGCACAAGATGTTCCTCATCCGTGTCCTACTTCCCCTTCACAAGGTCAAGTCCCTGAGTGTCTACCACCCTCAGGTGAGCTGCCTTCCTCCTTATAATGTCCAACTCAGGCAGCAGAGAAAAGAGCCGGCAGGAAAGTGTTCCAGCTGGGATAGGGGAAGCATAGGGAGCAGGTGGGATAATTCCTTCCCTCCATCTCCCCTTCCCTTCTGGGATCTTGTTTCTATCACTGACTTCTCTGAGAGCTTCTAGGACCTACACCTCACCTCCCTTCTACCTCACACCTTTGCAGCTGGCATACTGTGTGGTACAATTCCTGGAGAAGGAGAGCAGTCTGACTGAGCCGGTAATTCCCCTTCCGGGCCCCAAGGCCCACCTCTTACTGTCAGCATCACTTGCCAGTCTGTACCTACTGGGGGTGCCATAAGGGGGAACTCAGGAGGGCTGTGACCTGACCGGTAACATGGTTTCCTCTCTGAAGGGGAAGCAAAACCTATATACACCTAGGAAACAGATCCAAGGCAAAGAAACGGGTAGCTGGCTGAGATCACCCAAACTGTGCCCACCAGGGTGGGGGAGAGAGCAGGTAGGAAAACTTCCTGGTGACCTAGGCAGGTGCAAAGAATTTTCATCCCCATGCCCTCCTTGTCTCCCAGGTAATTGTGGGACTTCTCAAGTTTTGGCCCAAGACCCACAGCCCCAAGGAGGTGATGTTCTTGAATGAGCTGGAGGAGATTCTGGACGTCATTGAACCTTCTGAGTTCAGCAAAGTGATGGAACCCCTCTTCCGCCAGCTGGCCAAGTGTGTCTCTAGCCCCCATTTCCAGGTGAGACTCCAACCTAGCATATCCTAGCCCCTGCCAGAAACTGAGGTCTTGAGTGAAATGAGCAGCACCCACCGAGTCTGCCTCTCCCCACCAGGTGGCAGAGCGTGCTCTCTATTACTGGAACAATGAGTACATCATGAGCCTGATAAGTGACAATGCTGCCCGAGTCCTCCCCATCATGTTCCCTGCACTCTACAGGAACTCCAAGAGCCACTGGAACAAGTAAGGCGCTGGGGTGGGGCTGGGTGGTGGGGATCCAGTTTGGGAAACTTTGAGGGTATGGAAGAACTAAAGAGCCAGGGGTCTCACCTAGTCACCCAGCAAGTGGGGCTGATGTCCCCTGCATGTTGATAGGACCTTGAGGGGCTGACTGGAGCGAAAAGATGCCTGTGTGCAAGATCTCTGTGATACCAAACAGCAGGGCAGCGGCCTGTTACACCGCTCCTTGGGTTCAGCTATTCTACAGGTCCTATCACAGCTTTGGAGATGTAATTCTATGCAGTGAGAAGCTGATGTGACCTTCTTTGAGAGTATGTGTAAAGAATCCCAGGGTTTTAGGCCGGGCACGGTGTCTCACGCCTGTAATCCTAGCACTTTGGGAGGCTGGCAAGGCGGGTGGATCACGAGGTCAGGAGTTTGAGACCAGCCTGCCCAACATAGTGAAACCCCCATCTCTACTAAAAATACAAAAATTAGCTGGGTGTAGTGGTGGATGCCTGTAGTCCCAGCTACTTGGGAGGCTGAGGCAGGAGAATCACTTGAACCTGGGAGGTGACGGTTGCAGTGAGCCGAGATCGTGCCACTGCACTCCAGCCTGGGCAACAGAGTGAGACTCCGTCTTAAAAAAAAAACTCAGGGTTTTGAAAAGACTTTTCTGCTAAAAGCAAGCACACTGTGGTGTAGATGCAGTCTGTCATGCTGCATCTACATGCCCATCATGCTGCTGGGAGGCCATTAGTGTGGGTTAGAGTGGGAAAGGATGGGAGGTAGGCAGGCCTTGGAGCATGGGGTGAGGGAAGGATGGACAGGTGGACCGATATTTGTGAAAACCATGAAATGCCAGTCTCAAACCAGGTGATTTGGCCAGAGCTCTCTTCTGATACTGCACAGAGGTTTGTGAACTGGAAGTAGTAAATGACAAAGCTCTTAGCAGAGATACCCCTGTGAGAGAACAAATTGGGTTCCTCACGCTAAGGGCAGGCTCTGGCCTCCTACACCTCATCTTTCTTCTTGGTGGCAGGACAATCCATGGACTGATCTATAATGCCCTGAAGTTGTTTATGGAAATGAATCAGAAGCTGTTTGATGACTGCACACAACAATACAAGGCAGAGAAGCAGAAGTGAGTATCTCTCTCCCCGGGAGACTTTCATCTTCTACCACCAGCTCACTGTGTTTCTCTCAAGCCCAACCCCAATCCTACTTTTGCTCCTCAGGGGCCGGTTCCGAATGAAGGAAAGGGAAGAGATGTGGCAAAAAATCGAGGAGCTGGCCCGGCTTAATCCCCAGGTGAGGTTTTCCTGCCACTGTTGTGAACTGAGGGGCCAGCCCATCTTGAGCTGGGGGAGAGTTTGTTGGGGGAGGAATATGGGGCACACAGGCCCCCAAGCCTCTGAAGTGGCTCTTAACGCTTGTCCATGTCTCCTCACTCAGTATCCCATGTTCCGAGCCCCTCCACCACTGCCCCCTGTGTACTCGATGGAGACAGAGACCCCCACAGCTGAGGACATCCAGCTTCTGAAGAGGACTGTGGAGACTGAGGCTGTTCAGGTGGGAGGGCAATGTAGGGGGATGGAGCAGAAATAATAGCTCTGGAAGGGAGAGGAGACAGAAACAGCAGAGCCAAAGAATAAGGGGACGGAACAATAGAATTCACTGGGAATTGGTCACCATTCCTCACCTTGTCCCTATTCACACACAGATGCTAAAAGACATCAAGAAGGAGAAAGTGCTGCTGCGGAGGAAGTCGGAGCTGCCCCAGGACGTGTACACCATCAAGGCACTGGAGGCGCACAAGCGGGCGGAAGAGTTCCTAACTGCCAGCCAGGAGGCTCTCTGACCCCTCACGTTCCTACCACAGGGCCACAGCCCACACAGCCCTGGGACACTGCCCTGGCCCTCCATACTCTGCTCCCTACTGGCTGTCTTGGGGGAAGGCAGCGCCTCTCTAGCTACTCAAGGGAGGGGGATGTGGGCACTTGAAGCAGGGACACCCACAGAATGGTCCCTCTTCTCCCCAAAAGGTGTTCATGCCTCCCTGTGGCTAGTACAGGCTGAGCACTAAGATGCTTAGTGCTCAGACAACCTGGGGATGCCTGTCCCCTACCTGCTCCTCACCCACAGCTACCTGAGGCTGCTCTGAGAAGTACACACAGGAATACATACGCTCCTCTATTCTTCCCTTCATCCTCATTTGAACGCCAGGTATCTCCCCTCCTCTCTCTCCCCTGCAGAGGCATGTAGGGAACAGCAGGAGATTATTCTCACCAAAGTTATGTCAAGCCCCATTGGTCCCAGAGTAGCTGAAGGGAAGCCAACCCCCCTGCAGCACAAATAGGCCCCCCAGTCCCAGCCGTGTGCTGGCAGATAGGGTTGTATTATTTCTTCTTACCCCATGCCTGACCAAGGGAGGTCAAAAGGAGAAAAGTATAGGCTGTGGACAATAACTGATGAATATAGGGCCCAGATGGACCAAGTGGGGCCGGGGAGGGATGAATAAACACCCTACCCCGTGCCCTGTCTTTGGTGAGCAGCAGCCCTGGGGTCACAGACATGGAAGGGACCACCCTGGGGCTGACTGCTTTTCTGTGCTGTTGGTTCCCAAAACTAGAAAGAAGGAAGCAGGGAGCGGTGCCCCAAGCATGGCTCCTGCCAACACCTATTTATTTCCTTGTTTGTGCTATGCTGGGCAGGCCTTCTCTTGTCCCTTATAGGTACCTTGGAGGGGCCAGGGGCTGAGGAAGGCCGGACCCAGGTTCCAGGGGCGCAGGCAGTGCGGCTTTTGGCTGTGTACATAGGGTGCTTTATTCTCCACAGAGTGATACATGCTAAGGTGGGTTGGGCTTGGACCGATGTCCCCATATGTACAGAACTGAATAAAGTGGGTCTCTGAGAAGTCTGATGTGCCTTGATGTGGAAAGGGAGACGGGGAAGATGGAAATGGACATTACAACCAGGGATGTGTTCAGTCCTGTGCTGGTTCTGGCCTGGAATGTAGGAATATAAGGCAGCTCTCACTGTGGTCACTTCCAGGCAGGGGATGCCTGCCGGGCTTGGAGGGCTTTCTGTACCACATCTTCCCACTGGGCATCCGATATCTCCCGAGCCCAGGCAGGAACCCCTGGCGCAGGCAGGCTTACTCCAGCCATTGTCCTTTTCACCAGCTCTACATGTTCTGAAATCAGAGCCAGAGGCCATTCAGGCATAGAAATAATGGGACCAGCTCCCCTCCCCAATCCCCGAATCAACCCAGAGCCCTTGGGCTGCTAGGGTCACCAAATCCACCTTGTTACTTTAAGGCAAGCCTGCCCATCCCCAAAGCTAGCAAAAGAGCATTTCACTTGGACTCTGAAGTCTACAAAATCTTAGTTTACAAACTATCTTTTTAGGATAGGGTCTTCCTCTGAAACTTCCTTCTACTGACTCATGCCAGTTCATTTCCTTAGTAATTATTCCAGAATGAAAGAATGATCTTTTACCTGGGTCCATGGGAATAGAGCTGTGGTTGTTCAACGCTGTAGCTCCCTCCTCATCTTCATCTTCACTCTCTAATGGTGGGTCTGGCAAATGAAGCCCCAGGGCCTGCAGAGCCACAGAAGACCGTTTGGGTCTAGGCTTTCAGGGAGCCCAGCTTCACCTGTTCAGGAACCATCCCTCCTCCACCCTACCTGGATTCGATCCTGGATGTCAGCAACTACATCTCCATCCCCCACTGGTGCCAGTTCCACCTCCTCTTGTTCAGGATCTTGGTTCAGGGGCTGGTAGGAGTAGCCAGCTGGGCCCGACCCCGTTTCCTCCTGCTCTTCCTCAGGCTCCTCACTGCTCCAATCCCCAGTGCCTTCTGAAGGGCCCTGATGTCCCAGTTCCTCAGTCTGATTGGGGAAGATACGCTCAGGGCCCATGGTGTCTCCTCCTAGAACTACTGTTGCCATCCGGGCAGGGGCTGCAAGAACAGGGAGGCGGTAGGACAGGGATCGGATGAAACCAGGCCCATCTTCATCCTCTCATCATCTCCTTGTAGTCTCCTGCGTGCAAAAAACCAGCTCCTCCCCGAGGCTCCTGCATCCTCCACCCCTCCGCCCCAATTCCAGCCTCTCGTTCCTCCCCCTCCTAAGTCGGGGTTCTTATCTTGAACCAGGCCCCACCAACTTGCTCCGCCACTTCCTAGTTAAACGCCCAACCGGAGGCCCTGCCACCTCCTAAAAGACACCCCTTCCAGAACCCCGGCTCCCCGCGCCACGCCTCCCCCGCGACTTGGGAACTCTGGGTCATCAGACTCCCCTAAACAGGTCGGCGTACCCGCCCCCTTCTCCCCTCTCCTAGAGGACCCCCTCTGTACCGCCTGACAGATGCCTTTCAGGCCCCATGGGCTCCCCTCAAATGGCCCCAGCTGCAGCGTCCCCCACCCGCCCCCATCCGAATCCCGGCGCCGGTGTTCCCGCGCGCCTCACCCGCTCAGAGCCCGCGGCCTCCACTTCCGGCGGGGCAGGACGTGCAGAGGTGCCTAGTCCTCCAGCCCCGCCCCATATCCATGATTGACGCTGGCGAGGACGAGGAGTCCGCCCCTTGCCCCGCCTCCGTCATTCCCAGCCCAAAAAACAAAGGACTGCATTACCCAGTGGCCTCCTCGGTCTCGACACATATTTGCACATGCGCAGAATCTCTCCTACGCCCCTGCCCACTCCTCAGCCCTCTCGTCCCTCAGGAAACGTATGGACTACAAGTCCCGAAATGCCTCCGGCACTTAGCTACGACTGCACGTGCGCGCACAGCTGCCCGCCGGAAGAACCGAGCTTGGCTGTGTTTATCTCGTTGGGGACTAAGGCGTCGGTTGGCGCGCAACGGGTTCTAGGCTGCAGGCAGCTCGAGGACCCGCGGCCCCGCCCCGGCTCGGCCTGGCAGGTAGCCTGGGATGGGTAGAAGGGCAAGGGAGAATTAGGGGGCTTAGGACGTGCTGTCTGGAGCTGGAGTGGCGGGGGAGGGGCCTGAGAGTGATGAGGTGGGGGTGGGGAGGGAGCTAGGGGGATGATGGGAAAGGAGAGTGTTAATGGGGAAAGCAGGGCTAGGGGAGGATGGCGAGGAGATGGGTAGGAGAGACCTGGTGTCTGGAGGAAGCAATGAAGGAAATGGGAAGGAAGACTGGGCCATGAAAACAGGGAAGCTGAGCATAATGGAAGGGGAGGGGTGTCTGGCGTGGTGGGCTAGGGGAGGCCGGAATGTCTGGAAGAAGACAGGGATAGAGTCATATGCAGAGAGGGGTATCGTGGTCAGTGCATGCTAATTTTTCTTTCCTTAGTGGAGGTGGGAAAATGGAGGGCTGTTGGGTGGAGCTTGGAATGGTAGGAGAAGGAAAAATGAGAAAACTGCAAAGCTCTCACGAGATCAAGAAGGGCGAGAAATGGGGAATAAAAAATGCAAGAGACCAGGCGGGTAGATACATTAAGGGAATAGAAGAAGTTTGAAAATGCTTGGTGGTGATGGAGGACTGGGGAGACCCAGGGATAAGAGGAGCCCCTGAGCGCCTGGGGGCTTGTTCTCCTTGAATTTGAGTTGTTTATATGGCAGAGAAACTAAAATTTTTTTTCTCCACCTTTGGCTGGAATTGCTTATCTCCTCTCCTGTGCATATTTTACTTTACCTTGACATATCTGAAGGGAAGAATAGAGAATATAAGGGAGGATGGAAGACTTCCATTCTTAAGCCCATCGACCTCCTAACAGTCTCCACAAGCCCAGACCCAAGATATTTTGGAGAGCGGGAGTAATGAAGTGAGAGTAGCTTCCTGCTGGGGCTATTTCAGGATGGGTCCCATGGCTATTTAAAGCTTAGGGTGTGGAGTTGGGGGAGGTTGGGTGGGTGGGACTAGCAAGCCAGCTGAAAGCCATGTCTCTTTCCTGCAAGGGGCCTCCCTTATTTGAGCTGTTTTAGTGCCTGAGGTTTTGCCTGGCCCTTTCCTCTGCCAGGGCTTCTTAAACAGGGAGCAGATGATGATACACCCAAACTCAGGAGATGCTTGCCAGCAAAAGCATTGTCAGTTGCAAGGATTTGCCTGAAAAAACCTCAGATGTACCCAGGTGTACGTGCCACTAGGTTGACAGGTTGTGTTTAAGAGACCATGACCAGCTGGGCATGGTGGCTCACGCCTGTAATCCCAGCACTTCAGGAGACCGAGGACGGTGGATCACCTGAGGTCAGGAGTTTGAGACCAGCCTGGCCAACATAGTGAGACCCCATCTCTACTAAAAATACAAAAATTAGCTGGGCATGGTGGCAGGCGCCTGTAATCCCAGCTACTTGGGAGGCTGAGGCAGGAGAATCGCTTGAACCCGGGAGGGAGGCAGAGTTTGCAGTGAGCTGAGATTGCACCATTGCGCTCCAGCCTGGGGGCAAGAGCGAGACTTCATCTAAAAAAAAAAAAAAAAAAAAAGACCATGACTTCTCATGCTGGATCTTTCTCTTGTCCTGCCCAAGGGCATTTTTTGCCTCCCTTCCCCTTTTTTTTTGTTTTGAGACAGAGTCTCGCTCTGTCGCCAGACTGGAGTGCAGTGGTGTGATCTCGGCTCACTCCAACCTCCGCCACCCGAGTGCAAGCAATTCTCCTGCCTCAGCCTCCTGAGTAGCTGGGACTACAGGTGCGCGCCACCGTGCCCAGCTAATTTTTGTATTTTTAGTAGAGACGGGTTTCACCATGTTGGCCAGGATGGTCTCCGTCTCTTGATCTCGTGATCCACCTGCCTCGGCCTCTCAGGGTGCTGGGATTACAGGTGTGAGCCACTGTGCCCAGCCCCTTCCCCTTTGCATTGCACACTCCCACCTCTATCCGCCTTTCAGGAACCCAAGTTGTGGAAGAGCTTGTTCTCTCTTTTCTACTGGAAATGGCTTGTTCTCTACCACAGTAGCAGGGATGGGGAAGTGGCAGGAGGAGAAAACCCCTCCCTCTATCACCATCCCCCAAGCCTAAGCATACACATACCTTTCTGGCTTAAGTCCTGGCAGCATACCAGGCACAGCTGTCAAAGGAACTCCTTGTGCCTGTGGGGGGCCCTGGGTGACCCCAATGACAACAACTCAGCTTGACAGGAGCTCCCTGTGAGGGGCTAACCAACCGCGGTAACATGGAGGTCCCTGTCCTGGATCAGTCCCGCCCTATCTTGGGTAGGGGGATTGTTCCACTCTAAAAGCCTGAAAGCTTTTCTGCTTTGAGGCACTCATGCCAGCTTTCAATGGACTGTTTGAGGCTGGCTGGGCTATTAATAGCTGTGAGTATTTTGAGATCCCTTTCCCCACCTCAAAGAACACAGATTCTTAGAGAGGTGGCAGTAAGCAGAGCAGAGACAAGAGAATATACCGTTTGGGAAGGGGGCTTCAAGTTTGTGCCAAGCCAGGGACAGAGTGGAGCCTCCACGAGTAGGTTGTGACCATGATATGCAGATTCTGAGCTGGCAATCAGGTGGGGGTGGCCCCACCCTTCACTGTTGGAGAACACTGGGCCCAGGCTGCTCCCTGACCTCGGCAGCTCCCTTGGGGCAGGGCCAGCCACCTGAGCTGAGACTAGTGCCCCTGTGGAGGGGTAGTGTGGGAGGGCCCCCAGGGTGACACTTGGAGGCAAAGGCTGGTTCTGGGCAGAGTCACAGTGAGCTGGGCAGAAGCCTCGCCTGAGGATCCCGTGGCCCCAATTTGTGTGCAGATAGCAGAGGCAGCAGGCCGTGCCGGGGGGGCATGTTGCTGTAACCAGTGGCCCAGGGGATGTTACGGTGGACAGTGCACCTGGAGGGCGGGCCCCGCAGGGTGAACCATGCTGCAGTGGCTGTCGGGCATCGGGTATACTCCTTCGGGGGTTACTGCTCTGGTGAAGACTATGAGACACTGCGTCAGATAGATGTGCACATTTTCAATGCAGGTAAGCCAATGCTGGGGCTGTCCCTGGGTCCCCACATCAGGGTGGGAACGGGCTGCTGATGAGGTTTGGCTGTGGTCTCTGGGACCAAGGGGATTGGGGACAAACATCTGGTTTGGGAAAAGTGGACAGCCTGGAGGGAGGTTCCCAGGGCTGAGCAGAGCTGTGCCCACAGTGTCCTTGCGTTGGACAAAGCTGCCCCCGGTGAAGTCTGCCATCCGTGGGCAAGCTCCTGTGGTACCCTACATGCGCTATGGACACTCAACCGTCCTCATCGACGACACAGTCCTCCTTTGGGGCGGGCGGAATGACACCGAAGGGGCCTGCAATGTGCTCTATGCCTTTGACGTCAGTGAGTATGGATCTCAGAGAGGCTATGTCCTTCCAGATGTTGCCTCAGTTGCCCAAGAAAGGTTTGGGTTGGGGGTCTTGGGGAGTAGAGTACCCCAGAGCTGAGGAGGGACTGTCATAGAGGGTGCTTAGTTGAGCCATTTTCTCATCTCCTTCAGATACGCACAAGTGGTTCACACCCCGAGTGTCAGGGACAGTTCCTGGGGCCCGGGATGGACATTCAGCCTGTGTCCTAGGCAAGATCATGTACATTTTTGGGGGCTACGAGCAGCAGGTAGGTCTGGGAATAAAATAAGAGGTTTAGGGTGGGACTGAGAAAGAGGGGAAGGGCAATTTAGGATGGTGAAATGGGAGGCTTTGGCTTGTTTGCAGGTTTTGAGGGGAGGGATGGAGGGTCAGAGAGTGACCATTGGCTCCCTCTTTTCTTCCTCCTTTTCTCTTCCTACTCAGGCGGACTGTTTTTCCAATGACATTCACAAGCTAGATACCAGCACCATGACATGGACTCTTATCTGTACAAAGGTCTGCTCTTTCTTTTTTTTCCCAAATCCCCACCCTCTGTTGAAGCAATGATAGGAAGCTCAGTCAGAGGAGATCCTCTTCCAGTCTTTGTGCTGACCCCTCCACCATCTCTCTGCCTCTGCCCAGGGCAGCCCTGCACGCTGGAGGGACTTCCACTCAGCCACAATGCTGGGAAGTCACATGTATGTCTTTGGGGGCCGTGCCGACCGCTTTGGGCCATTCCATTCCAACAATGAGATTTACTGCAACCGCATTCGAGTCTTTGACACCAGAACTGAGGCTTGGCTGGACTGTCCCCCGACTCCAGTGCTGCCTGAGGGGCGCCGGAGCCACTCGGCCTGTGAGTGTTTGTTACTTCCCTGTGGAGTTCCCTTCCTGCCCTCTTCACACTCCTGACACTTCCTCTCTCCTTCCAGTTGGCTACAATGGGGAGCTGTACATCTTTGGTGGTTATAATGCAAGGCTGAACCGGCACTTCCATGACCTCTGGAAGTTTAATCCTGGTAAAGAGCACTGCATTTAGGGCAGGAACAAGGAGCAATTGAGGTGGGAGGAAAAGAAAATAATCCTGAGGCGGTGAGGGATGGGGGTGGGGAAGATACCTGGACTAGGCAGGTATTGAACTTCCATATAAATTTCTCTTCAGTGTCCTTTACCTGGAAAAAGATTGAACCGAAGGGGAAGGGGCCATGTCCCCGCCGGCGCCAGTGCTGCTGTATTGTTGGTGACAAGATTGTCCTCTTTGGGGGTACCAGGTTAGAAGGAGAGAGGGAAGGGGCTCAGGGAAGTCACTAATGGGAGAGTGGGAGGTATTTGAAAAGGGGGTTTCGTGGGTAGTTTTTGTCCTACTTTCATCTCTCTTTTGATCCCGACAGTCCATCTCCTGAGGAAGGCCTGGGAGATGAATTTGACCTTATAGATCATTCTGACTTACACATTTTGGACTTTAGTAAGTATAGTTATTCCTGAATTGCTCCTGCCATCAAGGTCCCTGTCTTTGGGTGGTGATATCCAGGACTGGATCCTTTCCTCACCTTTGACCATCTCCTTTCCACAACTTCTCCCTTAAAGGCCCTAGTCTGAAGACTCTGTGCAAACTGGCCGTGATTCAGTATAACCTAGACCAGTCCTGTTTGCCTCATGATATCAGGTACAGCGAGTGGTTGGAAGGGAGGGATTGAGTGAGGGTGAGTGAGCAGCACAGGTGTGACCTGATTAGCTTGGTTTCAGTATGGAGGAGACAGACATTTTTGTTCTGCTGGAGATGTAGTGTACTTGTGGGAAATGAGATGGAAGGAGGTGAATTGACAGCCATCATATAAAACTGTCAGCAGAATAAATTATATGAAAAAAAAATACAGCTCGGCAGCATCACTTTCTGAGACCTAAGCTTATACAGTTATTTTTGTGACCATGCTGAGAACAACTGATTAAATCTTAGAACCTAGCTGCAAAGTAAAGACAAGTTTAGGAGCCTCTGGATCACATTGGTTCCAGAAGATCTGGCTGCTTCCCTTTGAATTTCGTTCTTAGGTTCCAATTAACCACCAGATGTTACTTTATGTATAATTTTTCAGGTTCAAATTAACCACCAGATGTTACTTTGTATATAATTTTTCCTGTCTGGGTCATTCTGAGATACTTCGTCTCTTTGTATCAGTTCAGTTTAACTCTTGCTGGCTGGGCATGGTGGCTCATACCTGTAATCCCATCACTTCGGGAGGTTGAGGTGGGCAAATCAGTTGAGGTCAGGAGTTCGAGACCATCCTGGCCACATGGTGAAGCCCTGTCTATACTAAAAATACAAAAATTAGCTGGGCATAGTGGCAGCCACCAGTAGTCCCAGCTACTTGGGAGGTTGAGGCAAGAGAATTGCTTGAACCCGGGAGGCGGGGGTTTCAGTGAGTCAAGATTGTGCCACTGCACCACTGTACTCCAGCCTAGGTGACAGAACAAGACTCAAAAAAAAAATTAATATGGTTGGGTGGGTGGGGAAGGCCTCAGGAAGGATAGGAGTGCTGAGTCAGAGCCTTAAAAGGATGGGAGTTAAGAGCAAAAATGGGTATTCCTGGTGGGGTGAGGCATTCCTGGTGAGGGTAAGGTGGAGGGGCTGCCTGGTTGGCTCTAAGCAAAGCAGGAAAGGCAGGTTGGGATGTTGACTGACATGTATACACAGATCTCAGGTGCCTGGACACTGCAATATACATACATACATAAACATAAACCGGAAATCCATATGAGCTTGGAGGTAGAGGAGTGGGTGGTGTTGGATTTGGTGGTGGGTGGGTTCTGATTGTTCAACCTAGTAGGTCTCTTAAGTAAGAGGTGGCTGTGGGTGGTTGACCTTTAGGAAGTTGGAGAGACTGGTGTGTTTTTAGCTTGGTTCAAACATCCCTTAGCTTGGGCTGAGGGCCCCCTCTTCTTTCTGTCTCTTATTGTTGGCCTTCCAGGTGGGAGCTGAATGCCATGACCACCAACAGCAATATCAGTCGCCCCATCGTCTCCTCCCATGGGTAGGAGGAAGTTTCTGCCACCTCCCCTCCTGAGCCTGCTGTCATCTTCACTGCCCCTGCCCATCTGTCACCCACCTGCTCCTTTGACCCCTGGACTTGGTATACCTCCATGTGGAGTTGTTGGGCGAGAGGTGTTCTCTGTGCTGTGAATTCAGTGGGGAGCTGTAGCGGGGTGGGGGCTAGGTTCCTCCCCCCTTGGGCCGAGGGCCCCTTCCCCTTGGTGCTCTGTCCCCATCCACCTCCTTTCAGCTGCTCCTGGGCCTCAGCTCTGCCCAGGGCCAGCCAGGTTCTGCTGGGAAGGGAAGGGAATGGGGAGAAGGGAGAAGCAAGCAGTGTCTGAGCCTCAGGAGCTTCCCCCTCCCCCTTTGCCTATCCCCTCCCCTCTGCTTGAGCCTTGAGCCTTGACTGGGAGCTGAAAGGAGTTGCAGCTGTTGGCATGAGACCTCCTTCTCCCCGTCTTGGGGAGGTGGGGACCAGCAGATAAATCCCACCCTTCCTTGAGCTGTCGCTGTACTCTGAAGTTCAGCCAGCTCAGATTTTATAAAAATTAATTAAAATCTCCAAACGTGTTGTGTGTTTTTGTGGAATATGGTGGAGAAGGCTGGAGTTTGCAGTGGGGGCAGGGTGCCGAGGACAAGCACCCTGAGGTTCTGGCTTCTCAGCCAAGGGTATTAGGAAACCAAATGCCACCAAGGCCTGGTCCAAGCTTCTCGGGCGTGGAACCCAGCACCCTGCGACTCGGGCAGAAGGTTGCGACAATGTCTCCAGAGCGGGTTATCCTTTGGGCCCGGCTCCCTGGCCCTCGACCGCGCAGTTTTCTGCCCATTCGTCACCACGTTGAGACCGGGAACGCCGGAAGAGGCGGGGCAGGGGCTGCCGTGAGCGGAAGCGGCGCCATTCGTCTTCCGAGCGCTACTGCCAGCTGATGCCGGGAGCTAACTACCGCGCCGGGGCCGGGGCCGGGGCCGGGGCCCGACGTCCCCGCGGGGCCCGGGACCGCGAGGAGGACGGCGGGGGCCTGGAGCCCGCGGCCGTGGCCCGCGACCTATTGAGGGGTGAGGGCATGGGGCAGGGCGGGCTGGGGAGGGGAAGGAGATTCCCAGGCGGGGCCCTGAGCCTGCAGAGACGGTGCCGGTAAGACTGCCAAGTTCTCTAAGAGGCAGACGCTACACTAGGGGTGCCCCCAGTGCAGTGGAAAGTGGGGGGTGAGAGTAGATGCTTCCGGGATTAGGACATCCTGAGAAGTTTCTTCACGGCAGGATGAGGGTTTTCGGCGATGGGGAACGTATGTGCAATAGCATGGAGGCAGGAAAAGGCATGCATGGCTGCTGAAGGCTTAGTAGATCAGAATTCAGCAGATTCCGTAGACTTTGTTTTTTTAATTTTTTTTTTTTGAGACGGAGTCTCTCTCTGTCGCCAAGGCTGGAGTGCAGTGGCGCGATGTCGGCAAGCTCCGCCTCCCGGGTTCACGCCATTCTGCTGCCTCAGCCTCCAGAGCAGCTGGGACTACAGGCGCCCGCCACCACGCCCGGCTAATTTTTTGTATTTTTAGTAGAGACGGGGTCTCACCTTGTTAGCCAGGATGGTCTCGATCTCCTGACCTCGTGATCCGCCCGCCTCAGCCTCCCAAAGTGCTGGGATTCCAGGCGTGAGCCACTGCGCCCAGCCTGTTTTTTAAATTTTTTATATTTTTTATTTTTTTGAGACAAAGTCTCGCCCTGTAGCCCAGGCTGGAGTGTAGTTGCACCATGACGGCTCACTGCGGCCTCGAACTCCCGGGCCCAAGAGATCCTCCTACCTCAGCCTTTCGAGTAGCTGGGACTGCAGGCGCGTCACCACGCCTGCACGGATGGGTTTGTTTATTTATTTATTTATTTATTTAATGTAGAAACAAGGTCTCACCTTTTTTTTTTTTTTTTTTTTGACGGCGTCTCGCTCTGTTGCCCATGCTGGAGTGCAGTAGCGCGATCTCAGCTCACTGCAAGCTCCGCCTCCCGTGTTTACGCCATTCTCCTGCCTCAGCCTCCCGAGTAGTGGGACTACAGGCGCCCGCCACCACGCCCGGCTAATTTTTTGTATTTTTAGTAGAGATGGGGTTTCACCGTGTTAGCCAGGATGGTCTCTATCTCCTGACCTCGTGATCCGCCCGCCTCGGCCTCCCAAAGTGCTGGGATTACAGGCGTGAGCCACCTCGCCCAGCCAGGTCTCATCATGTTACCAGGTGCCAGGGCTGGTCTCCAGTTCCTGGGCTCAAGTGATCCACCCGCCTCAGCCTCCCAAGGATTACAGGATTACTGTGCCCAGCAAATGCTGCAGGCTTTTTGTTAAGGCACAGTTCTAGCTGCTGGAGATAGTTGTGAATAAAGTAGTCAAACACTCCTATCCTGGCCGGGTGTGGTGGATCACACCTGTAATCCCAGCACCAGGGGAGACTGAAGCAGGAGGATCGCTTGAGCCCAGGAGTTCAAGACCAGCCTGGTAAACATAATGAGACCCGCTTTTCTACTAAAAATAAAAAAATTTAGCCAGGGTGGTGGCCCACGTCTGTATTCCCAGCCACTGAGGAGGCTGAGGCATGAGGATAGTTTGAGCCCAGGAGGTCGAGGCTGCAGTGAGCAGTGATTAGGCCACTGCACTCCAGCCTGGGCAACAGAGCAAGACCTTTTTTCAAAATAAATAAAATTTAAGTCCAGGTGTGGCTCATGCCTGTAATCCCAGCACTTTGGGAGGCCGAGGTGGGCGGATCACAAGGTCAGGAGATCAAGACCATCTGGGCCAACATGGTGAAACTCGTCCTTATTAAAAATACAATAATCAGCTGGACTTGGTGGTGCGTGCCTTAGTCCCAGCTACTGAGGAGGCTGAGGCAGGAGAATCGCTTGAACCTGGGAGGCGGAGGTTGCAGTGAGCCGAGATCGCGCCACTGCACTCCAGCCTCGTGACAGAGTGAGTCCAGCTCAAAATAAATAAGTAAAATTTAAGGGAGACAAGTAAATTATTACATTAAAAGGCAATAAAACACTGAATTGTAGACTAGAGAACTGGATTTTGTGGAATATGAATTATAGCTCAATTTTTTTTAAGGTGATAGAGGATATGGAGAAAAAATAAAGCTTAGGAGAGGTTGCATTTTTTTTTTTTTTCCGAGATGGAGTCTCGCTCTGTCACCCAGGCTGGAGTGCAGTGACGTGATCTCGGCTCACTGCATCCTCTGCCTCCCAGGTTCAAGCTCTTCTCCCGCCTCAGCCTCCCGAGTAGCTGGGATTACAGGCACCTGCCATCATGCCCAGCTAATTTTTGTATTTTTGTAGAGACGGTTTCACCATGTTGACCGGGCTGGTCTTAAACTCCTGACCTCAGGTGATTGATCTGCCTCAGCCTCCCAAAGTGCTGGGATTACAGGCGTGAGCCACCACACCTGGACGAGGGGTCGCAATTTTAAATAACTTAGAGAAGACCTCTTTGGGAAGGTGATTTTGAATAAAGGCTTGAAGGAACTGAGGGAGGAGCTGTACCTATGTACAGTTTCTGGGGGAAGTGTACCAAGCAGAGGCAACATGTGCAGAGGAACTGAGGTGGGAATATGCTGCTAGGAGACACATTGAGAGGAGTGAGAAGGAGATGAGTAGAGTAGAGATATGACAGGGGCCAGGTCACTTGGGGGCTTGCAGGCCATTATTAAGGTACATGGCTTTTACTGTGAGCAAGATGGAAGCCATTGGGGACTTTTGCCTGTAGGAGTAACATGATCTGAAGTTTATGTGTGGGAGTGATAAGATCTGATTTTATTTTCGATGCCTCTCTCAGGCTGAATTGAGGCGCATAGCTTTGAGAGGAGTGAGGCTGGTGGTTGGGAGACTAGGAGGCTAGAGCACTGATTGAGGTGAGAGATGCTGAGCATGTGGACCAGGACACTGGCAATGGTAACTGAGCAAGGGAGGCAGATGCCCTTCTGGGGAAACCTGTGAATGAGTAAAAGAGAGAGTAAAAGAATGAGTAAAAGAGAAAAAGAAGGGACTATGGTTTGGTGCACCTTTGACCTTACATATACACCTTCCTTAGCAAGATGAGGCCCCAGGTTGCTGAAATAGTTGGAGAGTTTAACACTATCACAGCCTCTGCTGCCTAGGACTTCTAATAATGATTGGTCTGATGGGGTATTAGGATTAGCTAGCTAAGGAATGGGGATGGGAAGATGTCTTTTCTGCAGTGGGACATGCTGAGCTGAGTTGTATGTCCCTCCCCACTTCCACAGGCACATCTAACATGTCATTTGAGGAGCTGTTGGAATTGCAGAGCCAAGTGGGGACTAAGACGTACAAACAATTGGTAGCTGGAAATAGTCCTAAGAAACAAGCTTCTAGACCACCTATCCAAAATGCATGTGTTGCAGATAAGCACAGGTAAGCAAGGCTTGCCCTAGAAGTTGGAAGATAACTGGGACCTTGAATAGGTATGTTGTCTTGGGTGACAGGTGGGAAGCCTTTGACCAACACTGGAGTCCTCTTGACTTGGCTTTTAATTTCTCCATAGGCCTCTGGAAATGTCAGCCAAGATCCGAGTACCATTTTTACGTCAGGTTGTTCCCATTAGTAAAAAGGTAAGGAAGAAGGCCAGGCACTGTGGCTCACGCCTGTAATCCCAGCACTTTGGGAGCCCGAGGTGGGCGATCACCTGAGATCAGGAGTTCCAAGACCAGCATGGCCAACATGGTGAAACCCTGTCTCTACTAAAAATACAAAAATTAGCTGGGCATGGTGGTGTGTGCCTGTAGTCCCAGCTGCTTGGAAAACTGAGGCACAAGAATCGCTTGAACCTGGGAGGTGAAGGTTGCAGTGAGCCAGGATCATGCCACTGCCCTACAGCCTGTGGGACAGAGTAAGACTCTGTCTCAAAAAAAAAAAAAAAAAAAAAAATAGAGGCCGGGCGCAGTGGCTCATGTCTGTAATCCCAGCACTTTGGAAGGCCAAGGTGGGCGAATCACGAGGTCAGGAGATTGAGACCATCCTAGCTAACACAGTGAAACCCCGTCTCTACTAAAAATACAAAAAAAAATAGCCGGGCGTGGTGGCGGGTGCCTGTAGTCCTAGCTACTCAGGAGGCTGAGGCAGGAGAATGGTGTGAACTTGGGAGGCACAGCTTGCAGTGAGCCGAGATTGCACCACTGCACTCCAGCCTGGGCGACAGAGCGAGACTGTGTCTCAAAAAGCAAAAAAAAAGAAAGATGAGGAAGAGACAGGAAGCACTTTTTCTCAGTGAAAGGAGATTGAACAGTTGTGTTTTATATTCTCTCTCTTCTCTCCAAAGGTAGCCCGGGACCCTCGCTTTGATGATCTGTCAGGGGAATATAATCCTGAGGTGTTTGACAAAACATACCAATTCTTGAATGACATCCGAGCGAAAGAGAAAGAGGTATACAGCTTGAGACTGGTTTATGGGGAATTTTGTGGGGTGGAAAATGAGGGCACAGGTTAGAGAGTTGGGCAGGGGGAGTGGGAAGTATAGTGGTGGGCAGATTTAACTCTCTCCAATTCAGTTCATATTCAAATCCTGGCTCATCAGTTTACTAGCTGTGTGATTATTGGCATGTTACTTAATCTCTCTATGCTTTAGTTTTCTAATCATAAAAAAATAAAATAATAATTACTGTCTTGGAGGCCGGGTGTGGTGGCTCACGCCTGTAAGTAATCCCAGCACTTGGGGAGACTGAGGTGAGCACATCATTTGAGGCCAGCAGTTCCAAGACCAGCCTGGCCAACATGGTGAAACCCCATCTCTACTAAAAATAGAAAAATTAGCCAAGTGTGGTGTTGCATGCCTATAGTCCCAGCTACTCAAGAGGCTGAGGCATGGGAATTGCTGGTGCCCTGGAGACAAAGGTTGCAGTGAGACAAGATCGTGTCACTGCACTCCAACCTGGGCAGCAGGGCAAGACTGTCTCCAAACAAACAGTTACTGTCTTGGTGTTATCAAGTTAATATATGTGAACTTCTGGCCGGGTGCGGTGGCTCATGCCTGTTATCCCACCACTTTGGGAGGCCGAGGCAGGTGGATCACGAGGTCAGGAGATTGGGACCATCCTGGCCAACATGGTGAAATTAGTCTCTACTAAAATACAAAAGGAGGAGATCAAGATCATCCTGGCCAACATGGTGAAATTTAGTCTCTACTAAAATAAAAAAAAAAATTAGCCGGGCGTGGTGGCACGTGCCTGTAGTCCCAGCTACTTGGGAGGCTGAGGCAGGGGAATTGCTTGAACCCAGGAGGCGGAGGTTGCAGTGAGCCAAGATCACACCACTGCACTCAAGCCTGTGACAGAGCAAGACTGCATCTCAAAAAAAAATGTGTGTGTGTGTATGTGTGTGAACTTCTTAGGATAATGCTTTACATAAAATTTCAGCTAACATTTGCAGAATGCTAACCATGATACTCATTTTCCAATGTGGAGCTTGTGAAAAAACAGTTGAAGAAGCACCTTTCAGGAGAGGAGCATGAGAAACTGCAGCAACTGCTTCAGCGAATGGTGAGTGGGTAATAATTGTGGTGGGTAATGAAAGCAATTAAAGGTGGGAGATATTCACAGATCTGAACAGATCCCTCCCGTTCACCCATCTCATCTTTGCTCCTCAGGAGCAGCAAGAAATGGCACAGCAGGAACGAAAGCAACAGCAGGAGCTGCACCTGGCCCTGAAGCAAGAACGTCGGGCTCAGGCCCAGCAGGGCCATCGGCCATACTTCCTGAAAAAATGTGAGTTGGGCACAACTGTTGCTAACAGGGACAGGGGTGCAGGGGCCATGGTGGTAGAGTCTTGTGTTGGGGTGTCCCTGATCCCCTTTAAGGAAGGCATGAAGGCTGGATCCCATGGTAACTTGGAGGAAAGTAGAAATAGTAGGGAGTTGTTTGTAACCAGTCTTGTATCCCTAATTAGATCATGGCAGGCATTGTCACCTTTATTTCTTGGTCTACACTCCCCACTTCCCAACCCCCCCCCCCCAACACACACACAGTGAGTTTTATCTCTTGGTCTACACTACACACACACACACACACACACACACACACACACACAAACACAGAGTCAGTTTTATCTCTTGGTCTACACACACACACACACACAATCAGTTTTATCTCTTGGTCTATACTACACACACACACAGAGTTTTATCTCTTGGTCTACACACACACACACACAATCAGTTTTGTTTCTTGGTCTACACTGCACACACACACATGCACACACGCTGGGCCAGGCACATAGGTGTTCATAGTTGGTTGAATTGAGTAGTACTGAGATCATATAAAAAGTCATCAGTTGGGCTGGGCACGGTGGCTCACGCCTATAATCCCAGCACTATGGGAGGCCAGTGTGGGGGGGTCACGAGGTCAGGAGTTCGAGACCAGCCTGGGGGCCAACATGGTGAAACCCTGTCTCTACTAAAGATATAAAAAAATTAGCCGGGCCTGGTGGCGTGCACCTGTAATCCAGCTACTCAGGAGGCTGAGGCAGGAGGATCACTTGAGCCCGGGAGGTGGAGGTTGCAGAAAGCCTAGATTGCACTGTTGTACTCCAGCCTGGGCAACAGCGTGAGACTCCATCTCACAGGAAAAACAAACAAACAAAAAAAAGTCACCAGTTGGGCCGGGCGCAGTGCCTCACACCTGTAATCCCAGCACTTTGGGAGGCCAAGGAGGGCAGATCACGAGGTCAGGAGTTCAAGACCAGCCTGGCAAACATGGTGAAACCCCGTCTCTACTAAAAATACAAAAATTAGCTGGGTGTGGTGCTGTGCATCTGTAATCCCAGCTACTCAGAAGGCTGAGGCAGGAGAATCGCTTGAATCTGGGAGGCGGAGGTTGCAGTGAGCTGAAATCGTGCCACAGCACTTCAGCCTGGGTGACAGAGTGAGACTCCATCTCAAAAAAAAAAAGTCACCCGTTGGCCAGGCGCAGTGGCTCACGCCTGTAATCCCAGCACTTTGGGAGGCTGAGGAGAGCGGATCACCTGAGGTCAGGAGTTCGAGACCAGCCTGGCCAACATGGCGTAACCCTGTTTCTACTAAAAATACAAAAAAATTAGCCATATGTGGTGGTGCGCGCCTGTAATCCCAGCTACTCCGGAGGCTGAGGCAGGAGAATCACTTGAATCTAGAAGACGGAGGTTGCAGTGAGCCGAGATCGCGTCACTGCACTCCAGCCTGGGTAACAGAGCAGGACTCCGTCTCAGAAAAAAGATAGAGGGGCACCAGTGAGCTTTAAAGAACTCATGTATCCAGCATAATGGCTTGGAGTTACTGACCTGGTTTGGGAAAGAATAGGGGCTTCCTTCTTTGTTCACCAACTTTCATTCTCCCTGTCATTTAGCTGAGCAGCGCCAGTTGGCACTAGCTGAGAAGTTCAAGGAGCTGAAACGCAGCAAGAAATTGGAGAACTTCTTGAGTCGAAAGAGGCGACGAAATGCAGGCAAGGACAGGAGACATCTCCCTTTGAGCAAAGAGTAATAAGGAACTATCCTCTGCTCTGCCACTGCCCCAGGGAGACATGGATCTGTGAGGACAGATTTGGCCACGGCTGGTTTCCGTTCAAGGGCAAGGATCACAGCTGCCCTTGAATCTCATTGCCTCAGAGAAGACTAGAGGGCTCTTGGACTATCCCTAGGGCTACACAAGAATAGTTCAGCCTTCTGCCATGCCACACAGCCTCAGCTTGAATCTGGTTCATTGCGTCCTCGTGTTCTTCTCTCATCCTTGCCTTAAACCAGGGATTCTGATACCGAAGAAGAGGGGCCAATGAAAACCATGGAGTCTGTTCGTGACTCCCAGGGCTGGGACATTATGTAGGAGCCACTTCATAAACATTCTCTTTACTCATCTTTTTATTCTGTTTTTTGTGGCCTTCTTTTTGTGTTTCCCCCCCGAAACAGAGTCTCGCTCTGTCACCCAGGCTAGAGTACAGTGGTGCAATCTCGCCTCACTGCAACCTCCACCTCCCAGGTTCAAGTGATTCTTGTGCCTCAGCCTCCCGAGTAGCTGACATCCGCCACCAAGCCCAGCTAATTTCTTTCGTATTTTTAGTAGAGATAGAGTTTTGCCATGTTGGCTAGTTTGATCTTAAACTCTTGGCCTCAAGTGATCTGCCTGCCTCAGACTCCCAAAGTGCTGGGATTACAGGCGTTGAGCCACCGTTCCGGCCTTAAGGCCTCTGCTTTTATGTGGGATTTGTGGGTAGCCTAGAACTACTTTTTAGTGGGCCACATATTGGGATAGGCAATAAAGCCTAAGGCATCTACAACTGGGAAGTCAGATCAGAAACCCCTCCCACTTAAATCTGGGCCCCTCAAGGATGACAAGATCATTTAGTGGGTGAACCAATCCCACAACTCCCCTACTTGGCTTTGGTTTTGGATGCAAGGGATGTTAAGAGGTAGGGATATAAAGCTTCCATGGTAATATACAAGCACAGCTGGCCTTCAGTACTGTTTGGGACAAGAGTTTATAACCCATGTGGTCTGGAAAATCCTCAGGCTGATAACTTAGTTTAAAATAGTCTCAAGTAGGCTGGGCGTGGTGGCTCACACCTGTAATCCCACCACTTTGGGAGGCCGAGGCAGGCGGATCACCTGAGGTCAGGAGTTCAAGACCAGCCTGGCCAACATGGTGAAACCCCATCTCTACTAAAAATACAAAATTAGCTGGGTGTGGTGGTGGGTGCCTGTAATCCCAGCTACTCAGGAGGCTGAGGTAGGATAATCACTTGAGCCTGGGAGGTAGAGGTTGCAGTGAGCCAAGATCGCACCACTGCACTCCAGCCTGGGCAAAAAGAGTGAAATCACCACCGCGCCCCCCCCCCCAAAAAAAAATGGCCAGGCATGGTGGCTCACACCTGTAATCCCAGCACTTTGGGAGGCAGAGGCAGGTGGATCACGAGGTCAGGGGTTCGAGACCAGCCTGACCAACATGGTGAAACCCTGTCTCTACTAAAAATACAAAAATTAGCCGGGTGTGGTGGTGGGCGCCTGTAATCCCAGCTACTCAGGAGGCTGAAGCAGGAGAATTGCTTGAACGCGGGAGGCGGAGGTTGCAGTGAACCAAGATCGCGCCACTGCACTCCAGCCTGGGCGACAGAGCGAGACTCCGTCTCAAAAAAAAAAAAAGTCTCAAGTAGATAGTGTCTCCAGGGTCCTGGCAGAAGCAAATGTAATCCTTTCTTGAGGATTGTTTTTTTTTTGTTTGTTTTTTGTTTTTGAGATGGAGTCTCACTCTGTCGTCCAGACTGGCAAAAATTAAAATGTGAGAAGTATAAAATAAAAAATACAAAATGTCTTATGTTTAAAGAAAAAGTGTGACAAATGAATATCAAAAGGTACTAAACTGGTGTGATTAAAAAGTAAAACTTAAGGCCGGTCACGGTGGCTCACGCCTGTGTTCCCAGCACTTTGGGAGGCCAAAGCGGGTGGATCACGAGGTCAGGAGATGGAGACCATCCTGGCTAGTACAGTGAAACCCTATCTCTACTAAAAATACAAAAAATTAGCCAGGCGTGGTGGCGGGTGCCTGTAGTCCCAGCTACTCTGGAGGCTGAGGCAGGAGGATGGCATGAACCTGGGAGGCAGAGCTTGCAGTGAGCCGAGATCGTGCCACTGCACTCCAGCCTGGGGAACAGAGCGAGACTCCATCTCAAAAAAAAAAAAAAAAAAAGTAAAACTTAAAAAGAAAACCTTTTAAAAATGAAAAGTAGGGCCAGGCATGGTGGCTCGTGCCTGTAATCCCAGCACTTTGGGAGGCTGAGGTGGGTGGATCGCCTGAGGTTGGGAGTTCGAGACTAGCCTGGCCAACATGGTGAAACCCCGTCTCTACTAAAAATACAAAAAATTAGCCGGGCGTGGTGGCGCATGCCTGTAATCCTAGCTACTTGGGAGGCTGAGGCAGGAGAATTGCTTGAACCTAGGAGGCGGAGGTTGCGGTGAGCCAAGATTGCGCCACTGCACTCCAGCCTGGGCAACAAGAGTGATACTCCACCTCAGAAAAAAAAAAGTACACTACGAGAAGTTAGAAACTTTATGGTTAAGCAGCAGATTAGACTTCTCCCTAAAGGGAGAATGAACTGGAAATAGATCTGAAGTTACACAGAGAGAGCACTGACATACAGAGAAGTGGAAACTAAGGAAAAGAGGTTAAAAAACATGGAAGAGGCTGGGTGTAGTTGCTGACACCTGTAATCCCAACTTTTTGGGAGGCATAGAGAGGACTGCTTGAGGTCCTCAGTTGGGGACCAGCCTGGGCAACATAAGGAGACCTTGTCTCTAAAAAAAAATTAAAAAATCAGACATGTGGCACATGCCTATAGTCCCAGCTTCTCTGGAGGCTCAGGCTGGAGGATTGCTTGACCCCAGGAACTTGAGGTTGCAGTGAGCTATGATGGCATCACTGCACTCCAGCCTGGGTGACAGAGCAAGATCCTGTCTATAAAACAACAAAATGAAGATAAATGTGAGACTTGACAATCAAAATTTCAGGAAAGAATATTTCAAAGAGGCTGGGCATTTTCTAGAATTTTTTTTGAGATGGGGTCTCCCTCTGTCGCCCAAGCTGGAGTGCAGTGGCACGATCTTGGCTCACTGTAACCTCTTCCTCCCAGGTTAAAGCTATTCTTCTGCCTCAGCTCCCTGAGCAGCTGGTATTTCAGGTGTATGCCACCACACCTGGCTAATTTTTTTTTTTGTAGGGATGGGGTTTCACCGTGTTGGCCAGCTGGTCTCAAACTCCTGACCTCAAGTAATCCACCCACCTAGGCCTCCCAAAGTGATAGGTTTACAGGTGTGAGCCACCGCACCTGGCCTAGTTTTTTTTTTGTTTTTTTTGTTTTTTTTTTAAGGCTAGATAAATCATAAGCCAGGAACATTTGAAAGTCTATCCAGCCTGGGCAACATGGTGAAACTGCATCTCTACAAAGAATACTCAGGCGGCTGAGGCAGGAGGATCACTTGAGCCTGGGAGGTCGAGGCAGTGAGCCGTGATTGTGCCACCCGTACTCCAACCTGGGTGACAGAGCAAGACCCTTTCTTAAAGAAAGAATGCCTACCTTAAAAGCAGCTCTATGCCCCCAGTTAGGAGACTGAGGTGGGACAATCACTTGAGACTAGGAGTTCAAAGCTGTAGTATGCAGTGATTGCGCTTGTGAACAGCCACTGCACTGCCGCCTAGGTAACACAGTGAGATCCTGTATCTAAAAAAAGGCAGCTCTTGGGCCGGGCACGGTGGCTCACACCTGTAATCCCAGCACTTTGGGAGGCCGAGGAGGGCGGATCATGAGGTCAGGAGATCAAGACCATCCTGGCTAACACGGTGAAACCCCATCTCTACTAAAAATACAAAAAATTAGCCGGACATGGTGGCACGTGCCTGTAGTCCCAGCTACTCAGGAGGCTGAGGCAGGAGAATCACTTGAACCTGGGAGGCGGAGGTTGCAGTGAGCTGAGATTGCGCCACTGCACTCCAGCCTGGGCAACATAGTGAGACTCCATCTCAAAAAAAAAAAAAAAAGAAAAAGGTAGCTCTAATGAAAAGGAAGAGAAGTAGAATCAGAAGTTAGGACATCTATTGCTTGATGCTTCTGGGATGGGTAAGACGTAGTTCTGGTGATAGAAGTTGAAGCTGCAGCATAATGAGAGATGAAAGAGAAACTGCTCTTCTGGTGATTTTAACCCTAGGGATGTAGCTACTGGGACAGGAGGAAGTGAGGGACCCAGTGCTGCAGGGTCCCTGTTGTCACATATGTCAATCCTACTTTAAAGTCAAATAATGGATTCTGGCTGATAAAGCCTATCAGAATTATGGTGTTGATACGAAAGTGTCACATAGCCACCAAAATGTGTTCTCTACTTTCTTGCTTTGCTCTGATTAGCTAAGTCTTGGTCACATGGCTTTATAGCACTGGGAAAACCAGGATCTGGTCTTTTATAGGGTAGGAAGTGAGCCCTATCTTTTGTGTAGATTTGTGGCGGGGAGTTTCCCAAGCATGGGAAATGGGCTCAGATGATGTGGTTATAAAATGTGAATGTCCATTAAAAGGCAGTCAGTGTTGGCTACTCTAAGCCTTCAAATTGTTGCTTTTCCCCTTCAACAGGGACCAAGGGGAGATACTGGAAACCTCTGAGCTTCAGCTGTTGGTTTTTGGGTTTTGTTTTTGTTTTATTGAGATACAGTTCACTTAACTATACAGTTTACCCATTTAAGGTATACAGTGTTTTTTAGTAAATTTACAGAATTGTGCAACTATTACAATTTTGGAACATTTTTGACACCTCCCCCCAAAAAAACCCCTATGCCCCTTAGCAGTCATCCTCAGTCTCCTCAGCCCTAGGCAACCACTCATCTACTTTCTGTCTTTATAGATTTGCCTATTTGGGACATTTCCTATAAATGGAATCTGTATGTGGTCTTTGCTTGGTTTTGTTTTTGGGGTGGTGGGGGCTGACTACTTAGTCTTGACAAGCCAAGGTCCCAACCCAGCAGTAGAAATATAAGGAGTCACGGCTGTGAGGATGGCCTCACAATGGGCTCAGGGTAGTGAACTTCTGTCCCCTAAGTTATCTCAGAAATGAGGCCAACTCTCTGCCCTCTAGAATGGATGGCCCTGAGGGAGAGAAAGGTTCATGTCCTTCCTGGCTGGTGACAGAAGGCTGGACTGTGCCTGAAATCAAAGCTTCTCACCTGGATTTGGGCAAATCAAGCAGTCCCGAATCTCAGGGTGGGGTGAGATGTGTGCTGAAGAGGGCAACACAGGAGCTGCACTGCAGATGGCGACATGCAGGGTTTCAAGGCCAAAGCTGGTGTGTTCTTCCCTTAAGAATTGCTGTAGGCTAGGTGAGGTGGCTCACACCTGTAATCCCAGCACTTTGGGAGGCTGAGGTGGGCGGATCACCTGAGGTCGGGAGTTCGAAACCAGCCTGACCAACATGGAGCAACCCTGTCTCTACTAAAAATACAAAATTAGCCGGGTGTGGTGGCGCATGCCTGTAATCCCAGCTACTCGGGAGGCTGAGGCAGGAGAATTGCTTGAACCCCGGAGGTAGAGGTTGCAGTGAGCCGAGATCACACCATTGCACTGCAGCCTGGGCAACAAAAGCGAAACTCCATCTAAAAAAAAAAAAAAGGCCGGGTGCAGTGGTTCATGCCTGTAATGCCAGTGCTTTGGGAGGCCGAGGTGGCTGGATCACCTGAGGTCAGGAGTTTGAGACCAGCCTGACCAATATGATGAAACCCTGTCTCTACTAACAATACAAAAATTAGCTGGGCGTGGTGGCGGGAGCCTGTAATCCCAGCTACTCGGGAGGCTGAGGCAGAAGAATCGCTTGAAACTGGGAGGCGGAGGTTGCAGTGAGCCGAGGTCGTGCCACTGCACTCCAGCCTGGGTGACAGAGCAAGACTCTGTCTAAAAAAAAAAACAAAAAAAAATTATTGCTGGAGACTTTTTCCATCGCAGATGAGCAGGAAGGTACCCCATGGGAGACTGGCAAGGTGACTGAGTAGGATGCCCAGGGGCTGATGAGGGCAGTAAGTTCAAGGCATAGCCTACAGCTCAGCCCATGGAGGAGGCCTCGGGACAGTAGCAGAACGGGGCTGTAGTGCAAGTAAATCCTATCGTCTGACCCTATATGCACTTCATGCTGGCCTGACTACTGGACCCCACAGCAGGAAGCTTCTTTGAGTTTCTGGTGGAGAAGGATAATCTTATAAAAAGCAAGAAAGTCCAGAGAAGGGCAGAAAGCTCTGGCACTTGAGAGTGAGCACAAGAATATTGGGCCTGGGCCAATAAAAGCCTATAATCTCTGGTACCAAGGTGAAGAGGCACTAAGTGACCAGCTGCAGCAACCCCAGTGTACCTGGGCCCACTGTGCTGGGCCCCCAGCCTGCTGCTGCTGCCTGTCTGGACTCTGCCCCAAAGGGCAGCTGTCACTCAGCAGGCTGGCCCCTGCTGTGAGAGCTACCGACACCATGGGACCAACACTGCAAAGCAAGCACTACGGAGCCCCTCTGCCCTCTGTATTATAGCCTCATCCTGAGCAGCCTGACTCTCCCACAAGCCATGGCCTTTTTTCCCCTAGACTCCAAATCTCAGTCCTGGTGGCACTCAGTTCTCTCTGTCTGGCTTCTGTGCCCTCCTTTACCACCTGACTCTTCCTCATCCCCCTTCCCCCTCCTTCCATAGCTTTTTCTGTCACCTCTGGGCTACGAGCCTCGGGATGCCTGGGTCATCCCTCCTTTCCTCCTCCCCAGTAGCCCTGCCAAGACACAGAGCTGCACCTTTGGCACAGGATCCCCTGGCCTGACCTGAGCTGCCCTGCTTCAGCAGGGGTGGTGCCAATGGAGCCAATTATAGTAGCACAAGCAAACCTCCCCAACAGCAGCAGGGCAGAGGCTCACCTATGGGGGTAGTTAGGGGTAGGAGTTTTTGCCTTTCTGAAATAGAGAGAGGGTCTATGTCACCTAGGCAGGAGTGCAGTGGATATTCACAGGCACGATCCCACTACTGATCAATCAGCATGGGAGTTTTGAGCTGCTCTCTTTCTGACCTGGGCCAGTTCACTCATTTATTTATTTATTTATTTATTTATTTATTTATTTTTGAGACGGAGTCTTGCTCTGTTGCCAGGCTGGAGTGCAGCGGAGAGATCTCGGCTCACTGCAACCTCCGCCTGCCGGGTTCAAACAATTCTCCTGCCTCAGCCTCCCAAGTAGCTGGGACTACAGGCGTGCACCACCACACCCGGCTAATTTTTGTATTTTTAGTAGAGATGGGGTTTCACCATGTTGGCCAGGATGGTCTCAATCTCTTGACCTCGTGATCCGCCCACCTCAACCTCCCAAAGTGCTGGGATTACAGACGTGAGCCACCACGCCCAGCCGCCAGTTCACCCCTTCTTAGGCAACCTGGGATCCCCTGCTCCTGGGAGTTCACCATATTGTTGCTGAACTTGGTGCAGATACCCGAATGGCAGAGCACACTGCAGCCCAGAACTCCTGGGCTCAAGCGATCCTCCTACCTCAGCTTCCCGAGTAGCTGGGACTAAAGGTGCATATAGCGCCGTGCCCGCAGGGGTAGGAGTTTTTCTTTCTTTCTTTTTTTTTTTCTTGTTCTTCCAAATCCCTCGTTTTGAGAATCAAGGGGTAGGAGTTTGATGACAGCGTGTGCAGCTCTGCAAGGACAGAGAAGGGGTGGAGGCAGAGGAGGGGAAGAAAGGGGCAAAACGGAGGAGCTTGTGGGAGTAAGAACTGTGCTAGAACAGTTCTTTCTGGGCCTATGCCATCAGATGGAATACACATTCAGGTTGCTGGGTGCCTGCAGTGGCCACAGGGGTCAGTGACCTCACCTTCATCATGTCAGTCTTACTTAGGGAAGGCACCAAGGAACCACATTCACTGTTGGCAATGGTGGCCAAAATAGAGACTCACTGGCAATGCCTTCATTCACCACGTCAAATGCTTCCATACCTGTTACTTGTCGCAGTCCCACAGTGACTGGGCCAGTTCCACAAACGAGGAGAATTAAACCCTGCTCGATAATCTGCCCAAGTTACAAACCATCTGGTGAGTGGCCAAGTTGGGCTTGGATCTCCAGCCTGCCAGATGAAAGCACTTCTGACCACACACCCTCTGAGAAGGGGCTGAGTGCCATCATCCTGCCTGGTCCTCTCAATCTCTGCCTAGAGGGGGTGCTAAGTCACACCTGACTCCCTCTGCCTTTCTCCCAGTCTACCATCCTCACCCTAACAAGACCCTTGGCATATCATGCGACAGCCTCAGTGCCAAGGGCTCCTTCTCCACCAGCAAGGAAAACCCTCCCACCTCCCCACTCAAATCTCTAGCAGTCGCCAAACACACACGTCATATAATCAAACTCTTGGGTTTTATTTCTGTAAAAGCTCCAGCTCTACCTTCCCCTGACCCCAAGTCTAGGGCTACCGGAAGGTAGAGAAGCTCTGGGTGGCAGTGCAGGAGGCATAGGGCACACCCCGGGAGCGAATCTGTAGGGTATGGAAGGTGAGGGGTGGGTTGGGGCCTGAGGAGCCTGGGTTCAGGGACTCAGTGTGAGGCTCCATGACAGTCACAGGGACTGCATAGGACAGCACCTGGGGCCGGTCGTCATGGCGTCTCAGCGTGCCCTTGCCCAGGAGGTGTAGGATGCAGGAGAGGACGTCAGTGCTGCTGCATGCAGACCCCTTACCAAGGCTGCTGACCAAACCCCTGGGAGGACACGGGCCCTTCTGCCAAGCCTCCAGCACCTGGTGTGGGGGAGGAAGGGAGAAGCGGTAGTTTAGAGGCAGCTGACCCCTCCTTGCTTGAGCTTCCACTCCAACCACCAGCTGCTAGGACAGGATGCCCCAAGGACACGAGGTACATCCCGACCTCACTCCTCACACTCCTACAGGCTACACAGTGAACCAGGTGCCTCACCACACGTGCACCCACCTTGTCCTGTAGACTGCTCCCCCAACCCCAGCAAAGATCTGTCACCCATTGTGCCCACCCCTGCCTACCAGACAGACAAGCTGGTCAATGTGCAGCCCCTCATCTCCATGGGCCTTGAGGATTCGGACGATGAGGCAGTTCAGAAGATTCCGTCTCTTCTCCAAGTTCTGGCCGTCTTCACCCTCAGCTTGCAGGTACGTCTGAGGTGGGATGAGCCGCACAATGTCCCATCTCGACCTGGGTTCCTTGCTGCCATCTCGAATCTTGAGGACCCCTGAAATAAATGCTGATCACTCACTCAGTGGAGAGCCCACGAGGAGCCTGGCCCTGCCTCAGAGCAGAGGCCCCTCTGGCCCTAAGTGCATACCTCCTGGTATATCCTTTTGCTCGTGAAGGTCCAGGGGGCCTCTTGAAGAGGTGAGGGGCCCAATCGCCTGATTGAGCATGTCTGCGGAGAGCCCTGAGAACGCCAGCAGACTCTCCACAGAGACCGCCTTCAGAGAACAGATGGGAGACATTCAGGGCCTCCCCAAGGAGTGGAGAGAAGAGGATGGAGGGAAGAAGCAGAGGGAGTCAAGGTTTTGGGAAGAGAGGCAAGGGACAAAGTGGGAGACAGGAGAGAGGTGCAGCGGGGCTGGGCCACCTTCAGGTCGTTGAGATACAGCAGTAGCCACATCTGCACGGTGGACACATGCAGGGTCTGGTTCCCAAACTGCAGCTCAGCCCAGCCCAGCCACGTCCACTGCAGTCGCCTCTGTGAGCCTCGCTCAAGGGCAGGGTGGCTCTGACCTGGACCAGGAAGGGGGAGGGAGACAAAGAGCAGGTGAAAGGAGGGAGTTGGTGTTGGAGGGAGGGTGCACGCTGGTCACGCTCTGTTTATCTCTGCAAGGCGTGTGACCCCAGCATTTATGGACACTGGGGCTTCTGGTCTGAGCTTCCAGATCTCAGCCTTCTCTGGGCCTGCCTCTATGGCAAGCCTCAGGATCTGGGAGCTATCCTATGCCTAGCCTGGTGCCAAGCAGGTTCTCATCAGTGCCTTCGAGGATTGCCCCATGTGTTTTTAGGGAGACAAAACCATGAAGGGAGGAAGGACTGGGGCTCTTATCAAGCTGGAATATTATGACAGGAAACAATGTCTCCCCTATTAGGAGGCGCCCTGACCACAGGTCTGAGCCTCTTCCCCCTCCTGTGTTGCTGCCAGCTCAGGGATCAGCCCCCGATGGGGAGTTTAGGATGACAGGTGACTGACCAGAAAAGAGCCAGACACCTACTCATATCTGGTGGCCTCAGGTGCCTCCTGCCTCCATCCTCCCCGTCACCCACAAAGAGATTCCCAGGTCTTATTTTAGAACAGAAAAAGCAATGGTCTGGGGATCAGGTATCTGACAGCACCTGCCACCCCCAGCCACCAAGCTCCTGCCCTTTGTTCTCAAAACCACTGTTTTTCCCATGGCCTAGGGAATTCTTATCCCTAAAGACTATCTCTCCCTGAATCTATAAAAACAAAAATTAAAAATGTAAATTAAAAGACCAACTCTTTTTTTTTTTTTTTTTTTTTTTTGAGATGGAGTCTCGCTGTCGCCCAGGCTAGAGTGCAGTGGCACGATCTCGGCTCACTGCAACATCTGCCTGTGGGTTGAAGTGATTCTCCTGCCTCAGCCTCCCGAGTAGCTGGGACTACAGGCACACACCACCACACCCGGCTAATTTCTGTATTTTTAGCAGAGACGAGGTTTCACCATGTTGGCCAAGGCTGGTCTTGAACTCCTGACCTCAAGTGATCTGCCTGCCTCGGCCTCCCAAAGTGCTGGGATTACAGGCGTGAGCACTGTGCCCAGCCAAAGACTATCTCTTTTTACATCAAGCCTCCCAACATCAGGGTCTGCCCCCAACCCCAGGTCCTTTCCTAGCAGCCCACCCTCTCCCCAGTCCCCAGTCCCTCTGCCTGGCTGCTCACTCTTGTTGTAGAAGTTGGAGTATCTGTTCAAAGTGCCCCTCAGGTAGGAGGGCAGGCAGGTTCTGGGGTTCAGTGTGTGGCAGATTGAGGCAACAGGCCAGGAGTGTCGGGACAGGACAAGCACAGACACTTCTGGCATTGCCCCTTCATAGTAGAGGTCCTCATTCTCCTCCTCTTCCTCCTCTCCCTCCGCCACATCCACCACTGCTGCTGCCCCAGCTTCCTCTTCCTTCTCGCTCTTGTGCTCCTTGCCACTGGCCCCAAGGCCCACCTGAAGGAGCACAGGGTTCCCAGATGCCATGGCCTCCTCCAGTCTGCTCCACGCCCCTCTTCCCCCTACCCTCTTATTTGCTTATCCCTTCCAAGGCACTCACCTGTATTTTCTTCTCTGTATCCTCCAGCTTCAGGAGTTCCTGATCCAGCTGCTGGAGCTGGTAGACGTGGAACTGGCGCTGCAGCTCCTTAGAGGTGCTCAGGCTCTGCAACATCTGCTGGGGGAGGCGGTTGGGGAAGCAGGGACCGATCTGCTCCAGCACGGCCCCCTCCAGCCAGCTCGAGACCACGCCCAGGAGACGGTCCGCCATGTAGTGCCTGCAGTGCATGCAGCCCGGGCCAAGCCTCAGTGTGGGCACCAGTGTGGCCCAGCCTCCCACTCCAAGGCTCCAGCCTGCCTCTATCCCAGACTTCCAGGCCCATGAGCTGGCTCTGCCACCATCATCCTGCCTCCCGCCAGCTCCCGCTCCTTAGGTCCACACTCACTGGTAATAATGCTCAAAAGTGGTGGCTATCTCCAAGCCGGAGAAAATCAGGACAGCTTGCAGGCATTGCTGCAGCTGTGCCAGCCTCTCCATTTCCTGGGCTCCACCGATCCGGCTGCCCTGGATCTGCTGGTCAATGTGCCGGGCGAACTGCTCACTCACCTGAGCAATGGCAGAGCACAGGAAAGCCATGAATGAGCGAGCAGAGCAGGTGAGTGGGGAGGAGGGATGAGGGTCTGGAAAGTAGATATGAATGCTGGCAGCTTTCTAAGGTGGTTGGTGCTTTCATACAACTATTTTATAAGATCATTAACCATTGTACAAATTAGCAATATTAACAATTATGGAAAGTGTCTTTTCACATTGTGTCTAAAAAATCAAACTAATAATAATCATTCAAAATGAGAAAATAAGACCAGGCGCAGTTCACGCCTGTAATTCCAGCACTTTGGGAGGCTGAGACAGGCAGATGGCTTGAACCCAGGAGTTGGAGACCAGCCTGGGCAACATGGCAAAACCCCATCTCTACTAAAAATACGAAAAAATTAGCTGGGCATGGTGGCACACGCCTATGGTCCCAGCTACCCAGAAGGCTGAGAGGACCACCTGAGCCCAAGAGGTTGAGGCCGCAGTGAGCTGTGACTGCACCACTGCATCCCAGTGTGGGAGGGAGTAAGACCCTGTTAAGAAAGAAGTAAAGAAAGAGAAAGAAAGGGAGAGAAAGAAAAAGAAAGGAGAGGAAAAGAGGGGAGGGAAGGGAAGGGAAAGGAAGGGGAAGGGAAGGGAAGGGGAAGGGAAGGGAAAGGGAAGGGAAGGGAGAGGTGGCTCATGCCTGTAATCCCAACACTTTGGGAGGGTGAGGCGGGCGGATCACGAGGTCAGGAGTTCGAGACCAGCCTGACCAATGTGGTGAAACTCCGTCTCTACTAAAAATACAAAAATTGGCTGGGCGTGGTAGCATGCACCTGTAATCCCAGCTACTTGGGAGGTTGAGGCAGGAGAATCGCTTGAACCTGGGAGGCGGAGGTTGTGGTGAGCTGAGATCGAGCCACTGCACTCCAGCCTGGGCAACAGAGCGAGACTCCGTCTCAAAAAAAAAAAAAAAAAAAAGGAAGAAGAAAGAAAGAGAGAAGGAAAGAAAGAGAAAGAGAGAAAGAGAAGGAGGGAGGGAGGGAGAGAAGGAGGGAGGGAAGGAGGGAAGGAGGGAAGGAAGGAAGGAAGGAAGGCAGGAAGGGAGAAAGAGAGAGAGAAAGAAAGACGGACACAAGGAGGTAAGTTACATACACAAAGATGGTCCTGATGCAGTGTCACTGATAAACTAGGACTGGAGGCTACACAAGGAGCCTCATGTTCCTGCTGCTCTGTACCCTGCTTTCCAGGGTGCTTCTTGCATTTTAGCTCATCAATTGTGGGGGGTTTTTTTGTTTTTTTCTTTTTTTTGAGATGAGTCTAGCTCTGTCACGCAGGCTGGAGTGCAGTGGTGCAATCTCGGCTGACTGCAACTGCAACCTCCACTTCCTGGGTTCAAACGATTCTCCTGCCTCAGCCTCCCAAGTAGCTGGGAATACAGGCATGTGCCACCATGCCTGGCTAATTTTTGTATTTTTAGTAGAGATGGGGTTTGGCCATGTTGGCCAGGCTGGCCTCAAACTCCTGCCCTCAGATGATCTGCCTGCCTCGGCCTCCCAAAGTGCTGGGATTACAGGCATGAGCCACCACACCTGGCCACTATTTATTTTTTTCAATTTTTTAAACTTCTTATAACATGGCTATATACTAACATATGTTCATCATAGAATGGGAATGGAAGGGTGGGTCATTTGGAGGAGGTGAGGAAGGGAGAGTTTGTCGGAAGAGACCCAAGGATGAGGCAAGGGTAGAGGCTTACGTGGGCAGCTTTGAGAAAAGGGAGCTTCAGCAAGGCTCCCGCACAGCCATTTTGCAGCGCCAGCAAGAAGGCTGCCCGAGGCCCAAACAGTTCAGAGCTTGAGTTCTGCAGAATATTAAAGTGCTCACAGTAGCGTGGCACAAAGTCATCATCCCGCCAGGATGAGGTCAGAAAATTGTTCACCTGGAAGGAAGGGGCAGGAGCATGAAGACACAACCCAACATGCCACCATTATGGTGTCCCCTCTCTCCCGCAGGCCTGCTCCTGCCCACCTGCTTCTCCACCACGGCCCGCCAACAGCGCGTCAGGTTTCTCATGATGCTGCTTGGAAGGCCCCGGGTAGCCAAGGAGCTCCAGTCGTGGCTTCTGTTTCTGCCTTCTGTAGAGACCAAGAAAGTGGCAGAGGCAAGGAGGGTGCAGCCCCTCCACTCCCAAGTCCCCATCCAAGGGGGTTCCCTGAGGCCTTTCCTGACATGCTGCCACCCAAAATGATGTTCATGGATGGAGGTGACACAAACCTGGAAGATGAACAGGCTGAGCCCATAGGGAGGGGAAGGATGGGGATGGACAGAAGCCTGTGGTGTACACATGGGGCCCAGGAAAACGCTCCTGACTAGAGCTCCCCACCTGAATCTCCACTACTCACTGGGCCGAGGAGTGGCCACCACAGGAGGGGGTGCCTCACAGGGCTCGACATGCACCAGCAGGTGAGTGAGACGGCGCACCCGCGAGAAGAAAGCTGGGCCGCGGCTCTGGGGGTTGAAGACAGCTTCCTGACACTCCAGGTACTGGTCCAGCAGCCAACCCAGGGGGCTAATGCCATCCTCATCTAGAGGGTGAGATAAACAAACCAAGGCACAGCCATGTCTGCAGGGAAGTGGGAGTGGTTGGGCTGAACAGGAGTGTGGAGATAGAGCAACTGGACGGAATGATACAAGGAAGGGGGGCCAGGTAGGGTGGTTTACGCCTGTAATCCCAGCACTTTGGGAGGCTGAGATGAGAGGATCGCTTGAGGCAGGAGTTCAAGACTGGCCTGGTCAACATAGCAGGACCCCATCTTTAAAAATAAGAAATAAGCATAAAAAAATAGAAAAGGCCAGGTGCGGTGGCTCATGCCTGTAATCCCAGCACTTTGGGAGGCTGAGGTGGGTGGATCACCTGAGGTCGGGAGTTCGAGATCAGCCTGACCAACACGGAGAAACCCCACCTCTACTAAAAATATAAAATTAGCCAGGTGTGGGTCAGGCGCGGTGGCTCATGCCTGTAATCCCAGCACTTTGGGAGACTGAGGCGGGTGGATCACCTGAGATTGGGAGTTCGAGACCAGCCTGACCAACATGGAGAAACCCCATCTCTACTAAAAATACAAAATTAGCTGGGCATGGTGGCCCATGCCTGTAATCCCAGCTATTTGGGAGGGTGAGGCAGAAGAATCACTTGAACCCTGGAGGCAGAGGTTGCAGTGAGCCGAGACTGCGCCATTGCACTCCAGTCTAGGCAACAAGAGCGAAACTCTGTCTCAAAAAAATAAAATAAAATAAAATAAAATTAGCCAGGCATGGTGGTGCATGCCTGTAATCCCAGCTACTTGGGAGGCTGAGGCAGGAGAATTGCCTGAACCTGGGAGGCAGAGGTTGCAGTGAGCCAAGATCATGCCATTGCACTCCAGCGTGGGTAACGAGCGAAAATCTGTCTCAAAAAAAAAAAAAAGAAGAATGATAAAGGGAGTGGGTAACAAGGCACCTCCAGCACTTATGGTGTCCCCTGACACTTGAGAGACATGGGAAAGGGGGCAGCCCCTGGGCTGTGAGAAGACAGCACTGGGATTACAAATGCAGGTGCCAAAAGGGCCAGGACATAATCCAGGTGGTTCTAGGGTAGAGCAAGAAGGAACTAATTAGTGGAACCAAGCCCTGAGATAGTAATGGGTCCAGATGTCAGGATGGTTACCAGGGGAGGTGATGTTCTGCACCACGGGGCTGACCAGGGCCTCCCAGCAGGTCTTGCCCAGAGCTTGGGCAGCCTCGTCATCAGGGAGGAAGCGGTCAGCAAAATTCTGCTCCTGGCGCAGAGCACCGTTGAGTCTGGGGGTGAGAATGGAGGAGGAAGGTGTCAGGGGCTTGAAGCATATGTTATCTCAGTGTCCACCCTTCCTAAGACTGCCAGCTAACCCCAGCACCCAAACCGAAGGCCCCCTGGTACTTCAGAACTGCTCTGTGCTAACTGGTATATCCCATTCCCAGCCCACTGGAGAAATCTTTTCTCTTTATCCTTTCTTCCCCTCCCACAGCTCAGAAAACTCCAGCCCCCTCCCCACGCATATTAAACCTCCATCTCACAGCTTCTATGGACCCCTGCCTGCCAGCTATTTGCAATAGCCTTACCTTTCCCACAGACACAAGCATACACGCACACTCTCACACACCTAGAACTCAGGTGCAGGAGGCTCCTGCGGTCCTCTGCCATGTCCTGGCTCCAGGCCTGTGCCCGAACCATGTAGAAGAGGCGTGTGTGACGACAGAGCTGCTCCCGGAACACTGGCCAGAACGTGGGCTTGGGGCCTAGGATCTCTAACCCCCGAATGCGCGTATCAATGCCACCCTGAAACACACACAGGACTATCTTCACTCGCTCCACACCTTGGGATGGGCTGGGGTCAGCTACGCCCTCGAACCTCACCCCTGGAGCTGCTCGAGACCCAGGCTGGTCCTCTGGCTTAAGATCTGCCTGTTTATGGGGCTCAGAGCCCCCTACCCAGGGCCACACCCCACATCCCTGGCCCCACCTGCTGGCAGCGCTTTATGCGGATCTGGATGATGGGCCAGAAGCGGGTCAGGTTCTCCAGGAGGATCACCCGGCTGGCAGAGGGCATCACATTCACCTGGCAGGGGGCAGAGAAAGCTGTCACCTCCACACATGCAGAGCCAAGTTGGCTCTAGGCTCCAGTCCCCTCACTGTTTCCCTCCCTTCCCCAGCCCTGGGATGTGTAGGGTCCTGACAAAGCTGTCCTCATGCCACCCTCATTGTTCAGGGCCTGGTGGCACAAGCACAGGGATAAAGGACACTACTTTCTGTGGGGCTCAAGACAGGTGGGAGTTAGAAAAAAGTAGGATAGGGCCAGATAGAAGCAGGAGGGCAGATCCTGTGAGGGGTGGAGTAATGGCTAATGGCCCTGGGGTCCTACCGAGTTGAGTTCCGTGTGAAGAGAGCTAGTGCTATCACCCCCGCACACCACCACTCGGGCCGGCATGTAACTCGAGTCCTCACTAGCCACAAGCAGAGTCAGTTGCCTGGGAGTGGGGAGGAAAAACCATTTGGAACTTGTAGACAGGGCCCATGGCCAAGTCCAGGGGGTGGTGCTTCCCCCAAAACAAACACAGGGGCGTCACAGGAAAGCACACGTGTGTGGCAAAGCACATGTGTGGGAGAGTTACCTGATGAGGATGCCCCGGCGCATGTGCAGGGTGATGTAGTGGGAGCCGGCGCTGCCGTTGGACTCCCAATAGGTCTTGGGGTTGTGGTCCGTCAGCTTGCTGGCCCGGTGCGGGTTGGAGGACACCTCCACCTTCTCCCAGCACTTGTCCTCCTTCACTTCCACACTGGAGCCTGGGGGCAAGTGGGAAGGGGTGGTGGTCACGGTCAGGTAGGGTGTAGAGGGGAAACAGACATAGGTGTGGGGAGGTGGAGCAACACGGCAACAGGCACGAACCCTGGCACAGGTATCTGAGGAACACATCAAAGAAAGGGATGTTGATGGGTTGGTGGGTTCGTCTGTGGTCTTCGATCTGGCCCAGCACCATCTGCAGCCAGAACATCAGAGAGAAGGGGCACAGGGGCAGAAGGAACACGGAGACACACACGGAAACACGGATGAAGGAGAGACCATGCAGCAGTGGGACTTCCTCTACAGCACCAGCAGAGCAGGCCCAGATGGGGCAGAGGGGAAGGGGAACAAATGCCCCAGGGTCACTAGAGTCACCTGCTGTTCCCAGCCATGGGAACACAGCCCTTACCCGCCACTGCTTGGGTTTCATATTCTGATGCCACTCTAAGCCCACAAGCTCCCCTTCCTCCTGACCTGGATGCAGCCTCCCAGGATGTTGGTGATGAGTTTGCGGTAGAGGTGGGCATGCTTCTCACACTTGAACACCATGTCCCGCAGCTCCTGAGCCAGCTCCAGCTTTCCCAGGTGCTTTTCCAGGGCCTTGGAGATAGCGTCTCTTGCTCCCAGCTGATTCAGCACCACGGCATAGTCCCTGCTCACTGAGGTCAGGCGGTGCAGGAAGAAAATCAGTTCCTGGAGCACCTGGGTGGGGACATAAGGGAGGAGATGAATGAAGACAGGGCGAGGGCCACAAGGGCACCTGCAGTAGCAGGTACCCACTGTGTACTCTGTGTACTGGGTGCTAGGGGTGCTACAGTGAGCAAGGCAGAGTGACGAAGTGAAAAGACAGGGATGGGGAGACACAAGAGCCAGGTGGTTAGAGAACCAAAGACAAACCAAAATGGAAAAGGGCACAAGATGCCCTGCTACTCTAGGGTTCTAGGCTGCTGATTATGTTGGCAAAAACGGCAGAGAGCATCCCTGGGTTCTTTCATCCAGGCCCTACTGTCCCAAAAACCAGTTGTAGGGCTGTGTTTTGAGATGTTCAGGCACAGACACCTGGATGGCTGGGAAGGGGCTGACAGGGACTGGGTTTGTGTGTGTATTATACCCAATGAGCCTGCCTTAGAAAGTAAATTCTAGGTAACAGCCAAAAATATAGCCACACTGCAAATACCTACTGTCACCATGACCCTAGTTCTCTGAGCCCTTCTGAAGCCTTCTGTGCCCAGGACTTCTCTGTAGCTCTTGCAGGGGACTCTGGTATGTGATGGGCGCTCTGCCTCCTTCATCCCCCTTTCTCCCACAGGCCCAGCCAAAAATGGAGCTATTGAAGCTCTTAATGTTTTATGTAATAATATCTCCATATCCTTTTGTGTAAAAAAGAGAGTGGCAAGATCACACATTTGGGTTTGCTTATATTTGCATAAGGGAACACGGGAAAGATACATAAATTAATACAAGTAGTTACCAGTAAGGGGTGTGTGGGGGACCCTGGGGGAACAGAGATTTGGGTGAGAGCAAGAATTCTCAGTGTATACCTTGTTAGAGCGTTTTGATTTGTGAACCATGTGAATGTATTACCTATTTAAAAAAAATAAAATTCAATTTTAAAAGCAAAACTCAAACCAAGAGCTCAAAGGCTCTATCACGCCCTCCAGAGCCTTGCCCAGCAGGTGTGCCTTGCCAGTGGCTGCCTTTATCCTCTCCCCCAGCCTCTCCCCAGAGCAGGGCAGGGGTACCTCTCGATCAGTGTTTGGGGACCGCAGGCAGGCCATGCAGGCATCCACGGCCTCGTGCCAGGGGAGCAGCAGTGCCTCGGGGAAGTCCACCAGCTGCTTCAGGATTCTGGGGGCAGAGAAATGTGTAGCCAGCCTCATGGACCCCCTTTGCCCTCAGAGATCCCACCTGTCACCATGCTCTCACCTCAGCACAGTCAGGTGCAGGGTCCTGTTAGTCTCCGGAGTGTCCAGGCTCTGCATCAGTGCCAGGAAGGGCTGCGGCTGCCGCTGCAGCTGCAGCAGGAGTGGCTTGACCTTGTTCTCCTGGGTCCCCTCTGAGCTGAGGGCTTGCTCTAGATCCAGGAGGATTTTCCCAGCTGGACCATAACCCTCCACCAGACGCTGCAGGGGAGTGTTGGGACTCTGAGATGGGGGTTCTTTTGCTACAGGAAGGGGACAGTCACAGGAGTTGGCCATTGTTAGTAATGTGAAGGCTCAGAAATAGATTCATAACTCTCAATCTTTTTCTCTAATTTCTCCTAAAAAATGTTTTAAATTTTTTAATCCCCCTAAAAGTTAGGTTTGGGGATCTAATCTCTGAATGTCATTGTAAGACAGCTTCATGACAAATTTTATATTCTTTTTTTTTTTTTTTCTTTGAGACGGAGTCTCGCTCTGTCACCCAGGCTGGAGTGCAGTGGCATGATCTCGGCTCACTGCAACCTCCGCCTCCTGGGTTCACGCCATTCTCCTGCCTCAGCCTCCAGTAGCTGGGACTACAGGTGCCCACCACCACGCCCGGCTAATTTTTTTTTTTTTGTAGTTTTAGTAGAGACGGGGTTTCACCATGTTAGGCAGGATGATCTCGATCTCCTGACCTCATGATCCACCTGCCTTGGCCTTCCAAAGTGCTGGGATTACAGGCGTGAGCCACCATGCCCGGCCTTTATATTCTTAAAATAGCAAAGTAGCTTCATCTGAAAACAGGAGAGCACTTCCCTTTATTTCAAAGCATGGAATATGTTTCTGTACAAGAGAAAAAGCTAAATGTGGGGGCTTTTTTAAGTCTTCAAAATTCTCTTGCAATTTTCTAACTTTACATCCTCCTTCATTCTTTGAGGGAACACAATGCCTGCTTCTCCGTTTGTTGCTTCTCTCTAAGTTGCAGCTTCTAAGGTGGCATCACTTCCAGAAAGGATTGCATAAAAATCAGCACAGACATCTCTCCTGTGCTACTGCCCTGAAGGTGTGTCAGCTCAGCTGCTGTGTCTGGCACCCACCTTCCACTTTGGCTGCATCTTCTGAGTCCTTAGCCTGGGCCTGCGCGTCTAGCAGGAGGACATCTTCTTGGGCTTCTAGAAGGGATGGGTAGGCTTGGTTCCCTGCTAGGGCTTCAGGCCCATACTTCTTGTAGACATGGCAGTTGATCAGGTCCCTGAGGGCACTGTCATTGAGTCGCTGTGGCAGAGTCAGCAGCAAGTCCTGGGCCAATTCTATGGGCACGGCCAGTTCAGCTAGGATCTCATCATCCAGAATCTGCCATCAAGGAGAAGCTCTCACTGCAGACAGCCCTGCCGACCCAGAGGCCCCAGGGAGCACTTGGTAGGGGTGGGGGTCTCTCTGCACACATACCCTCCATCCTGATCCTCTCACAGCTGGCAGCTGGCTCCTCCCAAACAGCTCACCCTCCCACCTCTGAAAATTCCAGACCCCTCCTCTGCAGCCCCTTCCACTCTCTGACCTCCACTTTTCATCCTGAGCCTTCCAAATGCTCTATACAGTCCAGCCCTTGCAATAGAGCCCTCCAACCTCTGAGTGTCTCCAGGCTGGCTCTACCTCCCCATCTAGGTTCTCCTGGAGGATCTGGAGAACCTCCTGATGGTCAGGTCCATCCAGCTTCTTGATGAAGAAGAGGAGTTCCCACCACTCAGCCAGGGTCAGGTGTTCACACTCCTCAGTGTCCTCATCCTCAGGCAGCACATAAGGCACAGCATAGAGTTCTGTCATGGGCCTCCAGCGCCAGGCAGGCAGGGCTGTGAAAATGGGCCAAGGGGCACAAGGATGTCACTAGCAACTCAGCAGGACCACCATTCCTCTGCTCAGAGCTGACCCTTGCTTCCTCCCTGAGCTCACCTCTACCCAGGACTCTACTGGCCACTGCCCCTTGGTACTCATCAGCCTCAACCATGTCCTCAATGTCTTCCTCAAAGCCCAAGATCTCCAGCATGTGCCAGTGCACCCAATAGGTGCGGCCTGTTGACTCCCAAAATACCTGGAGCATAGGGAAAGAAAGAGGGAAGGGGAAGGGAGGACTCACAAATGACTGGCTGTGGCCCAGTACTGAGGACTATAGCCCTCAGGGTGACCACCTGGCCAGGTTTTAGAAAAACCTCCACATAACAAAACAGCAGCATATGGAGAATACACACACACACACACACACACACACACACACACACACACACACACACACACACACAGGATGCCTTCTCCTTTGGGGGATGGGCCTGTCTCTCCTCTCACCCTGTCTTTCATGGCTTATGCCCCCACACTTCCTTCTGGCCTCCACCACTCCATCTCCCTGACCCTGACCTTTGGAGGAGTCTGGCTATATCAGTTTCTTCCCAGGTGTGAGTCTTCTTGACTTCACAGCCTCCTAAACCCAGATTTTCCCAGCTCTCAGAATGGCCCCCCTCTCAACTACTGACTCTTTTCACCATTCCAATCTTACCTAAAGCTTTCTCTTTGGGTGGCCTGCTGGAGCCCCCCCATATAGAAGTCCCAGCTCTGCCCTACCCCAAATAGACCCCCAACAGTATCCCACCACCATGTGCCACTCACCTGCACAGGAGGCACACCGTTGTTGCTCTGCCGAAACTCGCCCTCATCCCCGGCACTGATCTCCTCATAATCATCCAGCATCCGCACTCGCATCCCCGGCTGCAGTGTGTCCCGCACATACAAAGCATAGGTATTGCCACTTGCGAACTCAGAACGAGGGCGAAAACGTCTTGACCTCCTGAAGGAGGGCTGAGCCTGGGCAGCGGGGAGCCCTGGGCTCACATCTGCCAGCTGAGGCTGGAAGATGGAACCGGGGGACCGTGCTGAGCTCCTTGGTCTGTCTGAGGCCTGGTCCCAGCGCATGGCTTGCACCAGCTCCGAGATCAGGGTGCCCATGGCCATACTGAACTCCAGCTCCAGTTGACCCCTCTCCCCACTCAACTCCTCAGGAGCAGAGGTGTTCTGGGCTCCTGGCTCCGCAGCACTGTCGTTCAGCTGATCCAGGAGCGAGGTGACATGCAAATACCGCTTCACCAGGGAGAAGAGCACCCTTCCTGGGACCTGTGGGATACAACCTTTGGCCTATATCCACCTTGTCCCAGTTTAAGCCCCTCTCTCCATACCATCCTCTGCAGATAGGTGCAAAGGCCTGGACCCTAGATCTTGTTCACAAGTTCCCCCCACCTTACACCCCCAAAGGTTACCTGTGGTAGCTGAATGCCCTCGAAAGACATGGGGTGTTCAGAGAGCGTGGCCTGTGCAAACAGTGCTAGCAGAGCACAGCGGCTGTCAAAATCCAGGTGTTTCTCAATGGCTTCTTGTTGGCTCAGTGACAGAAGGATCTGAGTCCGGGTCCCTGTAACCCACACCCCAGTTGGTAACTTCTCCCTAATCTCACCCTTCCTAGAAATCTTAGACCCTCTACTCTTTCAATCCAATCCTTTTGCCACCACACAATGAGAAAGAACTGATTTGCTTCAAAAGCTAAAATTTGCTAACTTATACACATACACACACACACGCACATAAACACGATCTACAATAGTCTAAACTCTAAATTCTTCCTTTGCATAAAAAGCAACTAATTAATATGAGGTTCTTGAAGATAGTCTTTCCTCTTTTGGCAGATAACCCCCACCCTCACTCCCATGCCCACCTCCTTTTCTTCCAACTCTAAGAGAAGGGCAACAGAATCATTTACGTACTGATGAGATCAGAGGCTCCTGCCACAGTGTCCTGTGAGTCCCTGAGCCGACCCAGCCCTTCTCCTGCTTTCCCTTCCTCCCCACACTGCCCCTCACCAGCGTCATGGGAGGACAGGGCTTGTATCATCCGGCCTGCACTCCAGCGAATCTGATAATCAGGACTACTCAACATGTGCATGAGCAAGTCCAGGACCCTTGGGTCCTTGAATACTCCAGTGAGGGGCTCAATGCTGGCATAGGCGCTGAGCACGTGGACAGTGTGAAGTAGAGGAGCAGGAGGGATAGTGCCCACACACTCCTCCAGCTGCCGAAGGGCTCTCTGAATGAGGGACTTCACGTCGGTTTCCATCTCCTCCAGCACAGATTTGTCCAGGGCCCCAACCTCCCCTGCAGACTCCTGGGAGGGCCCGATGACCTGGCCATCCTCGCCCAGCATCTTGTGGCAGTTGGCATAGATCTCATCCTTGGACATCCACAGCAGGATGTGCTCAGCCTTGCAGTCCACTTGGCCAGAGCCCCCGTCCCCCTCATCGCCACGCCGCAGGATGAGCCAACGGATCTGGTACTCAGGATGCCCATCATGGCCCACGCGCTGGCGGATCAGCTCATCAGGATAGGCATGTAAGCCGGGCCCCAGGGGCACCCTGAATTCCCTGTAGCGGAGTTCTCCCACCATCCTGGCACCTGGAGCACACAAGGAAAAGAGAACAGACAAGCTAGAGGAAGGAGAGGTCAGAAAATCAAAGATATCCAGGAGGTGGGGAAGCAAATGGCAACAGCTGTCAGGCGGGGTGGGGTAAAGCCAGGCCCAGGAGTTGCATGCTGCACGCTGGGTGGGGGCAGGCCTAAGCAGAGAACACTGGGGTGTTTGTTGTGAAAGAACACAAAATTTGGGGGCTAAAAGGAAGGTCCCCAAGACCCTGTGGCCTGGAGTGGGTTGATATGGAACAGTGGGCGGACTAGTGGGGGCAGGGCAGCCTTGGAGTTACAAGTGAATCCCAAGGCCTTGGAACAGGCAGCAACCTATGGGGTATGTGAAGCCCAGAGGGGTATGTTTGGGAGGGAGATCGTGAGTGTGTGTGAAAAGGGGTGCTGTCTCTAAGGATTGGAGCATGGGAGTGCGAGACCCAAGTTAAGAGTCCCGAGATCGCAGAGTTAAGAGACCTGAGAACTGGTGGTGGAGTGGGAGGGCAAGGCGCGATGGACTAGGAGGAGGCACTGGTGGGTTGGAGGCGCCTCCGACTGGAGCAACTGGAACAAGAGGGCTGGTGAGGGCGCCGCGAGACCCAGGGCAGGGTGCACAGACCAGGTAGGCGAGGGGCTTGGGGACCGAGGTTGGAGACTGGAGAAGCCAGGGGCGCGCGGTAAGGTGGGGGAGAGGGGATTAGGCCCCATAAGCTAGAACCCCGAGGCACGGTAGGATGGGGACCGAGGTTGGGTGAGCGCGAGGCTCGATGGGCTAGTGGGCAGGGAAGGAGAAGCAAGGGGCCGCGGTGGGGCTCTGGCCACCTCAGAAGTCCACCGGGGTCCTGGCGCGAGGCCTGTCCTTCACAGAGCAAGGGACGCGGCACAGACGCTGGCGGCGACTTGGGCCCCACCTGGGCCCCGCGAGGGGGTCGAGACGGAGAGACGGGAGGGGGCGTGCCTCCGCGGAACAGAGCTGCACCCGCGTGAGTCGGCAGCCACTGGGGCAGGGTGGGGCCCGGTCCCTGCCAGCGGCTCCGCCAGCCAAAAGCCACGGCTCATTTCCGCCCGACCCAGCGGAAAGCTAGGGGCCCTGGGAGAGCGCCGGGGCGGAGCCGAGGATGCCACCTTGGCGACGCAGCACCTCCTTCTTTGCGCCGCCCTTTCCTCTTCCTTTAGTCCTCCCTCCTGCGGAAGTGCCCTCCCCGTTTCCCAAAGTCAGAACTGGAAAAGACCTTGGACGTCATTTATTTCCATCCCCGGCTCCATTACTTGTAAGGGAATTGGGGTGGGGACAGACCCAGTGTCCTGTACTTTCTCTTCCACACTTTTTACTTCTTTTCCCCACGTTTAGTCTGTACCATCCCCTCCCCCGCAAAAAAAAAACAACAACAAAAAAAACAAAAAACACCCAAAACAAAACCACAGTAACAGATTAAAACGGGGGGGGGGGGCATTTTATTAGAGTACAGGGATATCAGCTTTGGGCAGAAGCAGAAGGCAGCTTCACGTAACTCTTCATGGGGGGTAGTGGCCGAATCTTTCGGCCAGCCCAGCCCCCCTTGCGGTGCCACCGCCCACTGTTAGGCCTCTTGCCCAGCCAGCGGTTGCGACCTGCCTTGCCAATGACCCGTTTGTTATGATCAACGTTGGATACTCGGCCTACTGTTGCTACGCACGTTTCCAGCACCTGACAGAGAAAACAGATGGAGATTCTGTACAATGGGGGGGAAAGAGCTTGACAATGTTGAGAGCACACCCTTGGGGGGCTTCTTAGACTCAAGGAGAGAAGGGCGAGGGAAAAGGAAAAGCATAAGATGGCTGACACTAAGTGAAGGTCCTACAGTAGGAACTAAGTAGTTGAAAACAAAGAGCTCACGCCAGTAATCCCAGCACTTTGGGAGGCCAAGGCTGGAGGATCACTTGAGCTCAGAAGTTCAAGACCAGCCTGGGCAACATAATGAGATCCCATCTCTACAAAAATAAAAAACATTAGCCAGGGTCAGGTGCAGTGGCTGACACCTGTAATTCCAGCACTTTGGGAGCCTAGGCAGGCAGATTGCTTGAGCTCAGGAGTTCAAGACCAGCCTGGCCAACGTGGTGATACCCTGTCTCTACAAAAAATACGAAAATTAGCCTGGTGGAGTGGTGTGCGCCTGTAGTCCCAGCTACTTGGGGGGCTGAGGCAGAATTGCTTGAACCCAGGAGTTTGAGGCTGCAGTGAGCTGATTGTGCCACTGCACTCAAGCAATAGAGTGAAACCCTGTCTCAAAAAAAATTAAGTAGGGCCGGGTGTGGTGGCTCACTCCTGTAATCTCAGCACTTTGGGAGGCCAAGGTGGGCGGATTATGAGGTAAGGAGTTTGAGACCAGCCTGGCCAACATGGTGAAACCCCATCTCTACTAAAACACAAAAATTAGCTGGCTGTGGTGGTGCGTGCCTGCAATCCCAGCTACTCGGGAGGCTGAGGCAGAATTGCTAGAACCTGGGAGGTGGAGGTCACAGTGAGCCCAGATCGTGCCATTGCACTCCAGCCTGGGCGACAGAGCAAGACTCTGTCTCGAAAAAAAAAAAATTAATTATGGTGCCAATCCGACAAAGCACACCTGAGTCATGTGGCAGAAAAGGACAGCCTCAGCTCAAGGCAGTTCCTTGCATCATAAAACACCTGGGAGCTATCCCAGACAGGAAAGTTACATTCCAAAAATTCCTCCTTTGCTGACCCCTCCCATCCATACCCATACACACCTGCATCTGCCTCTTAGAGGGCAGCTGGATAATGGCTGTGCCATTCACCTTCCGCAGTAGCACACCACACGTCCCTGGGGAAAGAAGCTGATTTGCCACCCTCCACAAAACAGGGGGGTGCAGAGGGACTTACACAGGGGACATACCCCACATGCTGCCCTTGCTTTGCTCTTTAGGAGCAGATACACAAAGAAGGACGCATGCTATGTTTTAGGTAAAAACACATGCATATCTTCATCCTCATGTTTGTTTTTTCCTTAATTTTCTCTGCCAGTACCAGATGTGGAACCATGGGTTCAGACTCTCCTTGCCTTTCCAAACTATAGGACCCAGGCAACTCCTTTCCCCATACCTGCAGCTCGGATATATTGGGCACCCCGGCCTGGCTCACTTTCCACGTTGTTGATGAGGGTCCCCACAGGCAGAGCCCCAAGAGGATGCGCATCCCCTTCCCGAGCAGCAACTAAAAGACAGGATTTCATTAGCTCTAGAACTTTTGCTGCCTCCAGCCCACACATCTGGTAGCCATCTCTCACCTGCCATTCGGCCTATGTGGTTAGAGTTCAAGATTGTATCTCCAGCCTGCATGTTTTCTGTGGCGATGATCCAGCGTTTCCGGCTGCCCCCAGCAACCAGAGCTATGTCTGCTGACCTAATCAGGGTGAGGGACAGGTAAGCAGACCGTCTAGGCAGCCCCACATCTTCTGAGAAGCTATGGAGTTATTCAGACCATTCCATCATCATCCCACATCCCAAACTTGCCTACAGGGATCATAGCGGACTTGGATAACCTTCTCCTCAAAGGGTCCTGACTTGGTCTCCTCAGGCCGGAAACGCAGAAAGTCAATCATTCGATAACGTTGCTTGTGGCCCCCGCCAATACCATGCACCCGGATTCGGCCTGTGGTTTAGGACAGTTGGGGGATATGATTCAGGTCAGAGTAGTTTAGTTTCCAGCACTGGGAACTGGCCCATTCTCTGCCAGAGAGCAGTGCTTAGCATTGTGGCACAAGCAGAAATGATAAAAATTTGCACAGCACACTGGAGTAAGGAGGGGCAACACCAACATGAAGCTTGGTGAAAAAAACATTATATGATTATTGAAATTGTATAAAACTTCCAGATAAAATATTTTCTTTTTTTCTTCTGAGACAGAGTCTCACTCTGTTGCCCAGGCTGGAGCGCAGTGGTGCGATCTCGGCTCACTGCAAGCTCCGCCTCCCGGGTTCACGCCATTCTCCTGCCTCAGTCTCCCGAGTAGCTGGGACTACAGGTGCCCACCACCACGCCCAGCTAAGTTTTTGTATTTTTAGTAGAGACGGGTTTCACTGTGTTAGCCAGGATGGTTTCAATCTCTTGACCTTGTGATCCGCCCACCTTGGCCTCCCAAAGTGCTGGGATTACAGGCGTGAGCCACTGCGCCCAGCCAAAATATTTTCAAATTACTGAAATCAGTAAGTTTACTGAGAGCCATGTAAATCATACTTAAATAATTTCAACTGTTATAAATTTTTTGCATGTGTGTGATGGGGTCTCACTCTGTTGCCCAGGCTGGATCCTGACCTAAAGTTATCCTCCCGCCTTGGCCTTCCAAAGTGTTGGGATTATAGGCAGGAGCCACCACACCCGGCCGGTTATAAATATATATACTTTTTGAGATGAGTCTCGCTCTGTCACCTGGGCTGGAATACAATGGTGCGATCTCGGCTCACTGCAACCTCCACCTCCTGGGTTCAAGCGATTCTCCTGCCTCAGCCTCCTGAGTAGCTGGGATTACAGGTGCCCACCACCACACCTGGTTAATTTTTTTTTTGAGACAGTCTTGCTCTGTTGCCCAGGCTGGAGTGCAGCAGCGCGATCTCGGCCCACTGCAGCCTCTACCCTCCACCTCCCGGGCTCAAGTGATTCTCATGCCTCAGCCTCCCAAGTAGCCGGGATTACAGGACTGCACCATTACACCTGGCTAATTTTTATATTTTTATAGAGATGGGGTTTCACCATGTTGGCCAGGCTGGTCTTGAATTCCTGGCCTCAAGTGATCTGCCTGCCTTGGCCTCTCAAAGTGTTGGGATTACAGGCGTGAGCCACTGCGCCTGACCAATTTTTAAAGTTTTAGTAGAGATGAGGTTTTGCCATGTTGGCCAGCCTGGTCTTAAACTTGTGACGTCAGGTGATCTGCCCGCCTCGGCCTCCCAAAATGCTGGGATTACAGTCGTGAGCCACCTTACCCAGCCTGTTATAAATTTTTGAAGGGTATGAAGGAAAATGTCATGGCACTTCCTGTGTATGGCCCATTTTCTTCAATTACCCAAATTGTCTTTAGAAGCATAGACCAATTACCTATTGCTTTGTATTCTACTCTCTGACTCCTGTACACATACTACATGCAAAAGGAGCCAAATAAGTGCTTTTTAATTACATTCCTCTGCCTTACAAGGTACAAGTGTGTCAATATACAAGTCTAGGGTCTTAACATGTTTTTCCTTTTGACTGCTTAAATCCCCCTGTCCTTGTTCCCACCTGTGTGGTCTCGGCCCCCAGACTTCCTCATCTTCACTGGTGTAATGGTGTACTTGGTACGACTCTTCCAGGACACAAAGTTGGCATTAAGGGCCACAGAAGTAAGAACTGGGCGGCAGGGGAGCAACATCAAGGCAGAGGGCTGTTGGAGGAGGCCATTGTTCATCATCTAGGGATAAAAAGACATCTCTTTCATTTGAAAGCTAATTGAAGGCAAAGCATCAGAGAACCAAGGCAGAGGGCACAGATCAATTTTAGCTTGTAGCCCACTTCCTCCTGGATGTATCCCAAACCAGCTATCCAAAAACTCCACCCTTCACAGCTTGCACAGTAATGTTCTCTCCTTGGTGATCTCCTTCCAAATTTGGCTCAGAACTCTCCATCTCCAGGAATCTGTTTTTACCTAAACAATTCCCTTCTCCAGAGCTGGTAGCTTCCACACATCCATGTACCACCATCAGTGCCAATTCCTTTTGCCCTCTGCATTGTTTCTGGGAATTCTTCACATATGAATGGAGGGGAGGGGTCATTTCACTCTTGTTCCTTGATGTATTCCCAGCATTTCGGAGTAGGTTGATTTGGATTTGAATTTTAAACATGCATCTCCCAAACTGTACCATAAGCAGCCTGAAAGCTCCAGAGGAGCAGGACTTACTTCTCTTTTGTGTGACTCACCAGTCACCCACTAGGACCTCAGGATACCTTCCCCTGAGGCCACTGTTCTTGGTATCTTGCCCTGCATTCTCTAATATCAGCAGTAACTCATCCTTGCAGGCATCATATCATAATGGTTAAGAGCACAGGCTCTGAAAGACAGACTGTTTAGCTCTGATAGTTGGTGTGTGACCTTGGACTCCTTATTTTCCTCATCTATAAAATGGGAATAGTAACTGCCTTATAGAGTATTTGAAAGGAGTTCATTTATTTGAAACGTCTATTACCTATACCTGGCTTATCATAGGCACTCGAAACGTTATTACTGAAACCTGCACAACCGGTGATCTGCAAAGCACTTTCACCTTAAGTATCTCGTCTGAAGAATTTCGCCCTATGAGAAAGCAACACTTGTAGAGGAAAAAGCTGAGGCTAAGTGTGCCTTATCCAAGGTCACGGACCTGCATGACTCCTGACCAGACTCGCAACTCCCGCCTCGCATGCCCGCAGACCCCATCTCCGGCAGCCCGAATGGAAGCAGCCTTCTTCCCGGGTAAGATGGATTACCTGGGCGGCGGGGAACAGACTCGGGGCAGGGGCGGCGACGGTCGGGGGCGCCAGGTTCAGAGAGCGCAGAGCGCGGGTCAGTGCGCACAGGGCCATCAGCACGACACCCTTACTTTTAGCCAAGCTGCTCGGTGCTCCTAGATGACGTTGACTGTCCGGCGCCGTCGCTCCGCAATAACGTAAAAGGAGGCGGGCAGAAAACTGGAGCCCAAGCTGGATACACACCTCCTTTCCTACCTGAACGCCGTGAGAGCCAATCCGCGGGCAGCTCTAATGTCGCGTGACTAGGAAACAGGCCCCGCCCCCCCAGACCCGTCAAAACAATTGCCTCGAGCGGCAGCCATCATGGATTTAAAGGGGCAGTACCGGCAAGAGCGGCAGCCACACCGGCAGATTGCAGGTGAGTCTTTGAGGGTATCCTGGGGCTGAAGGTTAAGGTCTCTGCCATCTCTTATTCTCGCACTACCAGAAAGATGAACAAACCCCCTCCAACCAACCTTACAAAACTCCAGCCTCCAAAACTCCGCCCTTCGCGATTCTTCCCCGCCCCTCGGCGTCCAGACAGATAGACAGACGACCTGCCCCGCCCCCTGCGCCACCGACTGACTCAGTGACCTCGGGGTCGTTAGGCCTCCACGTCCTCGCTGGAGCTGCGGACCTCAGTCGTCCATCCACACCTCCCCCCTGCCGCCCCCGCCCATCTCACTCTCCCAACCCTGGGCACCAGGGCAGGTCGACAGCCCGAGGCACTCCTCTACTGCGTTTCCAGGCCCAGGAGACCCACTCCAGCGCCGCGGTTCCTTGCGACCCGGCAGCCGTTCAGCAGACCTCCCATTCTTTCCTGCATCATCGGGCATTGTGGAGGCACCCTACGGTGATTCCTCTCAGAGCCTGTTTGTAGGTGACCGTGACAGAGACAAAACCATGGAAGTGACTGGGTTTGGAGTGACCAGGTGTTCCTCCCTCCCCTTTCCCAGACACGCCTCTTGCTGTAGGTCTCTGGTTAAGTCTCTCTCTCTCATTCCCTTCCTGGGAGACAGTAGCTCCCTAGGCCTGCAATGAGGGAGGCTGGCTTGGGGAAGGAGACGGGAATTGGGCGTCTTTGAAGACCTGTGGGCAGAGGGAGGGAGGGAGGGTGTTTGTCCTGGGTGGGGCTCTGGGCCAGGTCCTCTGGGTAGCTGTGAAGTGGTGAAAGAAGGGGTGGGAACGCTGGACTTCTGGACTTTGGGCAGGGCAGATCCTCTGACTCTCTGGCTGCAGAACAGTTTCTTCCGTGCTCTGGCCTGAGTGCCACAGCCAGGGCCTCTGCTCTGTACACAGGTAAGAAGGCTTCAAAGATGAGAAACAAGACCCCTCTGAGGAAGTGGGAACACAGTCTGAGTCCTGGGGGGTGGGAAGTATGGGTTGAAGGTTAGTGGGAAAATATGCAGGGCTGACCAGGTTTGGAGATGCTGGGCTTAGTTCTGCAGGTGATGCAGCCTGAAGACCTTGAGCTTTCTGGGACCCTGTAATGTGGATCCTGCAAGGAAGGCTCTTGTTTTCTTCTTTTCCCTTTCTTCCCTGATTTAACTTTGCAGAGATTCCTTCCGTTTTTTCTAGACCCCTGCATTATTTTCTGCATATCTCCCACTTTAACCCTGTGCCATTTGCAGCTCTCCCACAGACCTTCTGTGATCCCCATAGTGCTGTCTCTCATCCCTTGATTCCTTTTCCTAACTCAGGCTGTAACTGCTTTTTTGTTCTTTTCCTAAGTCCTAAATCCTTCTGCTAGTTCTAAGCACCTTTGTTCCTACTATAGTCTTCCTTTATTTAAGTCAGTTCATCTCCCTCTCGCTTTGCCCACAACCTTAGCTTTGAGTTTAGTGATCTAAGCTCCCTGCCTGCTGGTCACTCTCTCTCTCCAGCTAAGCCACAGGGTCACTCTTACTTTTGTCCCTTCACTTGGATTCCCACCACTCTCTGAGAAAGTTGCTCAGCTTCTCTGTCTCATCTTTACACCAGCTGAACTCTGTTGTTTCTCCCTAGACCGGGCAAGGTCCCCCAGGCCAGGATGTCAGGCCTGGTGTTGGGGCAGCGGGATGAGCCTGCAGGCCACCGGCTCAGCCAAGAGGAGATCCTGGGGAGCACACGGCTGGTCAGCCAAGGGCTAGAGGCCCTACGCAGTGAACACCAGGCCGTGCTGCAAAGCCTGTCCCAGACCATTGAGTGTCTGCAGCAGGGAGGCCATGAGGAAGGGCTGGTGCATGAGAAGGCCCGGCAGCTTCGCCGTTCTATGGAAAACATTGAGCTCGGGCTGAGTGAGGCCCAGGTGAGAGGGCAAAGGTGGTGCCAAGTGGTCCAGGGTGGATGGAGGAGCAGTTATCTGATTAAAGGTTTGGGGCTGCTTGGGATCACCTCACTCTAGACGTTTGCATTCATTCATTAAATATGTATTAAGTCCCTACTGTGTGCCAGAATGCTTTTGGGCACTGAAGAGATACATCATTGAACAAAACTGTAAAAATCTTTGCCATCTTGGAGGTTACCTTCTAGCTTGGGAAGACAGACAATACATAAATAAATAATGATTCGGTATGCCAGAGTGATAGTTGCTAAGCATAAAAGGATCAAAATAAAGCAGGGAAGGAAACTAGGGACTGTGGGGAGAGGGTATAATTTTAGATAGGGTGGTCAGAAAAGGCCACCCTTTTTTGAAAAGGTGACATTTTTGGCAAAGACGTGAAGTTGAGGGGAATGAGTCATGCCATAAACAGGGGAAGGGCATCCTAAGCACAGAGAGCAGCAAGTGCAGAGGCTCTGAATGGAAGTCTGCCTGGTGAGGTCAGTGAACAGCAAGGGGCCAGTATGGCTGCAGTAGAGTGAATGAGGAGAAGCAAGGTAGAAAATTAAGTCTGAGGGGTAATGGGGTTGGAGGGGAGGGAGATGGATCAAGTGGAACTTGTAGGCCACCCCGAGGACTTTGATTTTGCCCTTTCTTTGAGACGGAGTCTCGCAGTGTTGCCCAGGCTGGATGTAGTGGCACAATCCTGGCTCTCTGCAACCTCTGCCTGCCAGGTTCAAGCGATTCTCCTGCCTCAGCCTCCCGAGTAGCTGGGACTACAGGCGCATGCCACCACGCCCGGCTAATTTTTTGTATTTTTAGTAGAGATGGGGTTTCACCATGTTGGCCAGGCTGGTCTTGAATTCCCGACCTCTTGATCCACCCGCCTTGGCCTCCCAAAGTGCTGGGATTATAGGCGTGAGCCACTGTGCCTGGCCCTGATTTTACTTTGAGCGAGATGGAAACTATTGGAATGTTTTTAGAAGAGGAGTGATGTGGTCTAACTTGGCATCATCAGGTTGTTGGGTTACAAATAGACAATAGGGGAACAAGGGCAGAAACGAGGCCAGTGAGGAAGTTATTGTAATAATTTGGGTAGGAATTGATAGTGGCTTGGTCCAGGGTGACAGCAGTGGAGGTAGTGGGAAATTGGATTCAGGGTATGTTTTGAAGGTAGCACCACTGCTACACCCCCACCTTCTGGCTCCTCTGTGCCCCTGCCAGTCTTGCCACGTCCCAGTAGGCTCCCCTTCCACCTGTTCCTGAATACTCCCACCCAGAATCTGGAGCTCAGGGGATGTGCCCACCTAGGTGATGCTGGCTCTAGCCAGCCACCTGAGCACAGTGGAGTCGGAGAAACAGAAGCTGCGGGCTCAGGTGCGGCGGCTATGCCAGGAGAACCAGTGGCTGCGGGATGAGCTGGCTGGCACCCAGCAGCGGCTACAGCGCAGTGAACAGGCTGTGGCTCAGCTGGAGGAGGAAAAGAAGCACCTGGAGTTCCTGGGGCAGCTGCGGCAGTATGATGAGGATGGACATACCTCGGTGAGTGTGCACAGGCGAGACTGGCTGAGGGGTGGGCAGCCGGGAGTTACCACAGACATGGGGGCAATTGCCCCATCATCCTCAGGGTCCATCAGCTCTACCCAACCTGCTCTCACCTGAAAGAATTCCTTTTTCAGCCCTGACACCAACTCCAGGTGACAGCAAGGGGAAAAACAATATTCAGGTAATTCAGTCAACATTTAATGAGATGCCTACTGTGTACCAGGCATTGTGCACTGCACTGGTGAATGGGGCACACAGAGTTCCTGCTCTCACAATTACAAGCTTGTGAGGGAGATAGATAAGCACCTGGACAATTCCAATCCAGAATTCTACGTGGTACAATTAGGGAAAGCATAACCCAGTTGAGCATGACCCTCCTAAAATTTGCTTTCAAAATGTGTGAATTTTTTTTTTTTTTTTGAGACGGAGTTTCACACTTGTTGCCTAGGCTGGAGTGCAATGGTGCAATCTCAGGTCACAGCAACCTCCGCCTCCCGGGTTCAAGCAATTCTCCTGCCTCAGCCTCTTGAGTAGCTAGGATTGCAGGCACCTGCCACCACGCCTGGCTAATTTTTGTATTTTTACTAGAGACGGGGTTTCACCATGTTGGCCAGGCTGGTTTTGAACTCCTGACCTCAGGTGGTCTGCCCGCCTGGGCCTCCCAAAGTGCTGGGATTACAGGTGTGAGCTACCATGCCCGGTCCAAAATGTGTGAAATTTAACCCTCGCTCAACAGAATGCAGTGATGCCATCTCAGCTCACTGCAGCCTCCGCCTCTGGCTTTCAAACAATTCTTGGGCCTCAGCCACCCAAGTAGCTGGGATTACAGGTGTCTGCCACCACACCCGGCTAATGTTTGTATTTTTAGTAGAGATGGAGCTTTGCCATGTTGACCAGGCTGGTCTCAAACTCCTAGCCTCAAGTGATCTGCCTGCCCTCGGCCTCCCAAAATGCTGGGATTACAGGCGTGAGCCACCACGCCTGGCTGAGAGTGTGTGTTTTCTTGAGATGTATCTGTAGGGAACAAGTCTTATCCAGGAGAACATATATGTGACAAAATACAAAGCAGCAAGTGCTCAGTGCTGGATGAGTGGTTCAGTCAGTGTGGGAAGAATTTCACAGAGAAATGTCTCTGAGGGCTGGAATGGTCTAAGAAGAATTCATAGAGGAAGCAGGGAGCCTGGGCAACATAGTGAGACCCTGTCTCCACAAAAAATTAAAAAATTAGCCTGATGTGGTCGTGTGCACCTATAGCCTCAGCTACTCTGGAGGCTGAGGTGGGAGGATCGCTTGAGCCCAGGAGGTGGAAGCTGCAGTGAGCTGTGATTATGCCACTGCATTCTAGCCTGGGCTGTTGCCAGACTAGAGACTCTGTCTCAAAAAACAAACAAAAAAATAGAGGAAGCAGGATACAGGGATGGGTAGGATATAGGTTGGATTTCCCATTTGAGTGGGTTAGGAGTTGAGATGGATTTTGAAAGTTCATGATGAGGAAGAGGGAGCAGCTTTTTAGACTGGAGTGCAGGGTGTCATTGATAAGGCTTACAGCCTGGAAAAGCTGGTCTGTCCCAGGGAAAGTGAGTAGATGAATTGCATAGGACACATTGGTGAAGCTGGGTAGGAGGGTTGGTGTTTGGATGAGGCTGCAGTTCCTGATGGGGAAAAGCAGATTTTCCTAGTGCGGAATAGGTTAGACAGTGAGGGAGGGTTACGTAGTAAGTCCAGAATGAGCTGTGCAGATGATGGGCACCAGGCTGAGCTAGACACTTTCTGGGTACATGTCAATAAGATCGGCCACACTCCCTTCCCTCAGGAGAGACAGGACAGACATACAATCAACGTAAACACACAGAGATCAGCATAGGGCCATAATTACAAGAGTTAAGGCAAGATTGAGGGTGGTTAGAAAGGAAACTTTTTTTTTTCTTTTTTTTTTGTTTTGAGACAGAGTTTCGCTCTTGTTGCCCAGGCTGGAGTGCAATGGCATGATCTCGGCTCACCGCAACCTCTGCCTCCCAGGTTCAAGCGATTCTCCTGCCTCAGCCTCATGAGTAGCTGGGATTATAGGCATGCGCCACCACGCCCGGCTAATTTTGTATTTCTAGTAGAGATGGGGTTTCTCCACGTTGGTCAGGATGGTCTTGAACTCCTGACCTCAGGTGATCTGCCCACCTCGGCCTCCCAAAGTGCTGGGATTACAGGCGTTAGCCACCACACCCGGCCAGGAAGGAAACTTTCTGTATGAGAAGGAGGGGAAGTCTTGAGATTTTGTCCAAAGCATCTCTGGCTGTTACAAACAAGAGGCCTGAGCTTGGCTGGGCCACTTGCTAGCCTTTCCAGGGGCAGAGACAGGAACAACAGTCTTCTCCTAGGTCCCATCTGTCTGTGATTTCATGGCTTAGAGGGGTCACTGAGAAGGCTACTAGGTAGGGATATCTTGGCCCTTATATGTTGCTTCTTCCCTTCCAGGAGGAGAAAGAAGGCGATGCCACCAAGGATTCCCTGGATGACCTCTTTCCTAATGAGGAGGAAGAGGACCCCAGCAATGGCTGTGAGTCTGCCTCTGGAATGGGAGGGTGAAAAGGGGCAGCAGGAGGCTGGCCCTAGCTGTGGCCCACCCTGTACACAGGACAGTCACCATCTAGAAATAGGTTCTCCACTTTCTCTGGAGACAGGGCAGGGGCTGGGCTAGTACTTCGATTTCCTCAGCCTCCCCATTGAACGAACATGTATTAAGCACTGAATATGTGCCAGGTACTGTGCTAGGCACTAGGAGTACTGAGATGGAAATGGCATAGGTCTTACCAGTAAGGAGTTCACAGTCTAGTGGGAGAATAAACCTGAGACAGGGAGACCATGAGCCCCCCAAGGGAAAGAACCAGGTCTTTCTTACCTTTGTACTCCTGGAACATCCCTTGGTTCATACTTATTAAATAAATGTTTGTTGAATGCATGAATTACTGGGTGAACAACTGAGGTTGTGATGGGCATAGGTCAAGGGAGTGGATAAAAGAATAGCACTTGAGGCAGGTCTAATATTGAGAGTCCAGGTTGGGGTGGGCACAAGTATGGAACAAGACATGCAATGGGGAGTGGAAGGGCAGACAGCAAAGGGGAGAGGAAGAGTCCTTTGTTTATGTTCTGTGATGGTTTAGTGTCCCGTGGTCAAGGTGCTACAGCAGCTCAGCAGGGTGGATATGAGATCCCAGCAAGGTTGCGGACGTTGCACAACCTGGTGATCCAGTACGCAGCCCAAGGTCGCTATGAGGTGGCCGTGCCACTCTGTAAGCAGGCACTAGAGGACCTGGAGCGCACATCAGGCCGTGGCCACCCTGATGTCGCCACCATGCTCAACATCCTTGCTTTGGTGTATCGGTGAGGACTTCCCTCCTCCAGTGCCCAGATCTTCCCCCACATTCCCACCTTGGTCCTCCTTTGGCTTTCATTTTTCCTCTTTACAGGGTACCTCTCCTCCCTGTTGGGCCTCCCAGATACACCCCAACAGGGTGCTTCTTTATGTGCCAGAACTCTCACTTTTCCCATACCTAAGCATTTGCTCATCCCTTGGGATCCTTGTTCCTCTAATCTCTCTTCTGGGGAGTGCTCTCTCCCTCTCTTCCCCCTGCCCCCTTGCTTCTTATAACTTGTGGCCTCCTCTTGGGATGGCAGTGCCCTGCATTCTGGTATGAGTATGTCAGTGAAGCCCCCTTACTGTCCACGCCAGGCTTCCTGTCTCCTCATGGAGGTCTCCAATCCTTAAATGTACTCAGTCCTTCCAAAGGGAAGGAGGGAAGGAGAAGGCTTGCGGGTTCAGGGTAACTCCTGTCACTTTTGTCTTCTTCCAGTGACCAGAATAAGTATAAGGAAGCTGCCCACCTGCTGAATGATGCCCTTAGCATCCGGGAGAGCACCTTGGGACCTGACCATCCTGCTGTCAGTATTCCTTGCCCTCCCCACCCCACGCCCCGCACCCCCCACCATTGCTGTTTTGGCCTCTCTTAGCTCATCCATCTGCTGCCCTCAGTCCACTCACTAAGGGTGCTGAGGAAGGAGGCATAAGAAGTCCTTTCTTCCAGGCACTGTCCAGTGATCCTAATGATTCTCAATTCTCTGAGACTCAGTGACTCCTTTTTATAACAAATATTTTGCTTGAATTTAATTAATAGATAAGTCATAGGTAAATCCACATATGATTTCTACAAAACTTAATATGCTACTCTAATAAATATAAAAGAAAAACAAGAAAAGTAATTTGTAAGGACAATATATACAATGTAATATAATAAGGTAAAAATACAAAACAACAGTAGTTGTATTGAGTACAACTTTGTTAAAAGAAATAGCAAAGTGGCCTGGGCACAGTGGCTCACGAGTGTAATCCCAGCACTAATCCCAGCACTTTGGGAGGCTGAGGAGGGTGGATCACGAGGTCAGGAGATCGAGACCATCCTGGCTAACATGGTGAAACCCCATCTCTACTAAAAAAAATACAAAAAATGCCGGGCGTGGTGGCGGGCGCCTGTAGTCCTAGCTACTCGGGAGGCTAAGGCAGGAGAATGGCGTGAACCCGGGAGGCGGAGCTTGCAGTGAGCTGAGATCGTGCCATTGCACTCCAGCCAGGGTGACAGAGCGAGACTCCGTCTCAAAAAAAAAAAAAAAAAATGAAAATATAGGTGGACAGGCCGGGCGCGGTGGCTCACGCCTGTAATCCCAGCACTTTGGGAGGCCGAGGCGGGCGGATCACGAGGTCAGGAGATCGAGACCATCCTGGCTAAAACGGTGAAACCCCGTCTCTACTAAAAATACAAAAAATTAGCCGGGCGTAGTGGCGGGCGCCTGTAGTCCCAGCTGCTTGGGAGGCTGAGGCAGGAGAATGGCGTGAACCCGGGAGGCGGAGCTTGCAGTGAGCCGAGATCCCGCCACTGCACTCCAGCCTGGGCGACAGAGCGAGACTCCGTCTCAAAAAAAAAAAAAAAAAAAAAAAAAAAAGAAAATATAGGTGGACACTTTATTAAAGTACAGTATTATAAGAAATCACAAGGGTCGGGCACAGTGGCTCATGCCTGTAATCCCAGCACTTTGGGAGGCCAAGGTGGGCAAATCACGAGGTCAGGAGTTCAAGACCATCCTGGCCAACATGGTGAAACCCCGTCTCTACTAAAAATACAAAAATTAGCCGGGCGTGGTGGGGGGCACTTGTAATCCCAGCTACTCAGGAGGCTGAGGCAGGAGAATCACTCGAAACCAGAAGGTGGAGGTTGCAGTGAGGTGAGATCGCGCCTCTACACTCCAGCCTGGGCAGCAAGAGCAAAACTCTGTCTCAAAAAAAAAGAAAATAAATGACAGACCAGATTTATTTGTGTATAAGAGGAAGAGACTGGGCTTGGTGGCTCACGCCTGTAATCCCACCACTTTGGGAGGCCAAGGCAGGTCGATCACCTGAGGTCAGGAGTTTGAGACCATCCTGGCCAACATGGTAAAACCCCGTCTCTACTAAAAAAAAAATATAAAATTAGCCAGGCATGGTGGCATATGCCTGTAATCCCAACTATTTGGAGACTGAGGCAGGAGAATCATTTGAATCCGGGGGTTGGTGGTTGCAGCGAGCCGAGATCGCACCACTGCACTCCAGCCTGGGCAACAGAGCAAGACTCTGTCTCAACAAAATAAGAAGCGGCCCAGCGCTGTGGCTCACTCCTGTAATTTCAGCACTTTGGGAGGCCGAGGTGGTCGGATCACCTGAGGTCAGGAGTTTGAGACCAGCCTGACCAACAAGGTGAAACCCTGTCTCTACTAATAATACAAAAATTAGCCAGTTGTGGTGGCATGCACCTGTAGTCCCAGGTACTCGGGAGGCTGAGACAGGAGAATTGCTTGAACCCAGGAGGCTGAGGTTGCAGTGAGCCAAGATCGCACCATTGCACTTCAACCTGGGTGATGGGGTGAGACTTCATCTTAAAATAAATAAATAAATAAATAAATATAAATAAAAGGAAAGAGAGAAACAACCTTAAGTAGAGATATCACGCCAAGGCAAATGATAGAGTTGTCAATGTACAGAAAATGAAAAATGAAAAGTTTGTTTGTTTTGTTTTGTTTTGTTTTGTTTTTTGAGATGGAGTTTCGCAGTGTCACCCAGCCTATAGTGCAGTGGTACAATCTGGGTTCACTGTAATCTCTGCCTCCCAGGCTCAAGTGATCCTCCTGCCTCAGCCTCCCAAGTAGCTGGGATTACAGGTACGTGCTACCACGCCAGGCTAATTTTTGTATTTTTAGTAGAGATGGGTTTTCACCATGTTGGTCAGGCTGGTCTTGAACTCCTGACCTCAAGTGATCCACCTACCTCAGCCTTCCAAACTGCTGGGATTACAGGTGTGAGCCACCACACCCAGCTGAAAAGTTATTTATTTTTTGTTGAGATAGAGTTTCACTCTTGTTGCCAGGCTAGAGTGCAACATGGCACGATCTTGGCTCACTACAACCTCCACCTCCCGGGTTCAAGCAATTCTCCTGCCTCAGCCTCCCGAGTAGCTGGGATTACAGACATGCCACTACGCCTGGCTAATTTTGTACTTTTAGTAGAGACGGGGTTTCTCCATGTTGGTCAGGCTGGTCTCGAACTCCTGACCTCAGGTGATCCGCCCACCTCGGCCTCCCAAAGTGCTGGGATTACAGGCGTGAGCCACTGCGTCCAGCCAAAAAGCTATTTTTGAATGTGATCTGTGTGAAAATAATTCCCTATGGTATGACATATGATAGGCAGGGATGATGTATCTCAGAAATCATACTCCTGTCTTGATATCCCATCAAATATCAATGTTTACATTTAGCGTTTGGATGTCTGGCAGGACATTAAAAAATTGGCAGAGCTGTCCCACACATGCAGAACATCTATAGCGTTCTTGCCTCCTCAAAGGTAATCTTCATGGTGACAACAACAACAACAAAAAAAAAAAAAAAAGAAAGAAAAAAAACACCTCCAGAAATTTCTTAAAATCCCCTAGAGGGCGATACTGTCCCTTAGCCTCAGAGCCATCCTGTTCAGCAATTTCCCCTCCCTTCAGCCCCTGGCTCCAGGGTAGTAGACTTTGTCTCTTAGAGTTGTGCAGTGAGTGTTGGGCCCTGCTGGGAGGTGGGGAACCTCAGATTCCCATAGGTCTTTTGCAACCCAAATGTCTGATGGGGACAGGCCTGTCTTCATAGGTGGCTGCCACACTCAACAATTTGGCTGTGCTCTATGGCAAAAGGGGCAAGTACAAGGAGGCAGAGCCTCTGTGCCAGCGGGCACTGGAGATTCGAGAAAAGGTACCCATGCCCTCTCTCCCTTCTTCTCTTGTCGCTGTGACCCTTCTCTACATGGCTCCTCTGGTCTAACCCTCCTCCTTCACTTTTTTTTTCTCACCCCCATCTCTGCTTTGTTCTCTCTTCCTTCATTCCCTTTCCTCTGCTTTCCACATGTGTGTGCCTACATGCAAACACACGTGTGCTTGTGCACACACATGTTATCATAGCCATTTATCCACTCCTTTGTTCCCTTTCAGGTCCTGGGCACGAATCATCCAGATGTGGCAAAACAGCTGAACAACCTGGCCCTCTTGTGCCAAAACCAGGGCAAGTATGAGGCCGTGGAACGCTACTACCAGCGAGCACTGGCCATCTACGAGGGGCAGCTGGGGCCGGACAACCCTAATGTAGCCCGGACCAAGAACAACCTGGTATGGGAGGAGGGACAAAGTAGGTGGAAGAAACGGAGAGGGGGGCACAGAGGTGGGGGGAGGGGGGGCAGGCGGAGAGGCCACTTGGGTCCTAGAGTCAGGAAGCATCACAGTCTGGCACACTGCTCTCATCAACTTTGTGCTCATGTCTGGGGCTGCCTTTGCGGATGAAGGATCTGCTTCATTCCAGTTATAGAAGTTCCACAGCTTCTTGGGAGTGGGCTGGGAATACCCTTGACCCTACACCTGGAGAAGGAGGTGTGAGAAAGATCTCTGGGGAAAGTGAGAGAGACACTGAGAAGTGGAACTCCCTGAGCCTGGTGAAGACCTTGTCTAAAAAAAAAAAAAAAAAAAAGACCTTGCCTCCCTCCATGTTTTGTTCCTGTATTTTTGCCTTTCTGTCCTCCAGGCTTCCTGTTACCTGAAACAGGGCAAATATGCTGAGGCTGAGACACTATACAAAGAGATCCTGACCCGTGCCCATGTACAGGAGTTTGGGTCTGTGGATGGTGAGTGGTGAGGGCCTGGGGAAGGGGCTGTGGGGAAGAAAAGAAATTCAGACCAAAGGTCGGGGGTTAGGCCACAGCGGTTCCCAGGGGGAGCCAGACCCCTTCAGTCCAGCCTGTCAGCCTCTGGGTCCTGGCTCTCCGACACTGTCTAGCTCCCATCTCTAACCTCCCCACCCCATGTATCACCCCTAGATGACCACAAGCCCATCTGGATGCATGCAGAGGAGCGGGAGGAAATGAGCAAAGTGAGTGGGGGGAAGGGGGGCCAGCCTGGGGAGCTCAAGGCTACCGGGGTCTCTGTCTTACTCCTTGCATTAGCCCAACTCTCACTTCCCATCCCAGCACCAGCCCCAGATGCATGGTGTCCTCCCCAGCCCAGCCTGCACCCTAGCCCCATGCCACCTTGCATCTCAGCATCTCTGTATTCTTATATTTGGCTCTCCCTGCCCTTCTTTCTGGCCTCTCTCTGTCCTGCAGAGCCGGCACCATGAGGGTGGGACACCCTATGCTGAGTATGGAGGCTGGTACAAGGCCTGCAAAGTGAGCAGGTGAGCTGACAGTGAAAAGCCAGCTTGGCCTCCGATGCCCTCCATCCAGTCCCTGCTCCCAGCCTCCCAGACCTTTTCCCTTCCTCCCGTAGACTTTCCCTCAGCTTTAGCTCTGTTCCCTCTCCTATTTTCTTATTTTTTTTCCTCTTGTCTTGCTTGGAAGACAAATGTTTTGTTTTCTGAACTCATTCTCTCTTCCTTCTCTGGTCTCTTTCTCACCACAGCCCCACAGTGAACACTACTCTGAGAAACCTGGGAGCTCTGTATAGGCGCCAGGGAAAGCTGGAGGCTGCTGAGACCCTGGAGGAATGTGCCCTGCGGTCCCGGAGACAGGTCAGAAGCCCAGAGGGGAAGGAGGTCCTAGAGGGAAGGGCCCTGGGGATGAGAGAGTGCCGAGGTTTCTTGGGAGTCTCCTAAGAATAAGCGGAAAGGCTGATGAAGCCAGGAGGGAGAGGAAAGTGAGGCAGTGTTGTGATTGTGGTTGTTTTTAAGCATGTTCTTACCCCCCACCTGCATTTTGTGGTCAGGACTCTAGTTTCAAGATTCACTAAATGGGGATATGAAGGAGAAACCCTGCCCTTTCATAAGGAGGGGACCTGGGTGGTATGGGTGAGAGGAGTGAGGTTGGGGAGAGCCTAAATCAAGAATTTCTTAGATTGTGGGTCTCAATAGTAGGTTGTGAAATCAATTCAGTATGGGCCATGGGGATAAAAATATATACAGATCTATATATAGCAATGCATTGCAAATAGAAAAGGTAAGTATTATTCCAGTAGGTATAAACTGAGACATCACAAGGAAAAATGTTTTCCTTCCAGTGGCTGATGGTGAAAAAAATTTGAAAGCCCCATCCTGAGGAGTTAAGGAGTAGGAAGTCCCAGGTCCTTCCTTTTCCTTCCAGGGCACTGACCCTATCAGCCAGACGAAGGTGGCAGAGCTGCTTGGGGAGAGTGATGGTAGAAGGACCTCCCAGGAGGGCCCTGGAGACAGTGTGAAATTCGAGGGAGGTGAAGATGCTTCTGTGGCTGTGGAGTGGTCCGGGGTAAGTCTGATCATTGCCTTTTCATCTCTCCTGCCCACTCCTGCTGGTGGTGGTGAGAGGCTCTTGGCCATGCTGTCCCAGTCTAGGTAGTGTATTCCTTCAGGGGTATCTCTGGGAGCCAGTTTTTGACAGGACTTTTATTTCCAGTCACTGGGCCTTGGGGGTGGGGGATGTGTGCAGAATAAATGCTAGGAGTAGACTCAGAAACCCATCTGTGTGGGATCCTTGTAGCTTTCATTGCTCACTCCTTTCTGCCAGGATGGCAGTGGGACCCTGCAGAGGAGTGGCTCTCTTGGCAAGATCCGGGATGTGCTCCGCAGAAGCAGTGAACTCTTGGTGAGGAAGCTCCAGGGGACTGAGCCTCGGCCCTCCAGGTATACATGGAAGTCAAGATACAGTAAAGTGGCCGGGTGCAGTGGCTCACGCCTGTAATCCCAGCACTTTGGGAGGCCGAGGCGGGTGGATCACCTGAGGTCAGGAGTTTGAGACCAGCCTGGCCAACAAGGTGAAACTCTCTCCTAAAAATACAAAAATTAGTCGGGTGTGGTGGCAGGTGCCTGTAATCTCAGCTACTTGGGAGGCTGAGGCAGGAGAATTGCTGGAACCCAGGAGGCAGAGGTTGCAGGGAGCCAAGATCATGCCATTGCACTCCAGCCCAGGCGACAACAGCGAGACTCCGTCTCAAAAAAAAAAAGAAAAAAAAAAAAGATATGGTAAAGCAGGCAAGTAAAGTAAGCCCTTGCCTCCAACTCCTCTTGGCTCCTGATCTCTGGAGAAGTATCTCGGAGAGAAACAGGGAGGAAGTCAACGGGCCAGCCATGGAGAGAGAGTTTGGGTAGAATGGGTGCCCCAGTGTGGCAGTGCTCAAGAGGCCCACAGCCTTAAGGCCACTCAGGAGGAAGAGAGGAGGCCTCAATTCTTCCGTTTTCCATTGTAGCAGCAACATGAAGCGAGCAGCCTCCTTGAACTATCTGAACCAACCTAGTGCAGCACCCCTCCAGGTGAGAGCAGTGCTTGTGAGCATATTGGTGGGTGAGGAAAAAAGGACAGCCAGTGAGCAAGCCCAGTGGAGTAAGGGAAGAGGGAAGGGAGAGGAGTCATCTGGGATGAAGATGAGCCAGGGGATTGCAGTCATTAAGGAATCAGGCAGATAGCTTGTGGTGAGTGCTGACCACCAAGGGACAGTTTCAGGCCAGACATAGTAGCAAATAAGTTAATAAGGAGGGAAATAGGAATATTCTGTAAACTGGTACTTTGGAATTATGAATAATTTAAGAATTATTTGGAGATACGAATTATTTTTTCATCCTGCAGCCGCCTTAGTAGTAGATGAGAATGGAAAAAGAAAAGTATTAAATAATCCCCATCTGAGAAAACACTAGTGATATTTTAATGGCAAATGACTTCTTGTATCAACACACAAGTATATGCCAGTATTCATGTGGTTCTTCCAGGTAGCTTCTCCACCAGATTGTGGCCTTCTGGAAAACCCTAGCAGAGGCTAAACAAAGTCCCAGGTCCAGAGATAGACTGGTCCAGAGACAGATGTGATCCTAGGTCCAGAGATACACTGTGACCATGGGATGGATGGACTCTAGGAGCCAGTCTTTGGGAGGCCGAGGTCCCTGAGCTGATGGGGTAGTGTTGTCTGTTTCAGGTCTCCCGGGGCCTCAGTGCCAGCACCATGGACCTCTCTTCAAGCAGCTGACATTCAACCCGGCCCCCAGGTCTGCTGGGTCCCCCCACCCCCACAGCCCTCACAGCATTCCCCATTGCTCCTGGCTCTTCCCCACCCCTAGGTGGGACAGTGAAGGGGAGCAGTTTAACCAGAAGATTGCTGCTGCCCTTAGGGTCTCAGCTCCCTCCTCAGGAATCCCTCTTAGGAAGGACCCTCAGGACACCCTCTCTGCACCCTGTGGTCCTCTAGAGTAGCTAGCTCTGAGGCCCCAAGGTGGGTACAAAGCAGGTATGGCCCTCAGAGATGCAGCCTGCTGCTGGCTTTTCAGTCAGAGGGTTGGGGGCTGGCCAGCCAAGCTGCCTTGCCCTGGCCGCTCTTACTCCCTCCCTCTGCTGTCTCACTTCAGGTCCATGTATTTCACTTTTCTTAAATAAAAGAATCAGGTAACCTTTCTGTGACTTGAGTCCTGATTGAAGAGGGTATGAAGCAGGGCTTGTGTTGGGGCCCTTCACAGAAGGTGAGGGGCAGTGATGGATGGAGCAGCAGGAGGAGTGTTGATTCTTGGATCTCTCCTCTCTTCCTCCCGTTGTTTGTATCATCTCCAGCAGGGCCTGTAGGAAGGCATCTGGGGGATGGGGAAGAAGGAGGCTCACAACCCAAGGAGAAGGTGCTGTGGACTGGGTTGTCAGGGACATGTGGTGGCCATGTGGCAGGACCCTGGAGTCCTGGCGCCACTTCTCCTGGCTGTGAGGCCCTCTGTGGCTGCCATTCCTCCTCCCAGCTGCTTGGGGGAAGGGAGGTCTAAACAGGCCTGGGGGGCCCTCCGGAACCAGAGGGGAGACAAGGCACTATCCATCCCCTCTCAGCATATCTTGGAGGCCTGAGCAGCAGCTGGGGCCCATCTTCTAAAGCTTGACTCCTCCTGACCCGCCTCCTACACCCCTTGCTGCTTTCACAACAAAGAAAGAATGTGGGGGTGGTGGCGCTGGGGGTGGGGGTGCCTGGAACAAGGGTTGTGCTGGGCCTCCCCACAGCTGGAGACTTGGCCATACCCTGACACAGCCCAGACTGCCTGGAGATGGACTTGGGATGAATTTGTCAGTTAGCAGACTTCAGCCTGGCTTTCAGAGCCCAGCGTGTTTCTACCTTTGGGTTCAGATTGGTCTACAGCCAAACCAGACCCCAGTCATGCACACTTCAGCCCCTCTCCGGGCTACACAGCATCTTCAGGTTACTTGGGGACATTAAGGACACCCTGCTGTTCTGGGTCTGCCGTTAAGATTTTGGGTTGCTGAAGAGTTGGCGGGGCCCGCCTCTTCCCCTGCCCCCACCTGGAGAATTCTGGGGGAACTGTTGGCCAGAGCCTCCAGGTATGCCCAGAATGGACCATTCTCCCCAGGGTCCACGGAATCGCACAAGTCACTTAGGTTCTCCCGGATCCCTGCAGAGTCGGTGGTGGGTACAGCAAATACTCAGGTCCCCTGCACTTCCCTGAGCCTTGCTCTCTCTATTCTCCATCCCTCTCCAGACCCCTCCCCCTACTGAGCTCCTCCCCGCCTCGGCGAGGAGGGGGCGTCGAGGGGGCGGGGCGCCGTGCGGGGGCCGGAGGGGAGGGGGCGTCGTGGGGCGGGGCTTGGCGGCGGCGGCGGCGGCGCGCGGGGACTCGGAGGTACTGGGCGCGCGCGGCTCCGGCTCGGGACGCCTCGGGACGCCTCGGGGTCGGGCTCCGGCTGCGGCTGCTGCTGCGGCGCCCGCGCTCCGGTGCGCTCCGCCTCCTGTGCCCGCCGCGGAGCGCAGTCTGCGCGCCCGCCGTGCGCCCTCAGCTCCTTTTCCTGAGCCCGCCGCGATGGGAGCTGCGCGGGGATCCCCGGCCAGACCCCGCCGGTTGCCTCTGCTCAGCGTCCTGCTGCTGCCGCTGCTGGGCGGTGAGTACCCGAGAGTTGGGGGCACAGAGCTTGGGAAGCGCGGGAGTCCCGTGGGCAAAAGGCTGCGCCCGGGGCGGTGGGTTTGGGCGGCTGGAACGGCCCTGGAGTAGTGGAGAGGCTCGCTGGGGGTGCAGGCTTGCGGCGGAAGGGCGCAAGGAGCCCGGGTGTCGGGAGGCTGGCGAAGCCTCCAGGGACGCGGTCAGGGTACCCCTCCCACTCGCGCCGCGGGGACGCATTTCCAGCCTCCCTGAGTTTTTCTGGTCTGAGCCGAGAGTTTGCTCGAGAACTGCCGAGAGTTGCTGGCTCTCGGGCCCAGATGGGGAGTTTCTTGTCGGGGGAGAAAAGACCATCCGCACCCACCGTGGGGAGCGCGATGGAGAAAAAGGAATTCCCCACCCCACCCGGCAGGGTCGGCCCAGGTAAGAGTTGCTGGTTTGGGGCCCGATGCCGGACAGACCTGCGGCGCGCAAAGCGCGGAGCTTTGTTACCTACGCCGACCCGACGTTCCCGGCTTCCCTCCTCCGAGTTCCTGGGCAAAGCTGAGACCCCAGATGGCCCTGCGGGTGAGGGCGGAAGAAGGGAAGAGTTAGGGGCCGCCCCCATCCATGGCCTCTAGCTACTGGTCTGGAACCCTGCGCCCACTCCGTGCCAGGGCCGAATCCGGGGATCCGAGGGTCCCAGGCTGTCGCGGTGACTAATGTGTGAAGGCCGCTGCCAAAATCGGGCATGGCCTGGCTGCAAAGGTGCGGACGGGGTTTGTTCTGCTCCTTCCTGGATTTCCATCCTGACTGTCCTCACAGAGGAAAGGAAGTATTTCTAAGGGAAGAAAGGCAAAAAGAGCTCATTCTGGCTTTTCTTGGGGGGGGGCCTTAGCATTTTAACGAGGGTGTGGCCCTCATCACCAGGGCAGACAGCACCGCCCCCCCAACTCCCGCAGCTTTTATTTCCTGGCTTGGTCACACCTAAGAGTCATCACTGAGGTGTTGAAGTGCCTTACAGGAAAGCACCAAGCCACCCGCACATCCCAAATAGCCCGGACTGGAAATAAAGCCCCCGACCCTCCACAACACTCCTTGGTGGTCCTCGAAGCAGCTTTCTCTTGGGGAGCTCTGTCGAGGAGACCTGTCCTAGGTGATCACCTTCCATCTCCTTTGAAGGTGGCAATGGGAAGGGCATGGGTAAGGAATTGCCTTTCTAATATCTTTCTGGCCTGCCAGCTGTGGAGGGGTTTTGGTGCTGGTGGAATCAACATCTCCCCTGCCCCCAGTTGTAAAAGGAGAGGTAAATGTAACCCAGGAAAGAGACCAATCTCCAGGGATTTGGAGGAGGTGTTTCTGGAGTTGCCCCGTTTTTCTTGTGATGTGTGTGGTGGTTATTGCTCGTGGCAGAATCCACATCTGCTCCCAGAGGAAGTATGGAAGTTTTTTTGCACAGCCAGGATGGGGGCCCAGCCATCTGGGCGAGCAGCCCAAGCTCACAGGCCCCCTGGCTGTCCTGGTTGGGTTTTGGTGTGTGGGTCTGCCCAATGAGGCTGCCTTCACTGCTGCTGTTCAGGGTACTAGAGTCAAGGGGAGTTTCTGGTGAAGATGGGGCTCTTGCTCAACAAATGCTGAATTCCTAAATTCCTTCCATGAGAAGATGACTCTGATGTTAATTGACTTAATCTGGTGACTGGTTGGTGTTTAGTGTGTGTGCGCGCGTGTGTGTGGGGGATCCTGTTGGGGGAAGTTAGGGCAGGCTGAGGGCTTAGGACAGGAGGTCTGTAGTCTCCTCAGGGGTGGGGGGATGTCTTGTGCTCAACAAAGGAACATTTTAATGAGAGCCTTAAATCAATTCCACCAAATGTGCCTTGTTGTGGAACCTGTCCATGTGCTGTAAACAATTTCAGTGGAGGCCGAGGCGCCTGCTGTCTTCTAGTGAAATCCTGGGACTCAACCCACCCCCAGACGCATGACTTCAGGGGCAACGGTTTTTTAATAGATCACAGTAGATGTTTGCATCTCATTGTTTAATTGTGTAATTAACTGGAGTTGTAGTGAGATCCCACTGTTAATAAGGCTGGAGTAAGGAACCTAGGCTGGCTAGGTTTGTGGATTAGACCATTTTAAAGTCTGGGTAATTATGCCATAAATGGCAGAGTTACTTTCCAAACTTTGAGATGCTGTTGTAATAAATATGGTGGAGGAGGAGGAGGCTTGATGTTTGAAACTATGGATTCTTAACCCCAACCTCTTGTACAGTCAGCTGTGGTCACTTCTCATTCCAATTCCCATCCCCCTCCCTGGTTTCTTTCCTCCGGGCTCTTGTTTCTTTGGGGAAATTGAGTCGTCATGTTCTGGGATAGGCTGTCTGCAGATTCCTCAAGGCTCTGCAGCCTGTAATTCAGGCCTAGGAGTTGCTTTTATTAGTGATGGCTTTTCTCAGCTGTTGGGAAGTATGGTGGCAGGGCAAGGGTGCTCTTCTTGTCACTTGTCAAATGATATACTCAAACTCCTGGTGTTCAGAGCAGCATTGAGTGGTGGACAGAGCTCAAGCAATGGAGATAAAGTATGGTCCTTCCTTGGCATCTGCAGGGAATTGGAATAGGACTCCCTGAGAATAACAAAATCCAAGGGTGCGGCCAGGCCTGGTGGCTCACGCCTGTAATCCCAGCACTTTGGGAGGCCGAGGCGGGCGGATCATGAGGTCAGGAGATTGAGACCATCCTGGCTAACACGGTGAAACCCTGTCTCTACTAAAAATACAAAAAATTAGCCAGGCGTGGTGGCGGGTGCCCGTAGTCCCAGCTACTCGGGAGGCTGAGACAGGAGAATGGCCTGAACCCGGGAGGTGGAGCTTGCAGTGATCGTGCCACTGCACTCCAGCTTGGGCGAGATCGTGCCGAGATCGTGCCACTGCACTCCAGCTTGGGTGACAGAGCGAGACTCCGTCTCAAAAAAAAAAAAAAATCCAAGGGTGCTCAAGTCTCTTATATAAAATGGTGTCGTATTTACATATAACGTACACACAACTTCCCTGTATACTTTTGTTTTGTTTTGTTATGAGACAGGGTCTCCTCTATCACCCAGGCTAGAGTGCAGTGGCACAATCTTGGCTCACTGAAGCCTCAAATTCCTGGGCTCAAGCAGTCTTCCTGCCTCAGTGCTCTAAAGTATGAGGATTACAGGCATGATCCACTATGCCCAGCTTCTCCTGTATACTTTAAATCATCTCTAAGGGCCAGGTTTACGCCTGTTATCCCACCACTTTGGGAGGCAGAGGGAGGAGGATCGCTTGAGCCCAGGGGCTCAAGACCAGCCTTGGCAACACAATGAGACCTCCACCTGTACAAAAAAAAAAAAAAAATTGCCAGGCATGGTGGCACGTGCCTGTGGTCCCAGCTGCCCAGGAGACTGAGGTGGGAGTATTGCCTGAGCCCAGCAGGTTGAGGCTACAGTAAGCCATGATTGTGTCACTGCACTTCGGTCTGGGTGACAGAGTTCAAAAAAAAAAAAAAAAAAAAGGGCAGGATGCAGTGGCTCACGCCTGTAATCCCAGCACTTTGGGAGGCTGAGGTGGGCGGATCATGAGGTTAGGAGAGCGAGACCATCCTGGCTAACATGGTGAAACCCCATCTCTACTAAAAATACAAAAAATTAGCCAGGCGTGGTGGCAGGCGCCTGTAGTCCCAGCTACTTGGGAGGCTGAGGCAGGAGAATGGCGTGAACCCGGGAGGCAGAGCTTGCAGTGAGCCGAGATTGCACCACTGCACTCCAGCCTGGGTGTCAGAGCGAGACTCTGTCTCAAAAAAAACAAAAAAATCTGTAAATTACTTGTAATACCTATTACAATGGAAATGCTATGTAAATAACTGTTGTATTCTTTAATTTGTATTCTTTTTTATTGTTGTATTGTTTTTAATTTTTATCTTCCCCCAGTGTTTTTGATCCTCTGTTGAGGGATGTGGAGCCCAGGGATAAGGAGTATATCTGGCAAAGCAGCAACTCAGACTCATTGGCAGGCCCTGTGGCCCTGGATGAACCTCTTAGCTTCTCAGCCTCTTCTATAAAGGGACATCCTAGAGTTGTGCTGAGGATTAAGTATAATGAAGTAGGCCGGGTGCAGTGGCTCACATCTGTAATCCCAGCACTTTGGGAGGCCAAGGCAGGCGGATCACCTGAGGTCAGGAGTTCAAGACCAGCCTGGACAACATGGTGAAGCCCCGTCTCTACTAAGAATACAAAAATTAGCTGGGTGTGGTGGCACACACCTCTAATCCCATCTACTCAGGAGGCTGAGGCAGGAGAATCACTTGAACCCGGGAGGTGGAGGTTGCAGTGAGCCGAGATCGCGCCGCTGCACTCCAGCCTGGGCGACGGAACGAGACTCCGTCTCAAAAAAAAAAAATACACACACACACACACACACACAGCCCTTTCTTGGTCTTCCCTCTGTGGTGTGCTTCAAAGATTCCTTCAGCTTTACAGTCATTCCCAACAATAGACATTTTACCTACTGGGACCCTCCATTCCAGTCCAGCTGGAATATTTGCCATCTCCTAACACATATCTGGTTTTCTCCCACCTTTCTTTCCTTCGGGCCAGTCCCCGGTTGTACATTGCCTTCTCCTGTCTCTCTGTTGCCCAGCCCCACCGCCTCTTCTTCCCTGAAGCTGTCCTATCTCTCCTGCCAGAAGGTAGACACTGTAGAACTTCTGGACTGTCATTCTTGCGACACCATCCATATTTTTGCCCCTATTGGGTTTTGTTTTAATTTACTGAGGGGCTCTCCCATAGAGTTTAGTACAGTACTTATTTATAATGGGTTCTTATGTAGGTGGTTTTTTTGTTTGTTGTTTGTTTGTTTTTGTTTTTTTTGAAATGGAGTCTGCCTGTGTCTCCCAGGCTGGAGGCATTGGCACGATCTTGGTTCACTGCAACCTCTACCTCCCAGGTTCAAGTGATTCTCCTACCTCAGCCTCCTGAGTACCTGGGTTTACAGGTGTGTGCCACTGCACCCAGCTAATTTTTGTATTTTTAATAGAGACGGGGTTTCCCCATGTTGGCCAGGCTGGTCTCGAACTCCTGACCTCAGGTGATCTGCCCACTTCAGCCTCCCAAAGTGCTGGGATTACAGGCGTGAGCCACTGCACCCAGCCGATATAACAGGTCCTCATATAGGTTTATTTAAAAAGTGAATGAACCATTTGGGTGCAGGGCAGAATGATCAAGGGTGGAGTTAAATATCCCCTTGCATCCTAGGCATGGGGAGTCTTTTGCACCCTCCCCAGCTTCTTTGAGTTGGGGTTGCCTGTTCCTCCTTGCGCCTGCTCTACGGTGACCAAATTAAGGATCAGACCTTCCTTCCCTGATCCTGGGCTGGCTGGTTTTGGTGGTGGTTTTTCTCAGTTTTGATGTGGTGGGTCTTCTAGCTTTCTCCAAGTTCTGTGCGTGGGTAAGCACCGCTACGTATGAAGCTGACTGCAACTTAAAAACTGGTGCTAAAGTTGCTTCCTCAGAGAACTGGGTAGGGGCCTAGAGTATCTATAACTGTGCTACTTGAAGAAAGACCCAGGGCCACGTGGCATCAGCATTCCTGGGAGCATGAATCAGAATCGCAATCTGCAATTTATTTATTTATTCTTTTTGAGATGGAGTCTCACTCTGTCGCCCAGGCTGAAGTGCAGTGGCACGATCTTGGCTCACTGCAACCTCCACCTCCTGGGTTCAAGCGATTCTCCTGCCTCAGCCTCCTGAGCAGCTGGGATTACAGGCGCGCACCACCACGCCAGGCTAATTTTTTTGTATTTTTAGTAGAGACAGGGTTTCACCATGTTGGTCAGGCTGGTCTCGAACTCCTGACTTCATGATCCGCCCACCTCAGCCTCCCAAAGTGCTGGGATTACAGGCGTGAGCCACCGTGCCCTGCTGCAATCTGCATTTTAACAAGATGCTCAGGTGACTCTGTACCCCAGAGTTCCAGAAGTCCTGGCCTAGGCATCCTTCTTTATACAGAATCTCAAGGCACAGAGCTTTCCTGTTGCAACAGTATAAATTGGGAGCTGAGATGCTGCACAGTATTTGAAGATTTGCTTTAAATAACTCACTTTATGCGAACACTCCTTGGGGTGATGTGTACGCTTTAATATTACCTCCTTTGGGTTTAAATTGAATTAGATTTTGTCAAGAAATTTCTCCATTAAATGTGTGACTCTAGGAAGTCTGCAATATTCAGCCTGATGTTTAGCTCCTCTCAGAACCTCAGCTTTTCCTAGAGGAGAATACGGCTGATTTTATAACGAAAGCCAGTGGAGAAACTGGATTTGTTAGGCAGAAATTTGGTCGACAGACAACTTTTCAGGAATACATTTGGCTCATAAAGGGAGGCATGTCTCCGCTGGGCTTTGACAGCTGTAGTGTTGTTAGTCTTTGGAGCATTTCATATTCTGGAGTGAGGGGGTTTGTGTGAGTCTGTGTTTAAGCCAATGCAGCTTCTGTGAGACTCGTCTGGGATAGAGGTTGGCCGGTTCAGACTCTAGTGTTGGAGCCAAGAGCAGTTTGGGGCCAAGGATTCAGTCTTTGGTGTTTTCCTGATGGAAGAAAGGGTCATTAAACAAGGTTGGGTGTCCTTGGCCTGTGTCCCTCAACCTCCTGCTCTCCCTAACCTCAGTAGATGCCTCTCTGCTGCTGTGCCTGGGCACTACCCCTGGCCAGAGCCACGTGGTGGGGTTACAGGCTTGGGGCCACAGTTGCTGGCACTGGCCCTCACCTTGCCCTGGAGCTGCCGCCTGCCCTTCTCCTGATTCCTGCTCTGGCCCCCATCTGCCTGGTCCTTCTTCTGAGGGTGTGAAAGTCCTGCCATTGTAGCTGGTTAGAGTCCTATGTTGGAATTCTCTTGAGTTCACTGCTGAGCCCCCTGGCGCTTTGGTGGAGCTGGCCTGAGAGATGCCACAGCTAATCAGCGGTTTGAGGAAGCCCTCTGTAGTATGTCACTTTTTCCATCCTCTTTTCTTCTCTGCATTTAGGCCGTTTCCCTCCCAATAATGTTACACAGACAGCAGTGGGGCAGGGAGGAAGCTTGGTTCGAAGGGCTGACACACACACAGGCGCCTTTCCCCTCTCGCAACTTGGTTTTACATTGCTAAACTCTCATCTGCTGTGTGCATTAACTGGGGTATGTGTTGAGTGAACGCTCAGGTGACTAGAACGTCATCCACCAGGTGTCCTGCAGATCCCAAGCCCCTGTTAGAAGTGTAAGCCTTGATAAGCGGGATATGCACTCACAGGTTTAGGTGTGTATGTAATTTCTGAAGACAAAGTCCCGAGTCGCAGGGTAGGGATTGTAAGTTACATATTAGGAAGGTGTAGATATGTGTTTCTCAAATTAGAGTGGAGAGTATAGGGCAGGTCACCAAAGTATTGATGAAAAGTTTAGTTTCCTGGGCCTTACTGCAGACCTGCCCATCAGAATTATTGAGGGAGAGGCCAGAAAATGCATTTTATTTATTTGTTAGATTATGTTGCTGTTTTTGAATAGCTGATCCAGTTACATAGGCCAGATTTCAAAAGGAAACTGCATTTTAATTTTTATTTATTTATTTTTGAGACAGGGTCTCACTCTGTCACCCAGGTTGGAGTACAGTGGTGCAATCACAGCTCACTGCAGCCTTGTCCTGTTGGGCTCAAGTGATTCTCCCGCCTCCGCCTCCCAAGTAGCTGGGACCACAGGTGCATGCCACCATACCTGGCTAGTTTTTTAAATTTATTTTTTATTTTTAATAGAGGCGAGGTCTTGCTGTGTTGCCCAGGCTGGTGTTGAACTCCTGGGCTCAAGCTATCCTTCTGCCTCTGCTTGCCAAAGTGTTGGGATTACAGGCGTAAGCCATCACGCCCAGCCTGGAAACTGCATTTATAAAGAGCTTCCTGGAGATTCTTACCTACGCTTAAGTGTGAGAACCACTGGGTAGCCATAAGGAGAATTTATCAGTCTGAAGCGGAGGTGTGGTGTTGAGAAAAAGGGTGATATTAATAGTGGGGGGCTTAGGAGGGAGTTCATTCAAAGTGCTTCAGTGTCTTCTATGGGTGAAGCTGTCTGAGGAGGCATGGAATGCAGGAAGAAGACAAGATGGAGAAACGTGAATCAGATGAAGTATGAAAGACACCATTTGGTAAAGTGCTAAGTAGAATAGAAGAACATTCTAGAATGTGTGGGATGGTAAGTCTGAGATGTAGGAGCAAATAGGGGGTGGGAGGGCTTCAGAGAGGAGAGAAGACCCTACATTGCTGAATAGATGTAGTCAGTGACGGCCTCAGAATGATGAATAGATGTAGTCAGTGACGGCCTCAGAATGATGTAAAGTCATCGGACCAGGATTCTGAAAACCTGGGTGGTACTGTTCTAATATCACATGGCAGCCACAAGTGATGAAGTAATAGAAGAGACATCTATAGACCTGTGACACCAGTTTTTCTGTATTCTGGTCCTGGCTCAATTGCTGCATACCCACATGACCCTGAGCTGGTTAGTTAACCTTTCTGAGCCTCAGTTTCCTCGTGAGCACAATGCAAGTGATGCTGTTGCCTGCCTTGCTGGCCCCTGTGAAGTTGTGATATAATGCTCTTCAACTGTGGAAATGGGTGACCCCTGGGAAGCAGCCCCTCTGGCTAGCCCTGATGGTTCTTCCCAGAGACTGTCCTGGCCAGCCGTTTCCTTTTGAGGGGTCAGCCTTTCTTTTTTGAGATGGAGTTTCTCTCTGTCGCCCAGGCTGGAGTGCAGTAGTGCGATCTCCACCTCCCGGGTTCGCGCCATTCTCCTCCCTCAGCCTCCCGAGTAGCTGGGATTATAGGTGCCCGCCACCATGCCCGGCTAATTTTTGTATTTTCAGTAGAGACGGAGTTTCACCATATTGGTCAGGCTGGTCTTGAACTTCTGACCTCGTGATCCACCTGCCTCAGCCTCCCAAAGTGCTGGGATTACAGGCATAAGCCACTGTGCCTGGCCAGAGGTGTCAGCCTTTATTTCCAGCCTTCGGACCCTAGAATGGTTTGCCAAAGGCTCAACAAAGTCCCTCTTGACTAGCAGCCTTAGAAATGGTTTTCTCATTTGGGCTGGGTGCGGTGGCTCACGCCTGTAATCCCAGCACTTTGGGAGGCTGAGGCATGTGGATCACCTGAGGTCGGGAGTTCGAGACCAGCCTGACCAAAATGCAGAAACCCCATCTCTAGTAAAAATATAAAATTAGCCGGGTGTGGTGGCGCATGCCCGTAATCCCAGCTACTCAGGAGGCTGAGGCAGGAGAATCGCTTGAACCCGGGAGGCCGAGGTTGTGGTGAGCTGAGATTGCGCCACTGCACTCCAGCCTGGGCAACAAGAGCGAAACTCTGTCTCAAAAAAAAAAAAAAAAAAAAACATGGCTTCCTCATTCAAAAGCACAAGTTTTCTAAATGGGTCTCAGTATTCCAACAGCAGCCCAGAAATGTGGGAGCCACACACAGCCACATTTTCCTGGTGGGAATTCTCCCTCTCTCTTTGTCTCAATAGCAGATTCTCCCAAGGGGTGGGTTGGTGCTGGTTCAGGGCCACTGTCTCTCCTGGCATGCTGAGGTTCTCAGGGAGTGGGTAGTGAACTGTGCTTCAGGCAGCCTAGGCAGACTTTTATGATACCCAAGGGAGGGGTTTTTATAATCACTGGATGACTGTGGGGGTTTCCCCAGTCAGCGACTCTGTTAATTTGTGGGAACTTCTGTCTGTGCTGTGGGGAGGTTCCTGAGATTCTGTGTGGCCAAGGGCAGTGGGCTCTCCCTGGGGGTGGTTATGGGGGCCCGCATGGGCACTATCATGTACAACCTCCCCTCCAGGAGACACTCTGGCTTTTTTTTTTTTTTGTCTCCTCCTTGGGGTGGTGGCGGGGCAATGAGGGGAACGCTTGTCTGCTTTGGGACTGCTGAGGTGTCCCAGCAGCTAGCTCGTATGGTACCTTTGTGCACATTACAAATAAGTACTCCCAGTCGTGGGCGCAGTGGCTTACGCCTGTAATCCCAGCACTTGGGAGGCAGAGGCAAGTGGATCACTTGAGCTCAGGAGTTTGAGACCAGCCTAGGCAACAAGATGAAACCCTGTCTTTACAAAAAATACAAAAAAACTAGCTGGGTGTGGTGGTGCACGCCTGTAGTCTCAGCTACTCAAAGGCTGAGGCAGGAGGATTGCTTGAGCCTGGGAGGTCAGAGCTGAAGTGGGTGAGCTGTGATGTGATTGCACCACTGCACTCCAGCCTGGGCACCTGAGCGAGACCCTATCTCAAAAAAACAAAAAAACAACAACAAAAAAACCCTTCCTCCAGGTAGATGCAGTCCTGCACCAGGGTTCAGGCAGTATTTCAGTGTTGACTCTTTGGTCAGACATCTTGAGCAGTGCACAACCTGTACAGTCAAAGGTGGCTGTTCCATTGGCATGAAGGCCTTGCAGCTGTGGCTCTTTGTTTCCCAGCTGATGGGCCAAGATGATTTTGATGCCTCTGTTCTAAAGTCATGTTTCAAGTGAGCCCTCTTCACTACTGTTCTGCCTCCTATGGTGGTGGGATGGGGCAATCCTGCCTGTAACATACAATAGGAGAAGCCGGTGAGGGTGGAGCCCCATTACTGTACCCACCCCACATTGTATATCTGTGGCTGCTGAAGTCTTGACCTATTTCTGGGCCCCTTCCCTGTGAGAGGATTTTGCTGTCTTGCAGATACAGGCTCCTAGCCTTATGTGATAATTGGTGTGGAAGGCTGGCAGAATCCTTGGGAAGAGTGGGCCGCAGAGTTTATTTCACATTTTATTTAGGAGCTTTCAGTTTTCCTTTCTCTTGTTTCCTCTCTCCCTGGGGACACTAGGGTCTCCAGGTAAAGTGTGTGGGCATTCCTGATTTAGAGGAATTCCTGCAAGAGAAGTGGCAGGACCTCAGTCCCAAAGGCAGGTCTTGGGTCTTGCTGAGCTCCAGCGCTGGGTATCCTGGTGATGTTCATACCTCTTGAGCCTGAGGAAGCACCAGGAGGAGCACTAGGGTCAGTGTTGGAAGACATGGACTCTCCTTCCACATTTGCCTAAAACTGCCTGTGTGACCATGGGCAGGTCCCATCCTCTTCTCCAGGCTTCAACTTCAGAACAGAAGACCTTGGAGGGCCCTTGCTGAGGCTCACTCAGTGTGGCATCTCCAGCCTTGTTTCTGCCACACCTTACAGGCTCTCCTTACCCTGGGTTTAGGGAGAGCACTTTAATCTAAGGGCTGCTTTTTATTCTGGAGTCTCTAGTGCGTGGGCACAGATGTGTTTAGACTTGACCAACTGGTGATGTGGGTATTAGGGTATAATTTTCTGGGTGCAAAGGGTGCTGTAAAGATTTAGGAGGGAGAGTATTTGACAGGGAAAGAAACTGAGGCACAAAAGTACGATCTGCCTAGCACTACAGAGCTGGTGAGGAATAGGGCTGAAGCCAGTGTGGTGGTTCACACCTGTAATCCTAGCACTTTGGGAGGCCAAGGCGTGAGGATTGCTTGAGCCCAGGAATTTGAGACTAGCCTGGGGAACATAGCGAGACCCCATCTCTACGGAATAGAAAATAAAAGAAAAATTAGACAGCAGCGGTGGCACGTGCCTGTGATCCCAGCTACTTGGGAGGCTGAGGTGGGAGGATCACTTGAACCTGGGAGGTCAAGGCTACAGTGAGCCAAGATTGCACCACTGCACTCCAGCCTGGGCAACAGTGAGAGACCTTGTCTCAAAAAACAAAGGTAGAAAGCTGAGACCAGAGTGCCAGTCCCTCCTGTGCCTTCACTTAGAGTCCTTGTATGTCCAGGTGTTACTGTGCTATGATATGCTGCACACGTGGCCAATTGCCGTGGCTCATACCTGTAATCCCAGCACTTTGGGAGGCCGAGGCGGGTGGATCATGAGGTCAGGAGTTCAAGACCAGCCTGACCAACATGGTGAAACCCAGTCTCCACTAAAAACACAAAATAAGCCAGCTGTGGTGGTGCATGCCTGTAATCCCAGCTACTCGGGAGGCTGAGGCAGGAGAATGGCTTGAGCCTGGGAGGCAGAGGTTGCAGTGAGTTGAGATCATGCTACTGCATTCCAACCTGGGTGAGAGTGAGACGCCATCTCAAAATAAATAAATAAATAAATAAATAAATAAATAAATAAATAAAGAGTTATGGTGAAACTATATGTAATCTAAAAGGCTAGAACACTGTGCCTAAATCCCGATGGCTTGAGCTTTTCTCATGAACCCATGAGTCCTTAGCCTCCTCCTCCTGGTGCTGCTGGAAGGTCACAGGCAGTTGCAGGCCCTGGCTTGTAGGTGCATTCCAGACTATTGCTTCCTGCTGGGAGATGTATGCTGAGCAGTGCTGTGGTGGAGACCACGTAGGAGGTAATAGAGTCATCCCCATAGTGGTTAATAGAGTTAGCCACCTCATACTACTTTTGTGTAGGTAGATGTGCCCACGCTTGGTGCTCCAGGCCCTGCCTCATAGTAGGGGCCTAATGATGTAGATTTCCCTTTAATTTCTGACTTTGGAGTCAAGTCTTTTAACCCTCAGGAGTGTTCAGGTGAGGTTGGATCATGACCTTGACATTCCGGGTGATGCCACTTTTCTTGTGCCAGGTGTATCTCTCTTTGGCTGAACCGTTGACCACTCTTGGTGATTCCACTGAGTTTGTTCTTCTGCTTTGGAGGTTCTCAGACTCCAGTGTGGGAACCTATGTTCTGTCAATGAAGGATGCAAAGGGACAACTCTAGTGATCTGATTCCATTGTAGCTCATCTGTTTACAAAGCTGGGCTGTTTCCCACCTAGAAGAAGAGGGAGAAGGCTCTGTCAGGCCAACAGATCCTTAGAGAGTGCTAGGATGGCATTTGAGATCCAAACCTAATTTCCAGCCACCTGAAAAACAAAACAAATCACAAAGAAAACATTGTCTTACAGCCTCAGGGGGGAGAAAAAAAGGAAATGCTGTCGATCTCTTAATAGTTCCAGCACAAAGAACAAAGCATTCTATCAGTTTAGTTCCTTTAGCAGATTAAACCAGTTGTTAAACTGACCAATTAAAAAAATGCCCAGCTACGCAGCAGCTTTTCTGCCCACGATCTGAGCTCCTCCTCTACCCCAGGGATCCAGGCCTCTTACCGGAGGAGTACTGAGGGGAGGGGGCTAGGCTGGGTCCTGGAACAGCCCTGGAGACCTGTAGGAAGGTCTCTCTCTCTCCTATCCCCCCTCCCCTTTAGCAAAACTTCTTAGAACAAAAGGCTGTTATTTAATAAACACCTGCACCCTGTTTTGATGGAGTGTCCTGAGCTGTGCCATGGACTGGGAAAAACAGGGTGGGGACCTTGTCCTTTGTTACTGCCTATGTAAGAGGCTGGGGTGCTCTCAGGGGTTGTACAGCCTCCTGTGTCTTTCCTTACCCTCTTTACCTTTGCCTGAAGGGCCTTTGAACATGGCTTGAGAGATCCTGCGGAAGCCACCAAGCCAGCTTGCTCTGTCTCCAGACAGCAATTTTAGGCGAGTCTCTACTTGGGCCTTTCCAAGAGACTCCCTTTTCCAGGCACTGCACAGCTGCCGCTGGTGACCCAGAAAGGGGTAGGAGAGCGTGGGCTCAGCCTAGCCTTGGTGCAGGTGGCACCGCTCTCTGCCCCTTCCCACTCTGCCTGGATCAAAGGAGCCTCCTCAGGGAGCAGGAAAATACTTCTCCCAATAGCCCCACCAGTGAGTAAACAG